>NC_000016.10:67592803-67895833 GCF_000001405.40 Homo sapiens
ATCACTTGAGCTCAGGAGTTTGAGACCAGCCTGGCCAACATGGTGAAACCCCGTCTCTACTAAAAATACAAAAATTAGCGGGGCACAGTGGCATGTGCCTGTAGTCCCAGCTACTTAGGAGGCTGAGGCAGGAGAATCGGTTGAACCTGGAGGCAGGGGTTGCAGTGAGCCGAGATCGCGCCACTGCATTCCAGCCTGGGTGACAGAGTGAAACTCCATCTGGAAAAAAAAAATTTATATATATATGTATAAATGTTTAATATATATTTTATATTTATATATTTGTATATCTTTTTTATATTTTAATATATGGTTTTTAATATATATTTTATACATATAAAGAGAAAGGTGCAAGGTATCTTCTGTTCTCTTAAAATTTTTTACAATTTCAACTTTTATTTTAGATTCGGGGGTACATGTCCAAGTTTTTTTGTGTACATGGGTATATTGTGTGATTATGAGGTTTGGGGGTACAATTGTTGCTCATCACCCAGGTAATGAGCATAGTACCCAATGATTAGTTTTGCAGCCCTTACCCCGTTTTCTCCCTCCCCCTCCTAATCCCTAAGGCCTATTGTTATGTTTATGTCCATGTGTACCCAGTGTGTAGCTTCCACTTGTAAGTGAGAACATGAGATACTTGGTTTTCTGTTCCTGCCTTAATTCGCTTAGGATAATGACCTCCAGCTGCATCTGTGTTGCTGTAAAGGACATTATTTCATTCTTTTTTATGGCTGTGCGTTCTCTGCCTTCTTATGATGTCTGAGGGTTCGTATCAACCTCTGTTAGGCCATTTGTTAGGTACCCTTCATGTTGACTTTCAGAATTTCTGTGGCTTGTGAAAGTTCATGGGGTCTTAGAGCTGCTAATGTATTTCTTACCAAGAGAATGCAGATAGACTTCTGATCTCCCCAGGAAATAAGTTGGGGTTTTTAGCAATCAGTTGCCCCTTATAATGGATAGTAAGCAGTATATTAAAAAGTTGTGGGTTTAGTTATAAAATAGACTGCTGGAAATCATTCTCTTCTACTGTCTTATTCTCAGTACACATGGATTATTCCTAGTATAATAACCAGTCTACTTAACTGACTAAACTCTGCAGTGGTGAGTATAAAAGGTTGTTTTGGTTGTTTTCCTTTGGAAATTGTCTGACATATTTGCTATGTAGTCATAATCATAGGTGATAAATTACTAAACCTTAATATCTTCAAAAATTAGTGTATTCACAATTAGCTTCCATTTTTACATGGCAGGATTTTAAAAAATCTAACCTGTAATTGTGTTTTTGGGAATTTTTATTTTTCTCTATTAAGAAGTGACACAGGCTGAGCATGGTGGTTTATGCCTGTAATCCCAGCACTTTGGGAGGCCACTTGAGCTTAGGAGACCAGCCTAGGCAATACAGTGAGATCCCATCTCTGTAAAATAAAATGAACCAAGTATGGTGGCACATGCTTGTAGTCCCAGCTACTTGGGAGGCTGAGGTAGGAGGATCACTTGAACCCAGGATGTCAAGGCTGTAGTGAGCCTTGATTGTGCCACTGCACTCCAGCCTGAGCGACAGGGTGGGACCCTGTCTCAAAAAAAAAAAAAAAAGGTGTAAGAATTGACACAGGCTAGTTGCAGTGGCTCATGCCTATATTCTCAGCATTTTGTGGGGGATGAAGTGGGAGGATCCCTTGAGCCCAGGGGTTCGAGAACAGCCTGGGCAACATAATGAAACTTTGTCTTTCAAAGTTTCTAAACTTTGCATCACTAAAAAAATAGTGATGCGTAAAAAAACTTCGCATCACTAAAAAAATAGTGATGCAAAGAGAGCAATAAAGGTAAATTCGTATACTTAGGCTTTCACTTAGCATATAAACAGTGTTTTGTTTTTCCATGTTCCCTTCCTGCTCTTGTCCTGTGCAGGAACCATCTATACCTGTTTCATCTGACAAAGTCAGTGAGAATTCCTGTTTGTCTAACACTGTTTTGTATCCATTGCTGTAGAGACTACAGAAACAAAAGGCATAGTTACTGCCCTTAAAAAGCTAATACTGGGGGAAAAACACATAGAACATTATGCTACAGTTAAAACTTGTGGTCAGTTTGTACTGGTCAAGGTTGAGATGACTTTGATTTAGAAGGTGACTTGAGCTGGGAAGGGACAAGACATCAGATACTGATATAGAAGATGCCCAGCAGGAAATAGTCAAAGGTGAGGTTGGGTGGGTGGAAGGGAATGGGAACAAACTGTACAGAGCTCTGGGAGCTAAGATGGAGAATTTGGACCTGATTCAGTCAGCATCACCAATCATGAATTTTTGGAATTTTTGAGCCTCATTTCAGGAAGGTTTAATGTGGCGTCAATATTCTGGATAGAACAAGACTGGCCAGCCTGCAAAGCTGTTCTGTCTCTTCCTACCACCCTCCCCCACCCTTCCTTTGACTCACCTCAAACTTCTGGGCCCAAGCCATCCTCCTGCTTCAGCTTCTCAAGTAGCTGGAACTATAGGTACAAACCACCATGTCTGGCTTGTTCTGTTTCTTTTTTACTCTTTCTCCTTCATTCCTGGATTTAGTCAGTCACCAGCTTCTGTCAACTGATTGTACCTTCATCGTACAGAAATCCAGTACTTTATCAGAGAAGTCATTTTTGTGGGGAAAATTTATCAAAGGTTTAGATAAGATTAGATTCTAGGAATCTAATTAGAAAGCTAAGAAGCCAAAAAAGCATATATTGTTGAGTTAACCATGTTGAATGTCTTCTTGGCTGGCGGTATAAGGATACAGAGGATGGCAGTTGGCACCATGCATGTATTGTTTCATTGGGTTTTTATGATAGCCTGTGAAATGGGTACCATTTCCTTATTTTATAGAAAAGAAAACTGCAGCGAGAAGGTAGCATATCTCACCCCAGGTCACAATGCTAATTAGAAAAACCAGAATTGGGATGCACGTCTCTGACTCTTAACAGTGATTCCATTCTGCCTCTCCTGTCCGCCCTCCCTTTTTAAATATAGAACAAACATTTTCTCCATATTATGTATTAAAGCACTATTTTTGATGTCTACGATTCACACCACCAATTACCTTCAGTAGAATTGTGCTAGTTTCACTGCACCAAGGACAACATTGGGGAGTATCTTTCTTTTTTTTTCTTTTCCTCTTTCTTTTCTTTTTTTTTGAGACAGAGTCTCTCTCTGTAGCCAGGCTGGAGTGCAGTGGCATACTTTCGGCTCACTGCAACCTCCACCTCCTGGGTTCAAGCAATTCTCCTGCCTCAGCCTCCCGAGTAGCTGGGTCTATAGGTGCACGCCGCCATGCCCAGCTAATTTTTGTATTTTTAGTAGAGACGGAGATTCACCATGTTGGTCAGGATGGTCTCGATCTCCTGACCTCGTGATCTGCCCGCCTTGGCCTCCCAAAGTGCTGGGATTACAGGCATGAGCCACCATGCCCAGTCTGGGGAGTATCTTTCAAAACAACCATAGCAGTTTAACAGAGGCAAATGCTGTCACATTATTTTAGTTTAGCATTTCTTTTACTATTAATGAGGTTTGGTTTTTTTCTTATTCATCTGCCATTTGTGTATTTTCAGTCATCTATTTGTGTCCTTTGCCCAGCTTTTTCTTTCAGTGTTCATCTTTTCATTGTAAATTTTACAGTTATACATATGATAAAGAGGTTAATCCATTGTCATAGATGTTGCAGATATTTTTTTCATGGTTGGCCATTTTCTTTTTAGTTTTTGTTCAACATGTTTTTGTCATACATAATTTTATTTTTATTTTATTTTATTTTATTTATTTATTTAGAGACAGAGTCTCGCCCTGTCACCCAGGCTGGAATGCAGTGGCACGATCTCGGCTCACTGCAACCTCCACCTCCCTGGTTCAAGCAATTTCCCTGGCTTAGCCTCCCTGAGTAGCTGGGATTACAGGCACATGCCACCATACCTGGCTAATTTTTTTGTATTTTTAGTAGAGATGGGGTTTCACCGTGTTGGCCAGACTGGTCTCAACTCCTGACCTCAGGGAATCCACCCACCTTGGCCTCCCAAAGTGCTGGGATTACAGGTGTGAGCCACTGTGCCCAGCCTGGAATTTTTAATTTTATTTTATGGTGCTTAAAATCTCAATCATTTCCTCTGATTTCTCTTATTACTTAGGCTTCTAAGCACAAAGCCTTCCTCATTTTTAGAAAGCTGTTCACCTTTTTCTTTTTAAAGTTTTGTGTGTGTTTTTGTTTGTTTTGTTTCATTTTGAGACAGGGTCTCACTCTGCCGCCCAGGCTGGAGTACAATGGCACAATCATGGCTCACTGCAGCCTCAACCTCCCCAGGTTCAGGAGATCCTCCCACCTCAGCCTCCTGAATAGCTGAGACCCCAGGCGCACACCACCATGCCCAGCTGACTTTTTGTATTTTTAGTATTGATGGAGTATCTCCATGTTTCCCAAGCCAATCTCGAACTCCTGGGCTCAAGCGATCTGCTGGCCTTGGCCTCTCAGTGTTTGAATTACAGGCGTAAGTCTCTGTACCTGGCCACTAATGCTTTTTTTTTTTATTTTGATACAGAGTCTCGCTCTGTTGCCCAGGCTGAAGTGCAGTGGCGTGATCTTGACGCACTACAACCTCCACCTCCTGGGTTCAAGCAGTTGTCTGCCTCAGCCTCCCGAGTAGTTGGGATTACAGGTGCCCGCCACTAAGCACAGTTAATTTCTGTATTTTTAGTGGAGACGGGGTTTCACCATGTTGGCCAGGCTGGTCTTGAACTCCTGACCTTATTATCCACCCGCCTTGGCCTCCCGAAGTGCTGAGATTACAGGCGTGAGCCACCACACTTGGCCCTGCCAATGCTTCTTTGTTTCATACAACAGATACATTCCAAATGGATTAAAGATAACTTCTGTTTTTTTCCTACATAGTTAACTGTTTTTCTGGTACCTTTTATGCAGTAATTCTCTTTTCCCTACTGATTTAAAATGACAGCTTTTTATTTGCTAGGCTTTGTTTCTGGATTCTCTCTTCTGTTTAAATTGTCTGCCTATAGTAGTAACAGTACCACATTATATGAATTATGTAGCTTTATGGATATAGATAATAGTGTCGCTACTTAGTGAGGTTTTTTAAATGCCTCCTGGAGGAGTTTGGGGCTGGAGGGGAAGGGTTGTTTTCTTTTTGGTTTTGTTTTTCTTAGTTTTTTTTTAGACCATGTCTCACTTTATTGCCCAGGCCAGAGTGCAGAGGCATGATCACTACTCACTATAGCCTTAACCTCCTGGGCTCAGGCGATCCTCCCAGCTTAGCCTCCAGGTAGCTGGGACTACAGGCATACACCATCACACCTGACTAATTTTTTAAAGTTTTTGTAGAGATGGTGTCCTACTGTGTTGCCCAGGCCTGGTCTCAGACTCCTGTGCTCAAGCAATCCACTCTCCTCAGCCTCCCAAAGTCCTAGCAGTCAGGTGTGAGTCACTGCACCTGGCCAGTGGAAGAGTTTTATAATCTTCAAATAGACCCTGCACATTTTCAGTTCACGTTATTCTTTTTCTTGTATCTTTTTATGTTTATGTATATTTTCCTATATTTATTTAATAGATTGTATATACACTTTCAAGTTTATAGCCCATCTTGTTCCAGAAAGAACTTGAAGAAATATTTAGGAAAGACAGATAATAAGTGATATAAATAAACCAGAAAATACAAATTATAATAGAAAGTTATTATTACATGGTTTGAGAGGCAACAAATTAATCAAGCTGTAGCCAGCTAAAAAAATGGCAACATGATCCTGTTACATAGGTTTCACAATGAAAGAAAAAAATTTCCTTGAAGAAAAGCTTTTCCAAGTATTTAACTCCCAGTGCAATTTCTCCCACATATCTTTTAGTGTAAGCTAAGGCATGATGCCAAAGTGAAACTCGATAAAAGCAATTCTGTAGGGGATAAGGCCGTGTGGCCCAAGTATACCCAGCTTTCTGATGGTCTGGCATAATTCTGGGATAAAGCCTAGACTAGAATGCTGAATTCCACAGAGAGGTCAAGTCAGATGAGGACAGAAAAGCCTCGGTGGATTTACCAATTAAAGGCCATTGCTGGCCTCAGAGCAGCTCCGTAAAGTATTGGGGATCAGAAACCAAACTGGTGAGTGGAAAGTAAGGAAAGAATTAGAGACAGCAAGTGTTAAGTTGAGCGTGGTAGGAAAAAAGAGATGACAGATACTAAATCGTGCATTGGGGTTGAGGGGAGTTATAAATGGGCAAGATTTAAGCAACATAGAGCTAGCTAAGAAGTGGCTGAAGTGGCCGGGTGCGGTGGCTGAAGCGGCCGAATGTGGTGGCTCACGCCTGTAATCCCAGCACTTTGGGAGGCCGAGGCTGGTGGATCACGAGGTCAGGAGATCGAGACCATCCTGGCCAACGTGGTGAAACCTCGTCTCTAGTAAAAATACAAAAACTAGTTGGGCCTGGTGGCACGCGCTGGTAGTCCCAGCTGCTCAGGAGGCTGAGGCAAGAGAATCACTTGAACCTGGGAGGCAGAGGTTGCAGTGAGCCGAGGTCGTGCCACTGCGCTCCAGCCTGGGCAACAGAACGAGAATCTGTCTCAAAGAAAAATAAGTGGCTGAAGCAAGAGGAGGAAGAACTGATCCATGCCCCCTAAGGATACAGGCCTCTGGGGTCTCTGTGTTGGAGCCTAGGCCCTTGCATCCTCACACTCACCATTCAGCAGGGGCAGAGAAGCATTAAGATGCCAGTTTTCCTTCCTTTTAGCCCCTCATCCCCGATTGCCTGGATTGTTCTTCCTCAGTCTGGAGGAACCTCCTGTTCATCATCTACACAGAAGTTGACTGAATAATAAAATTTTTTTATCTAAGCTTCACTTTTTCACCTAGATGATAGAGAAACACAATAAGGATCTGGTCTTAGGAGCTCCATTTTATGGTGATACCACAGTCCGGACGACTAAACCACCCACTTTGCCAAGCTCATTTAGTTGGTTAGTGATGGATTGGGTATACTGGAGTTTCTGTTTATTCCCTGTCCAGTGTCATTGAGTTGAAGGTGACAGCCAAACATTAGTAGATCCTTTAGGCAGTGAAACTGGGATTGCAGATATGGATTGGAAAGACCTCTGTGTAGAAACAGTGGAAGTTAAAAGGCTAGTGTAATGGGCGGCTACGGAGCCTTGGTGTGCTCAGGGGGGCTGGTGAAAGAGTACTCAGAGACGAAGGGAGCTAAGGGAGGAAAGAGGCTTATGAAGGAATAGGATGAGTTTCATCTTGTCAGATGCCAGAGAAACTGAGATTTAGAAAGAGGGAAAGGCCCTTGGGTTGACTCTGGTGGTTCTTGATGGATGGTACCTGTGGGCCAAACAAAGGGGCCGCAGAGGGCTAAGGAGGGAGTTGAGTCCTTTTTAGTAAGGACAGATATTTAAATTTATTATTTTTTTTATTTTTTTTATTTTTGAGGAACAGAGTCTCACTCTGTTGCCCAGGTTGGAGTTCAATGGTGTAATCTCAGCTCACTGTAACCTCTGTGTCCTAGGCTCAAATGATCCTCCTGCCTCAGCCTCCCAAGTAGCTGGGGTTACAGGCATGCACCACCATGCCTGGCTATATTTTGTAGAGATGGTGTTTCACCATGTTGCCCAAGCTGGTCTCGAACTCCTGGACTCAAGGGATCTGCCCACCTCAGCCTCCCAAAGTCCTGGGATTACAGGTGTGAGCCACCATGCCTAGCCTGGCTAATGTGTGTTTTTTAAAATTTGTTTTTAGAGATGGGGTCTCCCCATGTTGCCTGTGCTGGGCTTGAACTCTTGGGCTCAAGTGATCTACTTCAGCCTCCCAAAGTGCTGGGATTACAGGCTTGAGCCATCACACCTAGTCATAAGGACAGATTTTTTGAGATAGAGCAAAGCCATATATAGAAGTGTATATAAATTCCATATATAGTATGATTTCATATATATACAAAATATATACCTTTAACTGAATAGCTGAGAAAACAGCATCAGAATATTAGGTGATTTTCGTAATCTGGAGGAAAAAAAATGTGTCCTGTAAGTAAATTAAAACCGCTTTGAGTGATATAAACTTCATTTTGGTGGCGATATTGGTCCACAAAAAATATTTGATGAAACCTAGAAGGCATGGGCGACTCAAGCAAGCATAGAGCCAAAAAATATGTAGGAATTAGAGTGAGTGGGTATGTTTTGTACTAAGAGGAACTGAGTATTTGAAAGCAGTAAAGAAAGGAGATGGATTGGAGCTGCTAGTGTCGGGAGAGGCAGCTAGAAGCGCAGTCCCCAGGGAGTGGGGAGAATGACCTGGTCCAGCCTATTGGTTACTTATTGATTCAGAGGAGAGACTCCCATCGTCTGGAAAGAAAGTAAAAGGAGAGATCCACTGCTTGATGGAATGCACTAAGGGGTGTGTGTGTGTGTGTGTGTGTGTGTGTGTGTGTGTGTTTTGTTTTGTTTTTTAAGACAGAGTCTCACTCTGTCACCGTGTGTGTGTGTGTGTGTGTGTGTGTGTGTGTGTGTGTGTGTGTTTTGTTTTGTTTTTTTTTAAGACGGAGTCTCACTCTGTCACCCAGCCTGGAGTGCAGTGGCGTGATCTCGGCTCACTGCAAGCTCCACCTCTCGGGTTCATGCCATTCTCCCACCTCAGCCTTCCCAGTAGCTGGGACTACAGGCGCCTGCCACCACGCCCAGCTAATTTTGTTTTTGTATTTCTAGTCGAGATGGGGTTTCACCATGTTAGCCAGGATGGTCTCGATCTCCTGACCTCGGGGATGCTCTGAGATTCTGAGCAGTGTATTGAGAGGCTGATGGCTTGCTACTTTGTGTCTGATTTTTCTCTATTAAAAATAGAAGCTATTGCTTTAAGACCGAGTAGATGCTGTTGTTTTGTGGACTTTATGCCATGTGTTTTTTTTCAGTGAGACAGTACTCTGTCAGCTCAACTTCTTGGAAGCACAGTTGGTTTCTATTTGTACTCTTTTGTACCACTTCTTTTTCTACCTGGTTTATAATTCTGTGACCTCTTTTAGGTTGGACTCGGTTGTTTACAAGCAATTTTTTTTTTTTTTTTTGAGATGGAGTCTCCCTCTGTCACCCAGGCTGGAGTGCAGTGGCCCAATCTTGGCTCACTGCAGCCTCCGCCTCCAGGGTTCACGCGATTCTCCTGCCTCAGCCTCCCAAATAGCTGGGACTATAGGCACCTGCCACCACAACTGGCTAATTTTCGTATTTTTAGTAGAGATGGGGTTTCACCATGTAGGTCAGGCTGGTCGTGAACTCCTGACCTCAGGTGATCCGCCTGCCTCGGCCTCCCAAAGTGCTGGGATTACAGGCGTGAGCCACTCAGCCCAGCCTGTTTACAAGCAATTTTTAACATTTTAAGTTTTCAAATTCACACCAGAGACCAGATAGAATTTTTTTCCGTTGTCTTCAAGTTGTAGCATCAAATTATATGCTACAAAATCCTGGAGACCCCAAAGATTGTTTTTCCTCTACCAATTTTATTATTGAGGATATTTAAATAGTCTGGGATTATGTAGTGACTCTGGCAGGGTCACCACATTTACATTCACAGCATCTCAATTTTTTGTTCTTTGATACCTTTTCTGAGAATGTCACTCTGAAGTAAATTGGGCTTTTTGTATGTTCCCTAGCTCCAGACATCTGGATTATCATTCCCTTTGCAGGGATACTAACTTTTGGGGCTTTTCAGGGACTGAAAAACTTCTCTTAAAAAGTTTTTTTCTGGGGGCTGGGCACGGTGGTTCATGTCTTTAATCCCAGCACTTTGGGAGGCCGAGGCCGGCAGATTACCTGAGGTCAGGAGTTCAAGACCAGCCTGACCAACATGGAGAAACCCTGTCTCTCCTAAAAATATAAAATTAGCCAGGTGTGGTGGCGCATGCCTGTAATCCCAGCTACTCGGGAGGCTGAGGCAGGAGAATCGCTTGAACCCAGGAGTCGGAGGTTGTGTTCAGCCGAGATTGCGCCATTGCACTCCAGCCTAGGCAACAAGAGTGAAACTCCATCTCCAAAAAAAAAAAAAAAAAAAGAGAAGAAAATCTTAATGGGGAAACAGTAATAGTATAAAGTTAAATTGCAAAATCTAATTCTGTGGGTCAAGGGTGGGACCTGAAGTTCTGTGTTTTTAAGAAGCCAGTGCTGCTGGTCCTCAGACCATACTTTGAATAACAAGTACAAAGTTGTGCTGTCCGGTACGGAAGCCCCTAGCCTCATGTTGCTGTTGAGAATTTAGAGTTTCACTGGTTCAAATTAAGGTATGCTGTAAATGTAAGATATAGCTGGGCACGACGGCACATACCTGTAATCACAGCACTTTGGTAGTCTAAGATGGGACAATAACTTGAGGCTGGGAGTTCAAGACCAGCCTGGGCAACACACCTCTACAAAAAAAAAATTACAAAAAAAGAAAACATTAGGCCGGGCGCAGTGGCTCACACCTGTAATCCCAGCACTTTGGGAGGCTGAGGTGGGGGATCACGAGGTCAGGAGATCGAGACCATCCTGCCTAACATGGTGAAACCCCGTCCCTACTAAAAATACAAAAACAAAATTAGCTGGGAGTGCTGGTGGGTGCCTGTAGTCCCAGCTACTCAGGAGGCTGAGGTGGGAGAATGGCATGAACCCGGGAGGCGGAGCTTGCAGTGAGCCGAGATCAAGTCCCTGCACTCCAGCCTGGGCGACAGAGGGAGACTCCCTCTCAAAAAAAAAAGGCTGGGTGTGGTGGCTCACACCTGTAATCCTGGTACTTTGGGAGGCCAAGGCGGGCGGATCAGGAGGTCAGGAGATAAGAGACCATCCTGGCTAACACGGTGAAACCCCGTCTCTACTAAAAGTACAAAAAATTAGCCGGGCGTGGTGACAGGAGCCTGTAGTCCCAGCTACTTGGGAGGCTGAGGCAGGAGAATGGCGTTAACCCAGTAGGTGGAGCTTGCAGTGAGCTGAGATCGCGCCACTGCACTTCAGCCTGGGCAACAGTGCAAGACTCTGTCTCAAAAAAAAAAAAAAAAATTAGAGGCCAGGCACGGTGGTTTATGCCTGTAATCCTAGCAATTTGGGAGGCTGAGGCGGGCAGATGACTTGAGCCCAGGAGTTCGAGACCAGTCTGTGCAACATGGTGAAACCCCACTTTTACTAAAAATACAAAAAAATTAGCCTGGTGCCTGGTATGAACCTGTAGTCCCAGCTACTCGGGAGGCTGAGGTGGGAGAATCACCTGAGCCCAGGAAGTCAAGGCTGCAATGAGCCATGACCATTCTGCTGCACTCCAGCCTGGGCAACAGAGGAAACCCCGTCTCAAAAAAAAAAAAAAAAAGAAAAGAAAAGAAAATTAATTGAGCATGGTGGCATAAACTGTAGTCCTAGCTACTTGGCAGACTGAGGCAGGAGGATCACTGGAGCCCAGGAGTTGGAGGTTACAGTGAGCTGTGATCCTACCACTGCACTCCAGTCTGGGCAACAGAGCAAGTCTGTGTCTCAAGCATAACAATTTTTTTTGTTAGTTTTGTTTTTGTTTTGTTTGTTTGTTTTTGAGACAGAGTCTCGCTCTGTTGCCAGGCTGGAGTGCAGTGGCGCGATCTTGGCTCATTGCAAGCTCCACCTCCCAGGTTCACACCATTCTCCTGCCTCAGCCTCCCAAGTAGCTGGGACTATAGGCATCCGCCACCACGCCCGGCTAATTTTTGTATTTTTAGTAGAGACAGGATTTCGCCATGTTAGCCAGGATGGTCTGTATCTCCTGACCTCATGATCCACCTGCCTTGGCCTCCCAAAGTGTTGGGATTACAGACATGAGCCACCATACCCGGCCAACAATTTTTTAAATTGATGAAACCTTGAAATGATATTTTGGACATACCAGGTTAAGTAAAATAGATTACTAAAATTAATTTCACCAGGGTTTTTTTTTTTTTTGTTTTTTGTTTTTTTTTTTTACTTTTTAATATGAATTTTTTTTACTTAAAATTACATATAATGTGGCTTATGTTTGTGGCTTGCATTATATTTCTATTGAACAGTGCCAGCCTAGAGAATTTATATTCTAAAGATAATCTGTCTGAACAGTACTGAGTATATAAAATTAATTATAGTTAGGATTATGCTTAGTCTTTTACAATCAGAGGTATAAATGGGATTTTTTTTTTTTTTTTTTTTTTTTTTTTGAGACAGTCTCGCTCTGTCTCCCAGGCTGGAGTGCAGTGGCGCAATCTCGGCTCATGGCAAGCTTCGCCTTCCGGGTTCACGCCATTCTCCTGCCTCAGCCTCCCGAGTAGCTGGGACTACAGGCACCCGCCACCACTCCTGGCTAATTTTTTGTATTTTTTAGTAGAGATGGTGTTTCACCGTGTTAGCCAGGATGGTCTCGGTCTCCTGACCTCATGATCCACCCGCCTTCGCCTCCCAAAGTGCTGGGATTACAGGCGTGAGCCACCACGCTTGGCCTAAATGACATCTTATAATAAAAATACTAGCACTTTGCTCATTTTTAATTTATAGGTGAATTATAAAGCATTCTACAAATGTTCTTTGATCCCCACCTTCTGCGGTAACATTTTTTTATATTTGTCCCCACTGTCATGGAACAGCATAGTAAGAAGCCTTTGCATTGGATGTTGTTGTATTTTTCTCTTGGTTGTTGAGAACAAGGGACTAATGAAAGAAAGAAGGTAATGGAAGAATAAACCAAACTGGCAATCCAACAACCTCGGGAGTTTACCTTGAGCCTTGTTTTTTTCCAGGCAGATGGTGGGGTTTGCTGAATCTGTCCAAAAGTATATGTTGCTTCAAGCCCGGCTTTTGCCCTTAAAGAGCTTTCACACCCAACTGGGAAAATAGATCGTTTTGAGAAAATTTTAAGTGCTAAACTGTGTCCTTATTTTATCAGAAACACATTTGGAGCAAAGTAGTGGCCACAAGAACCTCAGAAAGCTTTGTTGTGCCAGGGATGAGCTGGTGTTGAGAGGAGTGGATCAGACGTAAAGTACAGAGTGAAGACAGGGAGATGACAGTAGGAACTGTGTCTGGATGAAAAGACAGCTTGACTGAAGGGGAGAGTGCTAGAGGGCAAGACATAAATCTGAATAGGTTATCATGGGGTCAGGTACGAAGGGGCTTTGTGAGCCAGAAGGGTGGTAAGTGCATCATGTAGTTTTTGCAAAAGTAGAGACACACTTTTTGAGGAAATTAAGTCTTCTTCTTTGTGAAATGAGTGAATCTTTACTTCTCTGCCCAGAAAGCATAAGTGGTTTTCCATTGCCAGTCATCTGAGGTATTTTGTTATTCAAGACCATCCAAACTATGGGGGGCAACCAGCACATCTTTCACCTGTCTTACTACCCTCTCCTCTGTCCTGTGCTTTAAGCCAGTTCTTTTTCTTACTCATAACTAATTCCCACATGTATTTATTGTACCCAGAAATCCAAACCTTTCCCCTACAGAATACATCCTCTGCCCTCCACTGTCAAACTCTGCCTTTAAATGTCCTGCTCACGTTTCAGGGTTCCGTTCAAATTCCACATTTATGAAGCATTTTTCTATCACACCTGGTTATGTTATCTTTCTCCAAACCTATGTAATTTCACCTTGAACCATTGTGCTACCTATTTTGTCCTTTATGTTAGACAGTAACTCCTAGAATGTAGGACCAGGCCTCCCAAAATGCTGGGATTACAGGCGTGAGCCACCACGCCCGGCCCCTATTTTGCTCTTGTTTAGGTAATGTCATTCTCTCTGTAGTAGTTCTTGTGCTGCCTCTCAGGTGGTCCTGGCTTAAGGAGTCTTCTCTGACTGCTATCATGGATATAATACAATGTTAAGGTGCCTAGACAGAGAATTGGAGAAAAGTGTGTCTAATAGAACTAACAAAAGCTTCGTTTGAGCTGTATTCTTGGCCAAAAATACAAAACACTTCAATGTTTTGTTTTGGGTTTTTTTTTTTTTTTTTTTTGAGACATAGTTTCACTCTTATCGCCCAGGCTCCAGGCTGGAGTGCAGTGGCACTCGGCTCACTGCAATCTCCGCCTCCAGGCTTCAAGCAATTCTCGAGCCTCACTCAGCCTTCCAAGTAGCTGGGATTAGAGGCACACCCCACCACACTCAGCTATATATGTTTTATTTTATTTTAATTATTATTATTTTTTTGAGACAGAGGCTCGCTCTGTTGCCCTGGCTGGAGGGAGTACAGTGGCCCAATCTCAGCTCACTGCAACCTCCACCTCCCAGGTTCAAGCAATTCTTCTGCCTCGGCCTCCTGAGTAGCTGGGATTACAGGCATGTGCCACCACACCTGGCTAATTTTTGTATTTTTAATAGAAACGGGGTTTTGCCGTGTTGGCCAGGCTTGTCTCCATCTCCTGACTTCAAGTGATCTGCCCGCCTCGGCCTCCCAAAATGCTGGGATTACAGGCCTGAGCCACCACGCCTGGCCCCTATTTTACTCTTGTTTAGGTAATGTCATTCACAAGATTTTTGTTTGTTTTTTATTTTTTGTTTTTGAGACCGAGTCTCACTCTGTCGCCCAGGCTGGAATGCAGGGGCACTTTCTCAGCTCGCTGCAACCTCCACCTCCAGGGTTCAAGTTCTTTTCGTGCCTCAGCCTCCCAAGTAGCTGGGATTACAGGTGCACACCACTACGCCTGGCTAATTTTTGTATTTTTAGTAGAGATGGGGTTTTGCCATGTTAGCCAGGCTGGTCTTGAACTCCTGGCCTCAACTGATCCACCAGCCTTGGCCTCCCAAAGTGCTGGGATTACAGGCGTGAGCTACCGTGCCCGGCCCATTCACAAGATATAAGAGCCAAAAACTATGAATTGGCTGATTTGTTTTCTGCTTTCTATTATATATTCAATTTGGTTGGCATTTATTGAGTACTTACCATCCTGGGCACAGTGCTAAAGAGTAAAAACCGTGGCTGGGCGTGGTGGCTCACGCCTGTAGTCCCAGCACTTTGGGAGGCCGAGGCGGACAGATCACGAGGTCAGAAGTTCAAGACCAGCCTGGCCAACATAGTGAAACCCCGTATCTGCTAAAAATACAGAAAATTAGCCAGGTGTGGTGGTGGGCACCTGTAATCCCAACTACTCCGGAGGCTGAAGCAGGAGAATCACTTAAACCTGGGAGGCAGAGGTTGCAGTGAGCCAAGATCACGCCATTGCACTCCAGCCTGGGCGACAGTGCGAGACTCCGACTCAAAAAAAAAAAAAAAGTAAAAACCGGTTGGGCGCAGTGGCTCACACCTGTAATCCCAGCACTTTGGGAGGCCGAGGCAGGCGGATCACGAGGTCAGGAAATCGAGACCATCCTGGCTAACATGGTGAAACCCCGTCTCTACTAAAAATACAAAAAATTAGCCGGGCATGGTGGTGGGCGCCTGTAGTCCCAGCTACTCGGGAGGCTGAGGCAGGAGAATGGCGTGAACCTGGGAGGCGGAGCTTGCAGTGAGCGGAGATCGTGCCACTGCACCCTAGCCTGGGCAACAGAGCGAGACTCCGTCTCAAAAAAAAAATTAAAAAAAAAAAAACGACTTGTTAGATGTGGTTCTTATTCTCAGGGAATTCCTGATCTCATTGTCAGGAGAGAGGTGAATGTCAAGTTGATGGTATGACATGGGCAGTTTTGTGCAGTGTCTACAAACACGGCCATTGCAGTCTGGATCTAAGTTCTGAGTTTGGCTTCAAAAAACAAGGTCAAAAACCCTTGACAGGGTGGGGAAAATGGGGAATTGCTGTTGAGTGGGTATAAAGTTTCAGTTATGCAAGATGAGTAAGTTCTAGAGATCTGCTACACAACATAGTTCCTGTATTAATCGTATAGCATTATGCACTTTGAATTATGTTGAGGATGGATCTCATGATAAATATTATCACCAAAAACAAAATACAAGGAAATTTTGGAGGTGTATTTAGTGTTTTTTTTTTTCTTTTTTGAGACGGAGTTTCGTTCTTGTTGCCCAGGCTGCACAGTACAATGGCGCAATCTTGGCTCACCGCAACCTCCACCTCCCGGGTCAAACGATTCTCCTGCCTCAGCCTCCCAAGTAGCCAGGATTACATACAGGCATGCACCATCACACCTGGCTAATTTTGTATTTTTACTTAGGACGGGGTTTCTCCATGTTGTTCAGGGTGGTCTCGTACTCCCGACCTCAGGTGATCCACACACCTCAGCCTCCCAAAGTGCTGGGATTATAGGCGTGAGCCACCACGTGCTTAATAAAGCTACCTTAATAAAGCTTTTTACAAAACATTGGCAGACCCGGGCACAGTGGCTCAGTCACATGTATAATCCCAGCACTTTGGGAGGCTTAGGTGGGAGGATTGCTTCAGCCCAGGAGTTCAAGGCCAGTCTGGAAATGTGGCAAGACCCCATAATTGCAGAAAATTAAGCTAATTCATATATGCATCATCTCACATCCTTGTCATTTTTTGTGATGAGAACACTTAAAAATCTGCTCTCAGTTATTTTCAGGTATACGTTATTATTAACTGTAATATTCATGTTGTATAATAGATCTCTTGAACTTATTCCCACTGAAATTATATGTCCTTTACCAGTGTCTTCCCCACTACATGTGTAAGATTTAAATTAGTTTTGTTAGTAATTCTTTAATATCATCAGATATCCAGAGTTGAAATTTCTAATTGTCTTGTGTCACATCTTTTTCACCATTTATTGGTTTGAATCAGGATCCAAAGAAGATTCATGCATTGTGATTGATTACTGTCTCTTTAAGACTCTTTTATCTGTATCAGAGTTTCTCAGCCTCAGTGCTCTTGACATCTTGGGCCTGATAATTCTTTTTTTTTTTTTTTTTGAGATGGAATCTCGCTCTGTCGCCCAGGCTGGAGTGCAGTGGCGCGATCTTGGCTCACTGCAAGCTCCGCCTCCCAGGTTCACGCCATTCTCCTGCCTCAGCCTCCCAAGAGCTGGGACTACAGGCGCCCACCACCACGCCCGGCTAATTTTTTTGTATTTTTTAGTAGAGACGGGGTTTCACCGTGTTAGCCAGGATGGTCTCGATCTCCTGACCTCCGGTAATCTGCCCGCCTCAGCCTCCCAAAGTGCTGGGATTACAGGCGTGAGCCACCGTGCCCGGCCTGGCCTGATAATTCTTTGTGGTGGAGGACTGACCTGTGTCTTGGAGGATGTTTAATAGCATCTCTAGCTTTCACCCACGAGATAACAGTAGCACATCCCAGCCCAGTAGTGACAACCAAAAATGTGTTAGCCAAATGTTCCTAGAGGCAAAGTCACCCCAGGCTGAGAACTACTGATCTACTGGTTCTCCCTCCAATCAGTCTTCCCTTGTATTCTTCTTGTTATCTATTTGCAGAAGAACCTGAGTATAATCTTGCAGTGTTTCCCTCGGTATGGATTTCACTGATTTAATCCCTGTAGTATAATTTAACATCCTGAGTCACCAATTTCCTGTTAATTGGGTTGGATCTAGAGACTTGATTGGTTTCAGAGTTTTGGAGTTTGTTTGACAAAATTGCATTATAGGTAGTGGTTTTTTCTTTTTCTTTTTTTTTTTTTTTTTTTTGAGATGGAGTCTTGCTCTGTCCCCCACGCTGGAGCGCAGTGGTGCAATCTCGGCTCACTGCAAGCTCCGCCTCCTGGATTCAAGCTATTCTTCTGCCTCAGCCTCCCGAGTAGCTGGGACTACAGGCGCCCGCCACCATGCCTGGCTAATTTTTTTTGTATTTTTAGTAGAGACGGGGTTTCACCGTGTTAGCCAGGATGTTCTCGATCTCCTGACCTCGTGATCCGCCCGCCTCAGCCTCCCAAAGTGCTGGGATTACAGGCGTGAGCCACTGCACCTGGCCAGTAGTGGTTGTTTCTTTCATCAAGAGGCACATGTCTGTTGTGTCTTTTTTAATATTAACAACCATTGATGCCTAATTCATTCACCAAAGGGTCTTTTTGTTTTAAAATGTATATTTTTATTTAGACATGCTTTGCTTTAAATAACAATCTGTGTTCTCCCTTAATAAAGGCAGGGGAAATGGAAGGTGATGCAGTCGAAGCCATTGTGGAGGAGTCCGAAACTTTTATTAAAGGAAAGGAGAGAAAGACTTACCAGAGACGCCGGGAAGGGGGCCAGGAAGAAGATGCCTGCCACTTACCCCAGAACCAGACGGATGGGGGTGAGGTGGTCCAGGATGTCAACAGCAGTGTACAGATGGTGATGATGGAACAGCTGGACCCCACCCTTCTTCAGATGAAGACTGAAGTAATGGAGGGCACAGTGGCTCCAGAAGCAGAGGCTGCTGTGGACGATACCCAGATTATAACTTTACAGGTTGTAAATATGGAGGAACAGCCCATAAACATAGGAGAACTTCAGCTTGTTCAAGTACCTGTTCCTGTGACTGTACCTGTTGCTACCACTTCAGTAGAAGAACTTCAGGGGGCTTATGAAAATGAAGTGTCTAAAGAGGGCCTTGCGGAAAGTGAACCCATGATATGCCACACCCTACCTTTGCCTGAAGGGTTTCAGGTGGTTAAAGTGGGGGCCAATGGAGAGGTGGAGACACTAGAACAAGGGGAACTTCCACCCCAGGAAGATCCTAGTTGGCAAAAAGACCCAGACTATCAGCCACCAGCCAAAAAAACAAAGAAAACCAAAAAGAGCAAACTGCGTTATACAGAGGAGGGCAAAGATGTAGATGTGTCTGTCTACGATTTTGAGGAAGAACAGCAGGAGGGTCTGCTATCAGAGGTTAATGCAGAGAAAGTGGTTGGTAATATGAAGCCTCCAAAGCCAACAAAAATTAAAAAGAAAGGTAAAACGAGTTTATCCATAGTGGTTTCATAAAACCATTTTGGGATAAGCATACAACACAGTGCATATGCAAGTTGTTTTATATTAACCGTATTTGTAAAAGGTCGTTATGTGGGTACCGTTCTTTAAAACCAGTCTAAAATAAGTTTTTTCCAGATTGAATGCTCTTTTTTTAATCCCAAAGAAGAAGGAAATGTATTAGTGACATGAGATAATTATGACTTATATTGGGTTTTGTTATTAAAAGCTAATCAAATATATTTGTAGAAATTTAAGATTAGGATTAATCTTAACACTTTGAAACTCTGCAGCAAGTAAGTGTTTTATTTTGCACATAGGTGTAAAGAAGACATTCCAGTGTGAGCTTTGCAGTTACACGTGTCCACGGCGTTCAAATTTGGATCGTCACATGAAAAGCCACACTGATGAGAGACCACACAAGTGCCATCTCTGTGGCAGGGCATTCAGAACAGTCACCCTCCTGAGGAATCACCTTAACACACACACAGGTGCTGGATAAGAATGTTGGGGGCTACAACAGCAAATGCTCAGACTTCGCTTTTTAGTATTCATTCAAGCTGACTCCAGCGGGAATTTAAAGGAAGTTTTTATTATTTCTTATGATGCCCTTTTTGTAATCATGATTTTATTGTAAGCACTTGGACTTAGTTATTATAGACAAATGTAAAGAAAATTTAATGAAAAATAACACCCTCTCTCTTAAAAAAAAGAAGTCTCAGGCAATAGATGCCTGGTACTATGAGGAAGAATGTTAGAAATAGAAGTGAAATCCCAGTGAAACCCTGTCTCTACTAAAAATACAAAAAATTAGCTGGGTGTGGTGGTGGGCGCCTGTAGTCCCAGCTACTCGGGAGGCTGAGGCAGGAGAATGGCGTGAACCCGGGAGGTGGAGCTTGCAGTTAGCCGAGATCCCACCACTGCACTCCAGCCTGGGCGACAGTGCGAGTCTCCGTCTAAAAAAAAAGAAAAGAAAAGAAATAGAAGTGAAATCCTACCTTTATTTAAAAAAAAAAAAGTGGCCGGGTACAGTGGCTCACGCCTGTAATCCTAACACTCTGGGAGGCTGAGGTGGGCAGATCACTTGAGATTAGAAGTTGGAGACCAGCCTGGCCAACGTGACAAAATCACATCCATCTGTACTAGAAATACATAAATTAGCCAGGTGTGGTGGCGGGTGCCTGTAATCCCAGCTACTCAGGAGGCTCAGGCAGGAGAATCGCTTGAAACCTGGGAGGCAGACACTGCAATGAGCTGAGATAGTGCTACTGCACTCCAGCCTGGGCGACAGAGTGAGACTCCATCTCAAAAACAAACCTTAACATTTTTTGTTTCTGGTTGTTTCACGTCAAGGAAGATAATTCATAATTTCAGAATGGAAAAGCTAAGGCACCATTCTGATAATTCAAACATTTATTTGAGCATCCTACTTACTTTAGTGTTCAGATATTCTGATATTAGCTTCATGTTGGCTGTGGCCAGGTTCCCTGAGGTCTCTAAAGTAGAGGGACTCTGTGCACTAAACCTCTCTTTAAGCTTTCCTGAGCTATTTGTTATCCCAGTGTAGGAAGTTGGTTGCAAGTCTTCTCACATGGTTTTTCATGCAGAATAACTTCATTTCATATGACAACTCTTGTTTTTGATTTTTAGGTTTTTAAAAATTTCTAATGACAACCCTTGTTTTAGATTTGTTGTGCTGGTTGTCAGATGACCATGATCAAGTGGGTGTTAATCATAAACAGTATGCTGCACATGGGCACATTCTTCACTAATGTGACTTACTTTTAAACATCTCCCTAATTTCTACTCAGACACTTGATAATATGTTTTATTTGATACTTTGAAGACACTAGGATGGGGCATATGACTAAATAAAAGTAACTGGGTAATCCCAGCACTTTGGAAATCCAATGGGGGGTAGATGACCTGAGGCCAGGAGTTCTAGACCAGCCCGGCCAACATGGCAAAACCGCCTCTGTACTGAAAATACAAAAAATCAGCTGGGTGTAGTGGCACACGCCTGTAAACCCAGCTACTTGGGTGGCTGAGGCAGGAGAATCACTTGAATGCGGGAGACAGAGGTTGCAGTAAGCCAAGATTGTGCCACCGTACTCCAACCTAAGTGACAGAGCAAGACTCTGCCTCACCAAAATAAATAAATAAATAAATAAATGGCCCCATAACAGGACTTCCCAAGATGGGTGTGCCTTGGTGTGGGCATTCTCTATCTGGTCTTCAGCTTTGAAAGTAAGAGGTACAGTCTATCTGGTTACTCAGCAGATTTGGCAAGACTGATTCATACCAACAAAACCCATAAGAGCAGATGCATACACCAAGAGTATCAGTTTATGGTGAGGAGTATACCTTTTCATGTTCCAGATGCAGTTGCATTGCATTCTAGGGGGCGCCTTTGCCTCTGTTACGATGCTGTAGCAGCCGGGCGCCGTAGCTCTCGCCTGTAATCCCATCACTTTGGGAGGCCGAGGTGGGTGGATCACCTGAGGTCAGGAGTTCAAGACCAGCCTGGCTAACATGACGAAACCTCGTCTCTACTAAAAATATAAAAATTAGCCGGGCGTGGTGACGCATGCCTGTAGTCCCAGCTACTCGGAAGGCTGAGGCAGGAGAATTGCTTAAATCCAGGAAGCAGAAATTGCAGTGAGTGGAGATCGCACCATTGCACTCCAGCCTGGGCGACAGAGTGAGACTCCATCTCAAAAAAAAAAAAAAAAAAAAAAGATGTTGTAGCAATTGAAAGCTAACTTGGTGAGGATGAGCCTTGATGGCTGGGCATGGTGGCTCACACCTGTAATCCCTGCACCTAGGGAGGCTGAGGCGGGTGGATCACTTGAGGTCAGGGGTTTGAGACCAGTCTGGCCAACATGATGAAACCTCATCTCCACTAAAAATACAAAAATTAGCCAGGTGGCCGGGTGTGGTGGCTTACGCCTGTAATCCCAGCACTTTGGCACTTTGGGAGGCTGACGCGGGCAGATCACCTGAGGTCAGGAGTTCAAGACTAGCCTGACCAACATGGGGAAATCCTGTCTCTATTAAAAATACAAAATTAGCCGGGTGTGGTGGCACATGCCTGTAATCCCAACTACTCGGGAGGCTGAGGCAGGAGAATCACTTAAACCCAGGAGGCGGAGGTTGCGGTGAGCTGAGATCGTGCCATTGCACTCCAGCCTGGGCAACAAGAGCAAAACTCGGTCTCAAGAAAAAGCCAGGCATGGTGGCCCATGCCTGTAATCCCAGCACTTCGGGAGGCTGAAGCAGGCGGATCACAAGGGCAGGAGATCGAGACCATCCTGGCCAACATGGTGAAACCCCGTCTCTACTGAAAATAGAAAAAAAAAATGTTAGCCAGGTGTGGTGGCATGTACCTGTAGTCCCAGCTACTCAGGAGGCTGAGGCAAGAGAATTACTTCAACCTGGAAGGTAGAGGTTGCAGTGAGCCAAAATCATGCTACTGCACTACAACCTGGGCGACAGAGCAAGAGACTCCGTCTCAAAAAAAAGAGGATGGGCCTTGAGTGAAGGGATGTAGGTGGTCATGTGGCACAGCCTAATGGAACTCCCTGCCCCACAGCAGTGTCCACTTCTTTGCTAATTGCCACGCTTATGCAGGCCTTTCTCTGCCCTGGATAGTACTAGGTAAACACGAGCATTTATTTTTTAGCTTACTTTGTTCTAAAAGAAGACCAAGCATGGTGGCTCACAACCTGTAATCTCAGGACTTTGTGAGGCCGAGGCCGGAGGATTGCTTGAGCCCAGGAGTTTGAGACAAGCCTGGGCAACGTGGCAAGACTCCATCTCTACAAAATAGAAAAAATTAGCCAGGCATGGTGGTGCAAGCCTGTAGTCTCAGCTACTGGAGAGGCTGAAGTAGGAGGATCACTTGAGCCTGGGAAGTCAAGGCTGCAGTGAGCCTTGATCCTATCACTGCACTCCCACTGGGTAACAGAGGAAGACCCTGGCTCAAAAACAAAAAACGAAAAGAAAATTGGATGCCACTTTTCTTCTCTTGTTAATTGTTTTACTTCTTATCCATACCACCAGACTATACACTTTCACAGGAAGAACTCTGTGCTTTACCGTTAGATCCATAGTGGTTCTAAAGAATCGAATGAACAAATGAACATTCCTTGGAATTGCTTAGTTTTTATTATACTCCAGTCACTCTTCCTCTCCAGCATTCTCTTCATTCTCAAAGAGAATCATTTCTGCAGATGGCTGGTTCTATTCATTACATTGTGGCTCTTCCTAATTGTATCCTCAAAGGCAGCCTTCCTTTGGTTTTAGTGTTTGATACTACCTTGCTGTCACCCCTTACCTGCTGCCCACAATTACAGATGGTCACTAGTCTGTGAAACTAGCACTGCATTGTGCTCTCAGTTTTGTCTCTAAGATTCCTTCAGTGAAAGACAAGAAATGTAGAGAGTATATTATTCATGTTTTATATTGGATGAATTGACATTCAGAATGATCACAGCATATTAGACATGGATGTTTGAAAATCATTTGTTTAAATCACATAAAAGGAAATACTATGTAAAGCCTGTGATAAGCCTCTGAAATTCCTTATCAAGACAGATACATGTGGAAAACAAGTTATATGTTTGTGTTTTTAAAAGAAAGTTGCAGAATATGGACAGCCCAATGGCCCTATATTTATAGTCATAATACAACGAGATTTGAGAGACAGGATCTTGCTATGTTGCCCAGGCTGGTCTCAAACTCTTAGCCTCCCAGAGTTCTGGGATTAGAGGCATGAGCCACCAAGCCCGGTCTCTATTAACTTTTAATCCATAATGACCAGGATATTCACAAAATAGGAATAAGAAGGTTTTTATTGTATTCAAAGGCAGCGGATTCAGATGGGTAATTAAGAGAAACTAATTTGGTATGTGTTATAATATCCTGGTGTTAGTATAAATTCATCCAGGCCCTCCCATAGTTTTCGGAGCTGACTTTTGTATCTGCTTTCAAGCTACTGCAGTTGATGGGATGAATAGGGTTCCAGTCTCATAGCAGTTCTGTGCCACACATTGAACTCTGTCATTAACTGTGCCCTTGATCTTGCTCTTCCTGTTACTCCATCCTTTCTCTAGGTACTCGTCCTCACAAGTGCCCAGACTGCGACATGGCCTTTGTGACCAGTGGAGAATTGGTTCGGCATCGTCGTTACAAACACACCCACGAGAAGCCATTCAAGTGTTCCATGTGCGATTACGCCAGTGTAGAAGTGAGTGTTCAGCTTTTTGTTGGTATCTCTCTTAGGCAGACCATGATTTATTTCAATACAAAGCTATAACTACTACCCAAACGGACTTAAGATGAGGTAGAAAAATGTTAGTAAATTATTAACACTCCCACACAACACCGCTCCCCCAAAAAACTTATGATGATTGTGAAAGATTTACTTGTTAAAAAGAGTCAAGTTTCTGGCTGGGTGCGGTGGCTCACGCCTATAATCCCAGCACTTTGGGAGGCTGAGGTGGGCGGATCACCTGAGGTCGGGAGTTGGAGACCAGCTTGACCAACATGGAGAAACCCGATCTGTACTAAAAAATAAAAAATTTAGGCTGGGCCTGGTGGCTCACAGCCTATAATCCCAGCAGTTTGGGAGGCTGAGGTGGGTGGATCACAAGGTCAGGAGATTGAGACCATCCTGGCTAAAACGGTGAAACCCTGTCTCTACTAAAAATACAAAAAATTAGCTGGGTGTGGTGGCAGGCACCTATAGTCCCAGCTACTCGGGAGGCTGAGGCAGGAGAATGGCGTGAACCCCAGAGGCAGAGCTTGCAGTGAGCTGAAATCACGCCACTGCACTCCAGCCTGGGCGACAGAGCGAGACTCCCTCCATCTCAAAAAATAATAATAAATAAATAAATAAATATTAGCTGGGCGTGGTGGTGCATGCCTGTAATCCCAGCTACTTGGGAGGCTGAGGCAGGAGAATCACTTGAACCCGGGAGGTGGAGGTTGCAGTGAGCCGAGATCGTGCCATTGCAGTCCAGCCTGGGCAACAAGAGTGAAACTCCGTCTTAAAAAAGAGTACCAGTTTCACATGTTAATACAGGCAAATTCTGTCAAACTTTGAAGAAAAAACTGTACCCAGAGCATTTTAAAATGGTAGGTTTATCAATTTTATTATTTGAAGCTACACTGTTACCAAAACTGGGTCAGAAAACTACCAAAAAGAAAACTTACCCTCAGAGAGAAGCAAAAATTCTAAATGAAATTATTAGCCAATGAGCCAACCTAATTTAGTAATACGTTCTAAAAATAAGTGATACTGAATATATCTGAAACACAAAGATTGTTTATCATTGGGAAATTGCTGATGTATATTACATTGAAGGATTGAAGAAAAACCATATTATTTCTGTAGATGGGATGGGAGCTAAAATTCAGTAATCATTAATTACTGTTTAATGTCCTAGCAAGTTACGTATAGGAGAAAACTTCTTTAATATAATGTGTTTAGGCTGGGCATGGTGGCTCACGCCTGTAATCCCAGTACTTTGGGAGGTTGAGGTGGGCAGATCACCTGAGGTCAGGAGTTGACCAGTGTGGCCAACATGGTGAAACACCATCTGTACTAAAAATACAAAAATTAGCTGGGCATGGCAGCATGCGCCTGTAGTCTCAGCGACTCGGGAGCCTGAGGCAGGAGAATCACTTGAACCTGGGAGGTGAAGGTTGCATTGAGGCAAGATCGCACCACTGCACTCCAGCCTGGGTGATGAGTGAGACTCCCCCTCAAAAAAATTTTAAACAGCATATATACCAGAAATGTATAATAAACTCATCCTAATTAATTCTGAAACATTGAAAGTATTTCCATTAAAATCTGGAATATGACAAGATATTCATTCTTAATGTTACTGTTTCAGCTTTGTACTGGAAATCCTAGCTAATCGAATAAAGCAAGAAATGAATTATTAATGGAAAGATAAAACTGTTATTTCTTGCAGAGAGATTTGCTTACAGAGAAAATCTAAGAGTATCAGAACAAAAACTTAGAGCAATAAGAGTTCAGTTCACTGGCCGGATATAAGATAAGCATACAGAAATCAGTAACGTCAATAGTGATAGGAAGGTATGAAATGGATTCTAATAGCAATAAAATAACTGAGGGATAAACTGAACAACAAAAAATATCTATGAAATGTACATGAAGAAAACCTCAGTAACTTTTCCAGAGGACCTGAATAAATGAAGAAACATTACAAGTTGATTCTAACTTTCAACTGGAAGAATAAATATGAATGGCTAAGAAAAATTTGAAAATAGAATGAGGGGCTTGTGCCATTGGATTTTGTAAAACTATAGTAAATGAAGCCAGTGTGATATTGCAGTAGGAATAGATAGCTCATTGGAACAGAGTAGGTTCTGGTACATATTGAAATTAACAGGTTAAATAGGGAAATCTTGAAGGAAAAGAATTAGTAACGCTGTTAGGATAGTTATCGACTTATGTGTGTGAAAACTTGGTGTGTAACACTTATGAGTGGGGCCAGGCGCGGTAGCTCACGCCTGTAATCCCAGCACTTTGGGAAGCTGAGGCGGGTTGGTCACCTGAGATCAAGAGTTTGAGACCAGCCGGGCCAACGTGGTGAAACCCCGTCTCTACTAAAAATACAGAAGTTAGCCAGGCCTGGTGGCGTGCGCCTGTAGTCTCAGCTACTCGGGAGGCTGAGGCAGGAGAATTGCTTGACCCTGGGAGGCGGAGGTTGCAGTGACCCACAATCGTGACAGTGTACTCCAGCCTGGGCAACGGAGCGAGATTTCATCTCAAAAAAAACCAAAAAAAACTCAGAGACATTTATGAGTACAGTGTTTTTTTGTTTTTTGTTTGTTTGTTTCCTTAAAATTGGGATACTTTTTAAATTTTTCAAAACAAACATTGAAACATTAGTGAATGTTCAAAACGCTTTTTGGAGCAGGGGGTGCGTGGCAGACAGGGTCTCTCACTCTGTCGCCCAGGCTGGACTGCAGTGGCGTGATCATGGCTCACTGTAGCCTTAAACTCCTGAGCTCAGGTGATCCTCCCACTTCAGCTGCTCCTCACGTAGCTGAGACTACAGGCATGTGCCATCACACCCAACTAATTTTTGTATTTTTTGTAGAGACAGGGTTTTGCCATGTTGCCCAGGCTGGTCTCGAACTCCTGACCTCAAGCAATCGCACGCCTTGGGCCTGCCAAAGTGCTGGGACTACAGGTGTGAGCCACCGTGACCTGCCCTCAAAGCACTTCATAGAATCAAGTTTGAAAGTCACTGTTTTAGTATAAGGTATCCTGCAGGGGACTAAAGGATGGATAATGGTGAGGATGATAGAAGAGAGGCCCTTCGAGCCTGGCCTGTCTAGGAAACGCTAATGATAGGAAAAGAGGATGAGTGGAATTAAAATATGTACTCAGTAACACAGGATTTGGAACAAATTGATCTGTAAATAGGCATGGATTATTTTTAAACTATTATGGAAAATTTCAAACATGTAGAAGTAAAGATTGTAATACATCCTCATGTGCCTACCACCCAGCTTAAACAGTTACTAGTAATGCGCAGTCTTTTTTTTTGAGACAGAGTTTCGCCCTTGTCCAGGTTGGAGTGCAGTGGCACGATCTCGGGTCACTGCAGCCTCCACCTCCTGGGTTCAAGAGATTCTCCAGCCTCAGCCTTCCGAGTAGCTGGGATTACAGGCGTGTGCCACCATGCTTGGCTAATTTTTGTATTGTTAGTAGATACGGGGTCTCACCATTTGGCCAGGCTGGTCTTGAACTCCTGACCTCAGATGATCTGCCCACCTCAGCCTCCCAAGTAATGACCAATCTTGGCTTATCTATACCCGTATTCATTTACCCACTTCTCTTAGATAATGATATGGATTCGAGAAGCAAAGTTTACAAATAATGAAGAGGGAAGAAGGTTATCTTTTAGACTTCTGTATTCTGAACTTCAGTGCCCCAAAGCTAAGCTTTTGTGCCTAACCTACTGTGCTCTTGTTACAGTCTGTGTTAACAGAAGTTAAAGTTCGGTTGTTTTCGTATTTCAGGTCAGCAAATTAAAACGTCACATTCGCTCTCATACTGGAGAGCGTCCGTTTCAGTGCAGTTTGTGCAGTTATGCCAGCAGGGACACATACAAGCTGAAAAGGCACATGAGAACCCATTCAGGTAGGACTTCTCCACTCCTTACTGTATTAATGAGCTTCTTTTCAGTGAATCCCATGGGACCCTGTGGACCACTGTGTGTCCCCATTGTTTATATGAATGAAGACTGGCATGAAAATAGTATGGAATTGATAATGCTTCTCCGGCATATCCTCTGAATTCGTTGTTCAGAAAACACATTAGAAAATAGTACCTTTTGTTTTGTTCAACTTGAATCTGCCTACAACAAGAAAAATTTTAAGGGAGAAATTAAGTTAAAATGGACAGATTTTAATTTTAAAAGTCTGGGTAGATTTCCTAACCTACCTTATTCAGTTTTCCTGGATATTGTCTTTTCCTAAAAAGAAAAACTTGTGGGTTCTCCATTCAGTCTCCCCCAAAGGTAAGCATTGCTGTAATGTGGAGGATTCCAGAGTAGAGCTGGGCAGAGCAGAGGTGGCCAGCAGCAGTTTAGGACTTGGCCATATCTGAAGATAGACAAGATCCGGGAACTGGGACTGAGCCTCAGCCTTCCTAAGACCTGTAGATTCTCTGTGGTGTAGCATATCTGCCACCTGAGTTACCCTCCAGTTAAATTACAGTATTTATTCATTTCATTTATGTGTTCATTCTGTATTTTCTTTAAAGGGGAAAAGCCTTATGAATGTTATATTTGTCATGCTCGGTTTACCCAAAGTGGTACCATGAAGATGCACATTTTACAGAAGCACACAGAAAATGTGGCCAAATTTCACTGTCCCCACTGTGACACAGTCATAGCCCGAAAAAGTGATTTGGGTAAGTAGATTAACTAGTGAGAAGTGAAAAAAATATTTTGAAGGATTTATATTTCGAAATATGGGGATCAAAAATAACTTCACCTTCTGACTCTCATAACATTTTATGTATAGGAATGGCCTGTCACTTAGTTTAGTAAAAGCCATTGCTTAGCTGCTTTTTTTTTTTTTTTTTTTCTATTTCTTCCTTTTCTTACTGTAGTCAGGCCACAAGATTCTGTCCTGAGTAAAACTCATCTATAAATTAATGGGAGCTGTGATGGGAGGAGACAGAGTACACCTTTAATTAGTAGCCTTCCTTCCCCAAATAGGAAAGTAACATAGTGTGATTCAAACTCAGGTCATTCTATTGTATTTTTTTGAGAACGTCTGTACTTTCTCTAGGTAATGGGACTGTTTTATTGGTTTAGTGGTAACTGTATTTCTGTGCATAGTTAAACTAGAGTTTACATGCAGCCGGAGTTTATTAATAATATTTAGTGTAGGCCGGGCGCGGCAGCTCACACCTGTAATCCCAGCACTTTGGGAGGCCAACGCGGGTGGATCACGAGGTCAGGCGATCGAGACCATTCTGGCTAACATGGTGAAACCCTGTCTCTACTAAAAATACAAAAAATTAACTGGGCATGGTGGTGGGCGCCTGTAGTCCCAGCTACTCGGGAGGCTGAGGCAGGAGAATGGCGTGAACCTGGGAGGTGGAGCTTGCAGTGAGCAGAGATCACGCCACCGCACTCCAGCCTGGGTGACAGAGCGCGACTCTGTCTCAAAAAAAAAAAAGGTAACGAGTAAAAAGTGAGAGCCATCCTCTCCCTTACCTCATATCTACTCCCAATAATTAGCTCTCTTTAAGTTTAGTGGGATATCACCTCAGTTGATACAACTTGTAGTACCGTAAATACATAAATTCATGATCCCAAATGTAGCTGGGCCCTCACTGCTCCTAGCTGTTCCAGCTGTTTGTTCTTGTCAGGTGTGCTCCAGTTCTTTATGAGTGAGCGAATTCATTCCACAGTGTTTGGTGCTTATATAGAGTTGGGCAACCTACTCTTACTTTTTTTTTTTTTTTTTTTGAGATGGAGTTTTCCTCTCGTCACCCAGGCTGGAGTATGATGGCATGAACTCAGCTCACTGCCACCTGTGCCTCCCAGGTTCAAGTGATTCTCCTGCCTCAGCCTCCTGAGTAGCTGAGATTATAGGCGCATACCACCATGCCCGGCTAAATTTTTTTTTTTTTTTTTTTTTGTATTTTTTAGTAGAGATGGGGTTTCACCATGTTGGCCAGGCTGGTCTTGAACTCCTGACCTCAGGTGATCTGCCTACCTCGGCCTCCCAAAGTGCTGGGATTACAGACATGAGCCACCGCGCCCAGCCCTCACTTGCTTTTTTTTGTGACAAAGTTTTGCACTTGTCACCCAGGCCAGAGTGCAGTGGCCTGATCTCTGTTCACTGCAACCTCCGCCTCCTGGGTTCAAGCTCTTCTCCTGCCTCAGCCTCCCAAGTGGCTGGGACTACAGGTGCCCGCCCATGGCTAATTTTTGTATTTTTAGTAGAGACAGGGTTTCACCATGTTGGCCAGGCTGCTCTCGAACTCCTGACCTCAAGTGATCTGCCCTCATTGGCCTCCCAAAGTGTTGGGATTACAGGCGAGAGCTGCTACACCAGATCCCCTACTCCTATTTTCTTATAACCTCTAATTTTCCTTCTTTTTTCTCTCCCCTCTTGGTCTCAGTAAATGACTTCTCTTCCTACTTAAAAAATAAAGACAAAGGGCCAGGCGCAGTGGCTCACGCCTGTAATCCCAGCACTTTGGGAGGCCAAGGTGGGTGGATCATTTGAGCTTAGGAGTTCCGGAGCAGCCTGGGCAACATGGCAAAACTCCATCTCTACCAAAAATACAAAACGGTTGTGGTGAGGTGCACCCTTGGTTCCAGCTACTCAGGAGGCTGTGGTGGGAGGATCACTTGAGCTTAAGAGGTAGAGGTTGCAACGAGCCGAGATCGTGCCACTGCACTCCAGCTTGGGTGACAGAGAGACCCCATCTCAAAAAAAAAAAAGAATCTTAGCCAGACACAGTGGCTCACACCTGTAGTTTCAGCTATTCAGGAGGATGGGCCAGGAGTTCTAGACCAACCTGTGTGATATAGCAAGACCCCGTCTCTTAAAATAAATAAAAATATAGCCGGGCACGGTGGCTCACGCCTCTAATCCCAGCACTTTGGGAGGCTGAGATGGGCGGATCACAAGGTCAGGAGATGAAGACCATCCTGGCTAACACAGTGAAACCCCATCTCTACTAAAAATACAAAAATTAGCCGGGTGTGGTGGCACATGCCTGTAGTCCCAGGTACTTGGGAGGCTGAGGCAGGAGAATTGCTTCAATCCGGGAGGGGGAGGTTGCAGTGAGCGGAGATCGCGCCACGGCACTCCAGCCTGGGCAAGAGAGTGAGACACTGTCTCAAAAAAAAAAAAAAAAATTATATATGTGTGTGTGTGTGTGTGTGTGTGTGTGTGTGTGTGTGTGTGTGTATGTGTGTGTATATATATGTGTGTGTGTGTATATATGTGTGTATATATATATGTATTCATATATATATGTATTTTTATATATATGTATGTCTTCACCCTCTAGGTTTAACTCTTCTCTCCTTCCCAGCCAGCCTTTATGAAGAGTTAACATCCCTCACAGTCTTCTCCCCCTCATCTTTCCCTCTTGTCTGGCTTATTCCCCATCACTCTGGTATAATGACTGTTGCTTAAGGTCATGAATGACCCCACTCTCTGAATGTAGTGAAGACTCCTTTCCACTCTTCTTCCTAAGAGATGACTTGATCTGTTAGCAGTGTTCTTCATCGTTGACAGTACCCTCTTCCTTTGAAACACTTTCTTCCCTTGGCCTCTGTGACACTAAATCCTGTTGGTTTTCTTCTTCCTCTTACTTCTTTAAACTTTCTCTTATTTTAACCTTTTTTTCTCTCACTGGCCTTAACTCCAAGGTTTTTGTTTTTGTTTTTGTTTTTTACTGGAGACTGTCTTGCTCTGTTGCCCAGGCTGGAGTTCGGTGGCTCAGTCTTGGCTCACTGCAGCATCGACCAGGCTCAAGGAATCCTCCCACCTCAGCCTCCCTGGTAGCTAGGACCACAGGCACATGCCACGATGACCAGCTAATTTTTTTTTTTAGCTTTTGGTAGAGACAGGGTTTCACTATGTTGCCCAGGCTGGTCTCGTACTCCTGGACTCAAGCAATCCACCCACCTCAGCCTCCCAATATGCTAGGATTACAGGTGTGAGCCACCACACCTGGCCCAACTCTGAGACTTCTTTGTGTGTATGTGTGCTTGTGTGCTTTGTGTGAGAGACGGAGTTTCACTCTGTCACCCAGGCTGGAGTAGAGTGGCGCGATCTCGGCTCACTGCAACCACCACTTCCCTGGTTTAAATGATTCTCCTTCCTCATTTTCCCGAGTAGCTGGGACCACAGGTGTACGCCACCATGCCTAGCTAATTTTTGTATTTTTCAGTAGAGACGGGTTTCACTATATGTTGGCCAGGCCAGGTCTCAAACTCCTGACCTCAGGTGATCCACCCACCTTTGCCTCCTAAAGTGCTGGGATTCTTTTTGAGATGGAGTCTTTGTCGCCCAGGCTAGAGTACAGTGCAGTAGCACAATCTTGGCTCACTGCAACCTCTGCCCCCCAGGTTCAAGCCATTTTCTTGCCTCAGCCTCCCGAGTAGCTGGGATTACAGGTTTACAGGCATACACCACCACGCCCAGCTAATTTTTGTACTTTTTAGTAGAGACAGAGTTTTGCCATGTTGGCCAGGCTGGTCTTGAACTCGTCACCTCAGGTGATCCACCTGCCATGGCCTCCCAAAGTGCTAGGATTACAGGCGTGAGCCACTGTGCCTGCCAACTCTTAGACTTCTCAAAGCATGACCCATTCTTTTTATTTTAATTCTACTTTTTGCCTTGGTGATCTTATCAGCTCCCATGGGCTCAAATTCTAACAACTCTTTGTGGCATTGGTGGTACAGTGATAAGCATAGCTGCTTTCAAATCCTAACAACTTGTACATTTATATTCCTACTCCAGATCTTTCTTTTGAGTTAGCCTTATATAACTGTGTATCCCTTGCCATCCCACCCCTGCTTTTATATCTCTGGCATTTCAAATTCAGCATGTCTAAAACTGAAGGTCTAAAACTTCTCTGTCCCCTATGCCCCCCCACCCCCCGACCCTGAAAATAACACATACAACTTGGTCTTAAGCCCTCTTCCACTATTCTTGTCTCAATAAATGACCCCAACAGCTACCTGGTTTTCCAGGCCTGATACCTACTTTATTCTTCACTCTCTACAGTCACTAAATCCTGTTGATTCAACTGCTTCCATCTCTCATCAGTTCTTCCCCTTCCATCCACACCCATTGTCATCACCCTTGTCCCAGCCACCATCTTCTCCCACCTATCCTGTTTGAACAATCTTAATTGTTCTCCCTGCACCTGTTACTCTGCCTTTTCATTCATTTTCTGTATAGCACCCAGAGTAATACTTAAGAATCAGGAGAAATGGGCTGGGCGCAGTGGCTCACACCTATAATTCCAGCATTTTGGGAGGCCGAGGCGGGCAGATCACGAGGTCAGGAGATTGAGACCATCCTGGCTAACATGATGAAACCCTGTCTCTACTAAAAATACAAAAATAAAAAATAAAAAAATTAGCCGGGCATGGTGGCGGGCGCCTGTAGTCCCAGCTACTCAGGAGGCTGAGGCGGGAGAATGGCATGAACCTGGGAAGTGGAGCTTGCAGTGAGCTGAGATTGCGCCACTGCACTCCAGCCTGGGTGACAGAGCAAGACTCCGTCTCAAAAAAAAAAAAAAAAAAAAAGAATCGAGAAATGTATTAGTAACTTGTTAAAATGCTTGTTTGTGTTTTCACATTACCCTGGGCTTTTTACTGTGCTTTCAGGTGTCCACTTGCGAAAGCAGCATTCCTATATTGAGCAAGGCAAGAAATGCCGTTACTGTGATGCTGTGTTTCATGAGCGCTATGCCCTCATCCAGCATCAGAAGTCACACAAGAATGAGAAGCGCTTTAAGTGTGACCAGTGTGATTACGCTTGTAGACAGGTAGGAACCTTCATTGAAAGTTGTTGGTGCTTTCTCGGTGTCTGGTGTTATCAGAGGGCATTTACATATCTAGTACAGTGGCTGTTTTTAAAGATAGTATTTTCAAACTGTGGATTATGAGGAATGTCACCAAAATCAAAGGTCATGCTCCTTGTCAATTGTGTCATCCCGGTGTCCAGATGATGTTTTATTCAGTCACAGCTTACCTCTTCCTTAAGCAGACATCTTTCTGAAAACTGTGGAAAGTAAGTCCAGGACTTGAGAGAGGGGAAGAATCTCATGCGGGGACATGACTGTTGGGAGGGAGCCAAAGAAGGAGCTCAGCAGGAATAAGCAGCTCTATCTGTGCTACAATTATGGAAGCAGTTGTGCACCACACTAAAAATACCTTTATCAAGCCGGGTGCAGTGGCTCACACCTGTAATCCTAGCACTTTGGGAGGCCGAGATAGGCAACAGAGAGAGACCCCATCTCTACAAAAAGAAAAAATTAGGGCCGGGCGCGGTGGCTCGAGCGCCTGTAATCCCAGCACTTTGGGAGGCTGAGGTGGGCGGATCACTTGAGGTCAGGAGCTTGAGAGCAGCCTGGCCAACACGGTGAAACCCCGCCTCTACTAAAAATACAAAAATTAGCCGGGCATGGTGATAGACGCCTGTAATCCCAGCTACTCTGGAAGCTGAGGCAGGAGAATCGCTTGAACCTGGGGCGGAGGTTGCATTGAGCCGCGATTGCGCCACTGCGCTCCAGCCTGGGTGGCAGAGCGAGACTCTGTCTCCAAAAGAAAAAGAAAAAATTAGCTGGGGCCAGGCACGGTGACTCACACCTGTAATCCCAGCACTTTGGGAAGCCAAGGCAGGCAGATCATTTGAGGTTGGGAGTTCAAGACCAGCCTGGCCAACCTGGTGAAATCCCATCTCTACTAAAAAAAAAAAACAAAAAAACACGAAGGTCGGCCGGGCGCGGTGGCTCACGCCTGTAATCCCAGCACTTTGGGAGGCCGAGGCAGGTGGATCACAAGGTCAGGAGATCAAGACCATCCTAGCTAACACAGTGAAACCCCGTCTGTACAAAAAATCAGCTGGGCGTGGTGGTGGGTGCCTGTAGTCCCAGCTACTCCGGAGGCTGAGGCAGGTGAATGGCATGAACCCAGTGAGCCGAGATTGCGCCACTGCACTCCAGCCTGGGCGACAGAGTGAGACTCCATCTCAAAAAAAAAAAAAAAAAAAAAAGTCAGCTGGGTGTGGTGGCAGGCACCTGTAATCGCAGCTACTCAAGAGGCTGAGGCAGGAGAATTGCTTGAATCCGGGAGGTGGAGGTTGCAGCGAGCCAAGATCGCGCCACTGCACTCCATCCTGGGCGATAGAGCGAGACTCCGTCTCAAAAAAAAAACAAAAAAAATTAGCCAGGCATGGTGGCTCATACCTATGGTCCCATTTTGAAGCTGCAGTAAGCCATGATCACACCACTGCTCTCCAGACTTTGCAACAGAGCAAGACCCTGTCTCTAAATATATAGCTTTATCATCTCAACAAGCCGTGTGGAGTCTAGACCTAGCTTGGGTGAGAAATACCTGTTGGCCACATGCATGCAGGTGGCAGCTGGGGCAGTAGCCCCATGAGCAGGCTCTGAGGCCTTTCCCCCTATGCCGTTTCAGGAGAGGCACATGATCATGCACAAGCGCACCCACACCGGGGAGAAGCCTTACGCCTGCAGCCACTGCGATAAGACCTTCCGCCAGAAGCAGCTTCTCGACATGCACTTCAAGCGCTATCACGACCCCAACTTCGTCCCTGCGGCTTTTGTCTGTTCTAAGTGTGGGAAAACATTTACACGTCGGGTAAGGGTCAGAACTTCACTTTGCCTGTTATGATACTGAATATTGGATTTTTGGTCTTCCTCTGCAGAGCATGGTAGTTTTTTTCACTGAGGTTATAAACAGAGATGCTCCATTGTTTGGAAAGGGTTAGTCATCCCCATCTTGATGTTTCTATCCATGTGTGAACCCTTCCACTGATGGGGAACACAGTATCTTTGAATAGATTGATTGCATAAAGAAATTTCCTGGCCAGGCGCGGTGGCTCGCGCCTGTAATCCCAGCACTTTGGGAGGCCAAGGTGGGTGGATCACGAGGTCAGGAGATCGAGACCATCCTGGCTAACATGGTGAAACACCGTCTCTACTAAAAATACAAAAAATTAGCTGGGTGCGGTGGCGGGCCCCTGTACTCCCAGGAGGCTGAGGCAGGAGGATGGCGTGTACCCGGGAGGCAGAGCTTGCAGTGATCCGAGATGGCACCACTGCACTCCAGCCTGGGCGAAAGAGCAAGACTCCGTCTCAAAAAAAAAAAAAAAATTTCCTTAGGTGGATTGAAACCTGCACCCCACCCTACCCCACCCTTAGCTAGCTGTAGCCTGTTCTGGGTCTTCTCTTGGGGGCTCTGTTAGATCTTGACAGAACTAAGAGCTGGTCTGATCCTCCCCCGTCTCTGTCTGCAGGCTGCTGAGCCTCCCCTTAGAGAACCCAGCCTTATCCATTTCCCCTGAGCAGAGACAGCGTGTTCAGGACACACTTAGCAGATACTAGAATTTTTAGGCTTAATATGGATTTTATTAAAGTAAATAACTTCCAATCTGATCTTAGCTTTTTTAGTGGTGTGAAAGAGGATTTTGTTCTTTTTGTTAGAATACCATGGCAAGACATGCTGATAATTGTGCTGGCCCAGATGGCGTAGAGGGGGAAAATGGAGGAGAAACGAAGAAGAGTAAACGTGGAAGAAAAAGAAAGATGCGCTCTAAGAAAGAAGATTCCTCTGACAGTGGTAAGTGACTTGTTCCTTGATTTGCTTACTATGGCAGGCTTTGGAGCCCAGTTTCCAGTGTGTTTATGTATGGATATGCTGGGATATAGAGGCGGGCACACACTCTTCCTTTCTTTAAACTTCTCATCTCCTAACGTCTATTTACAACAGCAGTTAGTGTTTTTCTGGGGCATATTTTCTTTTTTCTTCGTGGCATTCCGCTCATTAATGCCCTTTTTTTTTTTTTTTTTTTTTTTTTTTTTTTTTTTTTTTTTTTTTTGAGACGGAGTCTCGCTCTGTCGCCCAGGCTGGAGTGCACTGGCGCGATCTCGGCTCACTGCAAGCTCAGCCTCCCGGGTTCACGCCATTCTCCTGCCTCAGCCTCCCGAGTAGCTGTGACTACAGGCGCCCACCACCAGGCCTGGCTAATTTTTTTGTATTTTTTAGTAGAGACGGGGTTTCACCGTGTTAGCCAGAATGGTCTCGATCTCCTCACCTCATGATCCGCCCTCCTCAGCCTCCCAAAGTGCTGGGATTACAGGTGTGAGCCACTGCGCCCGGCCATTATTAATGCCTTATACGTAATCTTGAGTTAAAGCAAAATTAATATTTTTATTCAGTTTATTCAAATTTGTGATATTCTAAGGCCAGCAGAGTTTCTTTTCCTATGTTCTTAACTTTTACATTTAGGAAGCTGGTCTAGATAAGAGCAGTGAATCTAATGGACATGAAGAAGGTTGTTTAAGCATCTTCACTTATGGTTTGACTGCCTGTGTCAGCCTAACCTTGAGAGGTGCTGATCAAGTCAGTGAAGGTCAGCCTTTCTCTTCCTACCTTAATCTCTCCATTTAAAGTTTAAAATCTTGCCTATTTTCCTACCACAGGTACTCTTTGGAGTGTTTTTTGCCTCTCTAGTCATGAAACCCAGGCAGGAGGTTGTGCTTAGAAGTGCCAAGCCTCGGTCGGGCACAGTGGCTCATGCCTGTAATCCCAGCACTTTGGGAGACAAAGATGGGCAGATCACTTGAGGTCAGGAGTTCGAGACCAGCCTGGGGAACATGGCAAAACCTTGTCTCTACAAAAAATTTAAAAATTAGCCAGGTGTGGTGGTACATGCCGATAGTCCCAGCTACTCGAGAGGCTGAGGTGGGAGAATCACCTGAGCCCGGGAAATTGAGGCTGCAGTGAGCTGTGATCACGCCACTGCCTTCCAGTCTGGTGGTCGAAGTGAGACCTTGTCTCCAAAAAAAACAAAAAGTGCCAAGCCTCACAAAGAGGGTGGAGGAACAAGAGTCTTGGTAACTTGGAGGCCACATTTAATTACACAAACATGTTCAGAGTGTTAGATTCTGTAGTGTGGATATCTAGGTTGCTGGCATCCAGGTGGGAAGGCACCTCTGTAACTAAAGACTTAAGGTATGGATGGAAAAGGTGGTAGAGAGTTTGGTTTTAGGAAATGGACTTCCCAGAAGCACCATTAAACTGGAGAGATTATAGATGATGCCTGATAGTCTAGGGATTCTTCATATTGTGTTTTGCACTGGTTGTCAGTAGAAATAGTGGGGAGGGGTTGAGATTTTTGAAGAAGGAACATATTGGAGAACTTTAGTGACTTTATTGGGCTTTTTTTGTTCTTTGTTTGTTTTTTTTTTGTTTTTTGTTTTTTTTTTGAGACAGTGTCTCCCTCTTGTTGCCCAGGCTGGAGTGCAGTAGTGCGATCTCTGCTCACTGCAACCTCCACCTTCTGGGTTCAAGCGATTTTCCTGCTCAGCTTCCCAGGTAGCTGGGATTACAGGCATGCCCCACCACACCCTATTAGTTTTTGTATTTTTAGTAGAGATAGGGTTTCACCATGTTGGCCAGGCTGGTCCAGAACCCCTGACCTCAGGTGATCCATCCGCCTCGGCCTCCCAAAGTGCTGGGATTACAGATGTGAGCCACTGTGCCCGGCTGTTTTTTTGTTTTTAAATAGAGATGGGGTCCCACTGTGTGGCTCAGGCTGGTCTCGTAACTCCTGGGCTCAAGTGATCCTCCTGCCTCGACCTCCCAATGTGCTGGGATTATAGGCATGAGCCACTGCACCCAGCTACTTTATGGGTTTTATTGTAAAACTTTCTCATGAAAGCACTAAGCTGTTTATGTTTGGATCTGTAACAAGGTCCCCCCCACCCCCCCCCCCTTTTTTTTTTCCTTTTTTTAAATGGAGTATCCGTTTTAAGTAGCATCTTCTTCAGTCACTGGGTGTTAAGTGTATGCCTCCTTTAAGATGTCAATTTGCAGCTGGTCATGGTGGCTCACGCCTGTAATCCCAGCACTTCGGTAGGCCAAGGCAGGCAGATCACCTTAGCTCAGGAGTTCAAGACCAGCCTGGGGAACATGGCAAAACCCTGTTATCTACAAAAAAATACAAAAATCAGCAGGGGGTTGTGGCCTGCGCCTGCGGTCCCAGCTACCTGGGAGGCTGAGGTGGGAGGATGGCTTGAGCCCAGTAGGTTGAGCTGCAGTGAACTGAGATAGTGTCACTGCACTCCAGCCTGGGTAACAGAGCGAGACCCTGTCTCCAAAAAAAAAAAAAAAGGGAAAAAAATTATTGCACTGAACTGTTGGGGGTTTTCAGAAATGTTAGGAGACTCCCAGATATTACCAGTGATCAGATAATCTTAACCTTGGGGATCCCTATAGTTGTTCTTAGTTGCAAAGCCGCCTGCTGCCAGACTCTGTCCTATGTCCTGCTTTCTCCTGATACTGCCTTGTTCACTTCTGTGGTTCATCTCCAGGAAGACCAGCTTCTTTCCCTAATTGTATGTAACCAGAAGCATCTTTAGTCAAAAGAGATTATTGATAGCTTCTGATAGATTTCTACAGTTCTGTGTTCTGTCTGCTGCTGGTTAGTAGAGCATGGAATTTGGTTCCAGGCCTTATACCTAGTGACTCTTTATCTCCCCCAGAAAAGGGACGTCAGCCTGGGCTCCATGCCACTGTTGGCCATGCAGTCTTACTTGTCCTGACCCAGAAGTTCTGCCTGTCGGCTGTCTACAGAGATTGACCAGCAGATGGTCTACTGCTGTTTTCAAGGCTTTTTGCTGAAATACCACCAAGCCAATAAGCCTTTGATCCTGTTAGCCTGCTTTTGTGTGCTTTTCCCCCAATTCTGACTGAACTTGTTTAGTTTTCTAGGCATTGGGCCAACTTAGGCAATAGAGGGCTTGAAGAAGTTCAGCAGGGAAGCATCTCTCGTTCTTGACACACTGCCACCTATCTATATATTCCCCACGTTTTCACTTAGGATTTCAGTCACTTGAGAAATAAGGCATTTTATCTGGAAGATCAGGAGTTTACCCACAGATCTCTAAATTTAAACATTTTGTTCCAGAGAAAGAGAGTGCATGTTAATAACCCGTGCTTTCTAGAGGAAGGCAGGCAGTGTACATTTTGTGCCGCAGCCATGGGGGAGGGATAACAAAAGCTCTTTGGCTGCCTGCAGATGTGGGCGCCAGAACAGCCCCAGACTGAGGGCAGAGGTTTGAATTCTACCTGCTGTGACTTAGCTGTGCATTGCAGTCACTTAGTTTCTCACTTTTTCTATAAAATGAGGGTAACACCCTCATTCAATGAAGTACTGAAGCCTAAGTGGAAAATGGTGAATTTTTAAATTGTGATGTTTGCTATAAGTAAAAGCTGTGTTTGTGGTAGACTATAGGTTACGGAGCAGGATTAAATGAGTTCCGTGAGTCCTGTTGATCCCCAGGTGTCACTATTAAATGGAGTGAGAATGTTACAGAAATTACTCAGGGAAACTGAGTCTCAGCTGGTCAGATGTCCCAGGTCACGTACCTAGTAAGAGATCTGAGACTCAGCCTTGTTGCCTGGCTCCTCGTCAGTATTCTTTATACAATAGTTTCCTCACTTTCATGTACCACTTATTTTACCACGAATGGACAATTGTGGCATTAGGGAGGAGAGCAAGAGGGTTGGAAATGACACATTGGGTCTAGTACAGCTGGGAATTAAGTCCAAAAACTTGACCTTAAAAGAGAATCAATAATAGTTTCAAAAGAACTCTTGCTACTTACCTTAGTAAATAGGACCTCACAATGCGTAAGAATTTCTGGCCAGGCGTGATGGATGAAGCCTGTAATCCTAACACTTTGGGAGGTCAGGAGTTAGAAGCTGCAGTGAGCTATGACCGCACCAGTGCACTCCAGCCTGGGTGACAGAACAAGACCCCGCCTCAAAAAAAAAGAAAAAGAATTTCCGTCTTGTCCCCTGACACACACACACACACACACACACACACACACACTCTCACTCACTCACTCTTACCCTTCCTGCCCACTTAGAGATGAGCAGAACCACATCTCCAAGGGTCCATTTCCGGCTTAGTGTCCTGCTTTATCCTGGTATAGTAGGTAGGGGGATCATGAGAATTTGAAATTCGGTATTGTGTTGAGTCAAAAAAGGGTCTAAAGCTAAAAGGAAAAAGTAATAGCCAATCCCACATAAAATGTGAATAATAGTATTCAAGTCGATTTGCTTCATTCTGCTGTAATACCTGTTTATTATATTAATCCTGATAGCAAAAATTCCAGCAAAAGCATTTTTATTTATTATTTTTTGGAACCTCACACCCTGCTCCCCTAAAAGCATTTTTAAATGGGCTTTTGTTTTGTTTTTAGTTTTTATTTATTTTTGTTGTTATTTGTTTGTTTTTCCCAGACAAAGTCTTACTCTGTCACCCAGGCTGGAGTGTAGTGGAGTGATCTCAGCTCACTGCAACCTCCGCCTCCCAGGTTCAAGTGATTCTCATACCTCAGCCTCCTAAGTAGCTAGGATTACAGGTGCCCGCCATCACAGCTGGCTAATTTTTGTATTTTTAGTAGAGATGGGGTTTCACCATGTTGGCCTGGCTGGTCTCAAAGTCCTGACTTCAGGTGATCCACCCACCTCGGCCTCCTAAAGTGCTGGGATTACAGGCGTGAGCCACCATGCCCAGCCTAAATGGGCTTTTTTTTTTTTTTTTTTTTTACACAGGATCTCACTGTATCACCCAGGCTGAATACAGTGGTGAAATCACAGCACGCTGCAGCCTCTACCTCCCTGGCTTAAGCAGGCCTCTTGCCTCCGTCTCTTGAGTAGCTGGGACTACAGACACACACCACCGTGTCCTGCTAATTTCTTCCTTTTTTTTTTTTTCTTATTTTTTTTCCTTGAGACGGAATCTCACTCTGTTGCCCAGGCTGGAGTGCAATGGCGTGATCTCAGCTCACTGCAACCTCCACCTCTCGGGTTCAAGCAATTCTTCTGCCTCAGCCTCCTGAGTAGCTGGGATTACAGGTGCCGCCACCACACCTAGCTAATTTTTGTATTTTTAGTAGAGACGGGGTTTTACCATGTTGGCCAGGCTTGTCTCGAACTCCTAACCTCAGGTGATCCACCTGCCTCAACCTCCCAAAGTGCTGGGATTACAGGCATGAGTCACTGCGCTGGGTAAATTTTGTTTTTGTTTTTGTTTGTTTGTTTGTTTTTTTGAGACGGAGTCTTGCTCTGTTGCCAGGCTGGAGTGCAGTGGCGCAATCTTGGCTCACTGCAACCTCTGCCTCCTGGGTTCAAGTGATTCCACTGCCTCAGCCTCCCGAGTAGCTGGGACTACAGGCATGCATCATCACACCCGGCTAATTTTTTGTATTTTAGTAGAGACAGGGTTTCACCATGTTGACGAGGATGGTCTCGATCTCCTGACCTTGTGATCCACCCGCCTCAGCCTCCCAAAGTGCTGGGATTACAGGTGTGAGCCACCATGCCTGGCCACCTTTTGTTTTTTTGTTTTTTTTAAAGTAGAGACGGGGTTTCACCATATTTGCCAGGCTGGTCTCGAACTCTTGACCTCAAGTGAGCTGCCCACCTTGCCCTCCCAAAGTGCTGGGATTACAGGCATGAGCCATCACACCGAGTCAATTTCGTTTTTGTTTTTTGTTTGTTTGTTTGTTTTTCTCTGGAGACAGAGTTTCACTCTTGTGGCCCAGGCTGGAGTGCAGTGGCGGATCTCAGCTCACCGCAACCTCCGCCTCCCAGGTTCAAGTGATTCTTCTGCCTCAGCCTCCCGAGTAGCTGGGATTACAGGTATGCGCCACCACGCCCAGCTAATTTTATATTTTTAGTAGAGTCAGGGTTTCTCCATGTTGGACAGGCTGGTCTCAAACTCCCAACCTCAGGTGATACACCCACCTCAGCCTCCCAAAGTACTGGGATTACAGGTGTGAGCCACCACGCCCAGCTGCCAGTTTCTTATTTCTTGTAGAGATAAGGTCTCACTATGTTACCCAAGCTGGTCTTGAACTCCTGAACATGAGTGATCCTCCAACCTCAGCCTCCCAACGTGCTGGGATTACAAGTGTGAACCACCGTGCCCAGCCTTAAATTGATTTTTCTTAATAATTGGCTGAGCATGCTGGCTCACACCTGTAATCCCAGCACTTTGGGAGGCCGAAGCAGGCAGATTGCCTGAGGTCAGGAGTTTGAGACCAGCCTGGCCAACATGGCGAAACCCCATCTCTACAAAAAATACAAAGATTATCTGGATTGGCTGGGCACGTTGGCTCATGCCTGTAATCCCAGCACATTGGGAGGCCGAGGCAGGTGGATCACCTGAGGTCAGGAATTCAAGACCAGCCTGACCAATATGGTGAAACCCCATCTCTACTAAAAATACAAAAATCAGCCAGGTGTGGTGGCGTATGCCTGTAGTCACAGCTACTCAGGAGGCTGAGACAGGAGAATTAAACCCAGGTTGCAGAGGTTGCAGTGAGCTGAGATCGTGCCGCTGCATTCCAGCCTGGGCGACAGAGTGAGACTCTGTCTCAAAAAAAAAAAAAGAAGGAAAAAAAAATTACCTGGGCATGGTGGTGCGTGCCTGTAGTCCCGGCCACTCAGGAGGCTGAGCCACGAGAATTGCTTGAATCTGGGAGGCAGAGATTGCAGTGAGCCGAGATCGCGCCACTGCACTCCAGCCTGGGCAATAGAGTGAGACTGTCTCAAAAAAAAAAAAAGAAAGAAAGTGTATATATATATATATATATATTTATAAAACAAGACTTCAAATAATATATAATTGTTTTCTTTCATCTTCCACCACCCTTCTCCTTGCCCCACCACCTGTGCTTCCTGATTTCATGAAAAGAAAATGCTGAACCAGATCTGGACGACAATGAGGATGAGGAGGAGCCTGCCGTAGAAATTGAACCTGAGCCAGAGCCTCAGCCTGTGACCCCAGCCCCACCACCCGCCAAGAAGCGGAGAGGACGACCCCCTGGCAGAACCAACCAGCCCAAACAGAACCAGCGTAAGTTGTTCATCTCTGCTCTGGAGGCTGGCGTCTTCTCCGAGCATGTGGGGGAGCCAGATGGGTCCTTGTTCTTTGGGGATGTGGGAACTAAGCCATGAGAACAAGTTAAGGGCATGTCGAGAACAAACTCTCAGGAAATGGCTTTTTAGGAGTTTTTACTGAGGAACATCTGAGGAAGTCTTTAGAGGCCTGTTACATTTCAAGAAGAAGTCCAGAGTAGAAGGGTACTTGTGTTCTGCAAGATGGGTACTGTTAATGTGGGCGGGTTTTGAAAAACAACCAAAGTCACAGTCAGCTGGCAGAATGGATGCGGTAATGAATATAAAAGAGCCAAATCGTAAAGGTTGGAGAGGGAAAGCAGTTTCTGCACTGAGATTGCCCCTTCTAAGAAACTCAGGGTCAGGCGGTGGCTCATGCCTGTGATCCCAGCACTTTGGGGGGCCAAGGCGGGAGGATCACCTGAGGTCAGTAGTTCCATACCAGCCTGGTCAACATGGTGAAACCCCATCTCTGCTAAAAATACAAAAATTAGCCAGGCGTAGGGGTGGGCACCTGTAGTCCCATCTACTCAGGAGGCTGAGGCAGGAGAATTGCTTTAACCCGGGGGGCAGAGGTTGCAGTGAGCTGAGATCATGCCCGTGCACTCCAGCCTGGTCATAGAGCAAGACTCCGTCTCAAAAAATAAAATAAAAAATAAATTGACTGTCTCTGGACCGCTATCTAATAAGGCTGTCCTGCATTGCTGACATCCCGTTCGCTGTCAGTCTAAAAGACCCTTGTGATTCTTGGGGCTTTAATGGACCATTTGTTCTGTCTGTGCTCTTCTTTGCCAGCAACAGCTATCATTCAGGTTGAAGACCAGAATACAGGTGCAATTGAGAACATTATAGTTGAAGTAAAAAAAGAGCCAGATGCTGAGCCCGCAGAGGGAGAGGAAGAGGAGGCCCAGCCAGCTGCCACAGATGCCCCCAACGGAGACCTCACGCCCGAGATGATCCTCAGCATGATGGACCGGTGATGGCGGAGCCTTGTGCGTCGCCAGGACTTCTCTGGGCTGTGTTTAAACGGCCCGCATCTTAATTTTTCTCCCTTCTTTCTTTTTTTGGCTTTGGGAAAAGCATCATTTTACCAAACATACCGAGAACGAAAACTTCAAGGATGATGTTAGAAAAAAATGTGATTTAACTAGAACTTGCTGTCTGATGTTAGCAAATCATGGAATGTTCTGAGTCCCTGAGGGTTTACTGTGAAGTGCTGAGGACAGTGTTGACAACTAACTCGTTTTCCTAGATGGAAACGGAGACATTGACCCCTCCCTCCATGTGGTAAACCACTCCAGAATGGCCACCAGGCTTCCCAGAGTTCTATGGTCTTCTTCCCAAGAGAGTTTTTAATTGTAAATGCATACTTGGGAAGGACTTAGAGTTTTAAACTGTTTTTTGCTTTTGCTTTTCCCTGACTCCCTTTGCTTGGAGTCAGCTGCACACCAGTAGTATGGCATGCTACGATCAGGTTCTGTCCTGAAAGCTTTGCCTCTTTCTTGGCAAAGTTTCTGGTATGGTCAAGCTTGTAAATAACTTTTTTTACATTTTAATCTTTTCCATTAATTAAGAGGTTGAAAAGAAGTGCAGTGTAAGAAAACCCAGCATTTTAATTACTTGCAAATTAAGTTACCACAGACTCTGTAGTGTGTAAATGTTGACAAGGAATTGGATCACAATCATGTAGCAGAATGGCACCCAGACCACTGCCCACCAGTGACGGACATGCACGTGGCAGATCATGATTTCCAGCCCACGGAGCCAGCATTTGAACCTTGTATAATTAACTTTCAGTTATGATTTCCCATCGACATTTTCTTTGCCCTGTTTGTAGCTGATTGTTGTGTTTTATAAATCTTCTGTTAAGGCAGAAGGGTGATTATGAGTGGTTCACAGCAGCCCTTATAAGCTGGGCCAGAAAATTTCACTAGGTCAGTAATTTAAACCTTGGATCTTCAAAAAATAAAATAATGTGAAGCAAAACCAACTAAAAAGTGATTCTTGCACATGAACTGTCACATGTTTAAAAATGTGTTTTTTAGAGAGCCTCAGTCTTACTGATTTCAAACACTTTTTTCTTCTGTGTATTGCTTTTAAGAGAGCCATCAGTTAGCTATCAGACTCTAGGTTGATGCATTTTGTACTTAGCTGTACTGTGTGATATTTTTCATTATTTTAGGACGCCAACATGAGACCTGTAATAAAATATGTAATGGGGTTGAAAGCTGGGGAGGAGGATCTACTGCTGTACAGCTAATAAATCATAACGGATTAACAAGTGCTCCAAAGACTCCATCTTGCGTGATTCCTGCCTGCTTGAGGGAGGCTGGGGGGCTGCATACATGGTTCCAGGCTGTGCAGGCTGCTGCCTTTCACAGGCAACCTCTGTTCCCTGGGATGGTACTTTCTCTAGCAGATGGGACGATATGATCTTGGCGGGTGACTGGATATTGAGCGCATCCTGCTGTAACTGTTTTTTTGTTTTGTTTTGTTTTGTTTTGTTTTGTTTGAGATGGAGTCTCGCTCTGTTGCCCAGGCTGGAGTGCAGTGGCGCAATCTCAGCTCACTGCAACCTCCACCTCCCAGGTTCACGCCATTCTCCTGCCTCAACCTCCCGAGTAGCTGGGACTACAGGCGCCTGCCACCATGCCTGGCCAATTTTTTGTATTTTTAGTAGAGACTGGGTTTCACTGTGTTAGCCAGGATGGTCTCGATCTCCTGACCTTGTAATCCGCCTGCCTAGGCCTCCCAAAGTGCTGGGATTACAGGCGTGAGCCACCACACCCGGCCCCTGCTGTAACTTCTTAACTCCCCAAAATGTGTGTCTAAGTAGACAGGTGAGTAGATGGACAGCAGCCAGCTTCCATGATCCACTTGAGGAGTAAGTGCCCCATGCACAGAGTAGATGGGGCGTAGAGCTGCTTAGAGTGAAAGGGGCTGAGGGGAAGCTGGTCTACTCAGGCTCTCAGCTCAAGGAGGCCTAGGATCAGATGTACCTGGAGCTCTGCCAGGTGTGAGGGAACAGAGAGGAGCTGGGCCCAGTCTGCCCTAGAGAAGTTCATTTGAAAGGAGAGACAGATGCACAACCACCGAGTAGTGAAGAGACCGTCTTAGATAATAGAGCTGCCTGGTAGCACTTCAGGAAGGTGGTTGGAAAGGGAGTTGTGTCGTGTTTGGAATCTTAGGCGTGAGTGGAAAATTATCTTGCTGCTGCTGCCATTCCTAGGCAGATTGCTTTGGCAAACCCACTTGAGGTGAAAGCTTAAACCACTTGAGTTTTTTAACCTAAATTCCAACTTAGGAGTTGTCAATTAGAAGTAACAGAGCAAAATGTGTGAAGCTTTTAGCTGGCTAGTGCTGTCCACACAGATGGGTCTCCCAGGAAAACGACCCAGGGCCTCCTGGGGCCTCGGGACTCAGCCAGGCAGTTAACTCGTTGGTCTGAAAGTTAGTGGTCTCAGGCTGTTGGAGCTTGAGTTCTCTATCCCATCCACGGGTTTACCCGCCAGGGTACCCCCTACCAGCCAGCCAAAACTTTTTTTCTTTTTTTCTTTTTTTTTTTTGAGACGGAGTCTCGCTCTGTCACCCAAGCTGGAGTGCAGTGGCACAATCTTGGATCACTTCAACCTCCACCTCGGGTTCAAGGGATTCTCCTGCCTCAGCCTCCTGAGAAGCTGGGATTACAGGCACCCACCACCACACCTTGCTAATTTTTGTATTTTTAGTAGAGATGGGGTTTCACCATGTTGACCAGGCTGGTCTGGAACTCCTGACCTCAGGTGATCTGCCCGCCTCGGCCTCCCAAAGTTCTAGGATTACAGGCATGAGCCACCACACCCGGCCCCAACTTTTTTTTAATTCCAAGTTTTTTTTGAGACAGGGTCTCACTCTGTCACCTAGGCTGGGATGTGGTGGCACAATCAGCTCACTGTGACCTTGAACTAGGCTCAAGCAATCCTCCTACCTCAGCCTCCTGGATAGCTGGGACTATGGGCCATGCCATCACACCTGGCTCATTTTTGTTTTTTTTGTTTTTTTAGGGTTTTTTTTTTTTTTTTTTTTTTTAGAGATAGGATCTTGCTATGTTGCCCAGGCTAGTCTCAAACTCCTGGACTGAAGTGATCTTCCTGCCTCAGCCTCCAAAAGTGCTGGATTATAGGCATGAACCACCATTCCCAGCCACCTAAGCATATATAACCTCTTTGCAGAACAATGAGGCTCAGTTTTTCTGTATCTTCATTCAACACAGCCTGTCATTCCTGATTGTATACATTCTGTTTGAAAGGTTTTTGTTTGTTTGTTTGCTTGTTTGTTTGTTTTGAGATGGAGTCTCGGTCTGTTGCCAGGCTGGAGTGCAGTGGCGTGATCTCGGCTCACTGCAACCTCTGCCTCCCAGTTTCAAGCAATTCTCCTGCCTCAGCCTCCCCAGTAGCTGGGAATACAGGCACGCACCACCACACCTGGCTAATTGTATTTTAATAGAGACGGAGTTTCACCATGTTGGCCAGGATGGTCTCAATCTCCTGACCTCATGATCCGCCCGCCTCGGCCACCCAAAGTGCTGGGATTACAGGCGTGCACCACCATGCCCGGCCCTCTGTTAGAAAGTTTAAAAGTTTAAAAGTAGCCTCCCAGCTACTTGGGAGGCTGAGGCAGGAGAATTGCTTGAACCCGGGAGGCGGAGGTTGCAGTGAGCCAAGATTGCGCCACTGCACTCCAGCCTGGGTGACAGCGAGACTCCGTCTCAAAAAAAAAAAGTTTAAAAGTGGATTTGTTTTAGCTGGAGAGGGGGCAAGAGAATTGACATCCTGATGGAGTTAAGGCTGAAAAGGGATCCTCCTGCTGCATAGCCCAGGATGCATCCTGTCTGTCCCTTAATTATAAAACATTCAGCAGCAGAAGCCAGTTGTGTTACTGCTTCTGTTGACAGGGAAGTTCCTGAACCTGCATGCAGCTCCCTCAGTGTTAAGCCACAGAAGTAAAGAACCTTTGCCCCTTTCACCCCTAGGCTGGCATCACCCTATTGCTGCCCAGCTCAGCAAGTACCTGAACCCTTCTCTGACTTGTCAGGACCTGGTCTTTGAAAATCATCTGTGGTGAGCCTTATGGCAGCACCAAGGGGGCATAGCCCGGCCCACCTGGGAGGCAAGTCTCGCCCTCAGCCTGTGCTACCCAGAGCAGGCGAGGCTGATGCTCTCGGGAGCTTTGACATTTCCTGAATGCCCATGGAGTGGCATGCCATCCAGAACACAGACGGGCTTGAACAAGCTGACAGCTTCTCACTGAGTCACTGTCACTTGTAAGAACCGAGTCCCATGTGTTCACTTGGTCTCTGAGATCAGGTTTGCTGTGTTACTACCTCCCTGACCACCATCAGCCACGTGGCTAGCCCTGCAAGCCTGTCCAGATCTCTTAGTTGTCCCTGCCTGCCCCCATGTGCTCACACACACAGGGACTGGCCCCACTGGCATCGCTGCAGCCTCCAGAGGCCCTCCACCTGGGCATGGCTCCAGCCCTTTTGGCAGTCACTCTCATTTCTCTCTCCTCCTTGTCATTCTAAACAGAAAAATCCCAGTGAGGTGGATTTTCTGCCATTCTGTTTTGGAATCCCTGGGTTGTCATGGTAGACTTGGCAAATGTGAGTGTTATCTGAGTGCCAGGCACTGTTGCGGGCACTTCCCTTAATAAACATTGAATCCTTTGAGCAAGGCTTGAGGTTAGTTAATAGCTCCGGCTTACAAACAAAACTGGAAGACCAGAAAGGCTAAGCAATGTGTTCAGTGTCAAAATCTAGGCAGTGTGCCTGCAGAACCTGCTTTTTTTTTTTTTTGAGACGGAGTCTTGCTCTGTCGCCCAGGCTGGAGTACAGTGGTGAGATCTTGGTTCACTGCAACCTCTGCCTCCTGGGCTCAAGCAATGCTCATGCCTCAGCCTCCCCAGTAGCTGGGACTACAGGTGCCCACCACCACGCTTGGCTAACTTTTTGTATTTTAGTAGAGACAAGGTTTCACCATGTTGGCCAGGTTGGTCTCGAACTCCTGAGCTCAGGCGATCCACCTCGGCCTCCCAAAATGCTGGGATTATAGGCATGAGCCACTACACCTGGCCAGAACCTGCATTCTTGGTTCCTTGGCAGTACTGTGTGAGACCTACTGAATTGTCACCCTACAAGCAGTTTGAGGGTTCTGTGTGGTCTTAGAGCCTTAGATCTTAATCCAAATTATGTCTCTTCGTGGCCAGGCATGGTGTCTCACGCCTGTAATCCCAGCACTTTGGGAGGCCGAGGTGGGCAGATCACCTGAGGTCAGGAGTTGGAGACCAGCCTGACAAACATGGTGAAACCCCGTCTCTACTAAAAACATAAAAATTCCCTGGGTGTGGTGGCACATGCCTGTAATCCCAGCTACTTGGGAGGCTGAGGCAGAAGAATTGCTTGAACCCAGGAGGCAGAGGTTGCAGTGAACCAAGATCGCCCTACTGCACTCCAGCCTGGGCAACAAGAGCGAAGCTCTGTCTAAAATAATAATAATAATAATGATAATAATAATAATAATAATTAGCCCAGGCATGGTGGTGGGCACCTGTAATCCCAGCTACTCGGGAGACTGAGGCAGGAGAATTGCTGGAACCTGGGAGGCGGAGGCTGCAGTGAACCAAGATCGCCCTACTGCACTCCAGCCTGGGCAACAAGAGCGAAGCTCTGTCTAAAATAATAATAATAATAATGATAATAATAATAATAATAATTAGCCCAGGCATGGTGGTGGGCACCTGTAATCCCAGCTACTCGGGAGACTGAGGCAGGAGAATTGCTGGAACCTGGGAGGCGGAGGCTGCAGTGAGCCAAGATTGTGCCACTGCACTCCAGCCTGGACCACAGAGCAAGACTCTATCTCAAAACCAACAAACAAACCAAGTATGTCTCTTCAATCGGGGAGGCAGCAGGAACTCTCTGTGCTGCATCTTCTGCAGCTGACTCCTCCTTGTCACCCTTAGCTGTCATTTCACCTCCACCTTGCTGAGCTATGGGCAGGGTAGACTGCTGTTCCTTACCGCTTAAGTGGAGTTTAGATTGTAATAGAAGAAAAAAAATGCAGTCTCTTCCTGTGAACTTTCCAGAATCTAGGTCCTGGTCTTTGAGAGGGCAACAGGCTACCAGGCCCCACCCTATGACTGTCTGACCCCTCTCAGCCCTGGAGACACTGGCTTATTTCTCTCTCTCTGGCTGCCCCCTCCCAAACTCTCTCCAGCCTGGGGAGAAGGCAGACACAAGAAGACCCTCATGTACCTGGACGACTCACTCCGGCCCTCTATGAAGTGCTTGGGGTTCAGGGCTCACCTTAGCCCCAGGCTTCCCCCCGAAGGCTCCGGGTACACCCTCACCTTCGGCCCTGACCCCACCTCTGCGGCAAGGAAGGGCGTCTGGACCCATCAGGCTGTTTTTTTTTTTTTTTTTTAGACAGGACCTGGCTTTGTCACCCAGGCTGGAGTACAGTGGTGCGATCTCCGCTCACTGCAAACTCTGCCTCCCAAGCTCAAGTGATCCTCCCACCTCAGCCTCCCAAGTAGCTAGGATTACAGACACACGCCATCACGCCGTCTAATTTTGTAAATTATTTTGCAGAGACAGGGTCTCCCTATGTTGCCCAGCTTGGTCTCGAACTCTTTGGCTCAAGCGTTCCTCCTTCCTCGGCCTTCCAAAGTGCTGGGATTACAGGCGTGAGCCACCGCGCCTGGCCCCATCTGACATTTTTTCCCACCCATTCAAAATCTCTTGGATCCCTAACAGGGTCACGGACTCCAGGTTCGGAGCAACGGGCAGGACCTCCGGTGTTGGCAGAATTCGGGCGCTCCTTGCTGAACAGTCCCCCTTCTGCCAGGCGCCTCGTCCACCTCCGCAGCCTGGGCTTTGGAGGGGACCAGCCCCGGTGGGCCGCGGGGATCCCCAGGCAGGCAGCGTCCCCTGGTGTTCGCGGCAGGGACTGCGGGGCGGGGTGGAAGCCGGGGGCAAGGACCCGCTGGAGGCCCGCCACACCCGCGACCCTCCCGGCCACGCCACTGCCCACCCCGACGTCTACCCTGGCGGAGAAGCTCCTGGGCGACGGGGCGGGCGGGCAGGTGGGACTCGGCCCCCCTCCCACAACCCCGCTCCCGGGCAAGCTCTCGAGCCGCGAGGCCGGGGCGGGGAGGGGCCGGGCCGGGGGCGGCCTGGCAGGAAGCGGCGCGCACCTTCCGCCGCCGGAGGAGCAGGTGGCTGCCGTGCGGGTCTGGGCCCCAGGCTTCCTGTGTGCGCGCTCGTCCTCTGCTGTTTCCCGCCGGAGCTCGTTGGGCCTCCCCGGCCCGCCCGGCCCATGGCCCAGACCCCCGACGGCATCTCCTGTGAGCTCCGAGGTAAGCGCTGGCCCTTCCTGCCTTCTTGGCCGGGAGGAAGTAGTGCAGCCCCAAAATCAGAGGCCCACCCAGCGCCCCAGAGGGCCTGGTCAGAGGTCCTCCCTGCTCCCCAGGAGGGCAGGCGCCCCAGATCCTCTCCCCTCCTTCCTCGCTGGCCGCAGATAAGCCCCAGGGCCCCAGCCTGGCACAGACTGTGGGCACCAGTGGCTTCTGTGCAAGGACTGAAGTCACCCAGCAGGCTGCCCTTCCACAGGCGAGATCACCAGGTTCCTGTGGCCCAAAGAGGTGGAGCTGCTGCTGAAAACCTGGCTACCCGGGGAGGGTGCTGTGCAAAACCATGTCCTGGTATGGGGCAGGGGACAGAGCCGGGGAGGCGGCTGTGGCCCCACAGAAAGAGCCTCTTGCTCTGCCCAGGATATCAGACTGTCTTTCCCCAGGCACTGCTACGATGGAGAGCCTACCTGCTGCACACCACCTGCCTCCCGCTGAGGGTGAGTCCCAGGGCCTGGCCACACCCCCGCCCGCCAGCAGCTACCTTGGCAGGGGGCTGCATCTGCAGAGTGGTCCTTCTTGGCCTTGTGGGCCCTGACTTTGCACCAGCACTGGGCTCTGGGCAGCCGACAGGAGGGGAGTCCAGGCAGATCTGGCTCTGCCCCAGGCTGCCCAAAGGACTGGACTTCCATGAGGGCGGGGCTGGGGGCTTGGTCCCAGCTGATCTAGGCCCTTTCTAGGTGGACTGCACGTTCAGCTACCTGGAGGTCCAGGCCATGGCGCTGCAGGAGACACCCCCTCAGGTGAGACACCTAGTACCCTACCTGGGCCTGCAGCCTGGTCTTCATGCTACCACCATCACCTGCGCCCATGTGTGGAGCCGAGGCCTAGTAGTGCCCCTTCCCTAGGTCACCTTTGAGCTGGAGTCCCTGCGTGAGCTGGTCCTGGAGTTTCCTGGTGTGGCCGCCCTGGAACAGCTGGCCCAGCACGTGGCTGCAGCCATCAAGAAGGTCTTCCCTCGCTCGACCCTTGGGTGAGGCCTGGCAAATTCGAGGGGCTGGCAGGGGAGGAGGGAGTGCATGAGAAGGGCTGCTTCCCATCCCAGAGGCTGGAAGTCCTTTGCCCCCTTCTCCTTAACCCCCTACCAGGAAGCTATTCCGGAGGCCCACACCAGCCTCCATGCTGGCTCGGCTGGAGAGAAGCAGCCCCTCGGAGTCCACTGACCCCTGCAGCCCCTGTGGTAAGGGTGAAGGCAGAGCCACAGGCCTTCCAGCCTGCCCCACCTCTGCCTCCCCAGACCCGCAAGCTGGGGGGGCCCCAAACTGAACAGAGCCATTCAGGTCCCAGCCACCACCTAGTCTGTGGGTCTGGTCTTCCTCCATCGCTGATGTTTTGTCTCTCTCCTTTTCCACATCGCACCCCTATCCCCTCCCCAGGTGGCTTCTTGGAGACATACGAGGCTCTGTGTGACTACAATGGCTTCCCTTTCCGAGAGGAGATTCAGTGGGTGAGGGTAGGGCCCTTTTGAAGGGCTCTGGAGACATCTGGTCCCCCATGTGTGCTGAGCCCCTCCCTGCCCCTTGTGGCCCCAGGCGAACTGTAAGCATCTCCTTCTCACCCAGGACGTGGACACCATTTACCATCGCCAGGGCTGCCGCCATTTCAGCCTGGGAGACTTCAGCCACCTCGGCAGTCGGTGTGTGGCCTGCCAGGATGGGAGAGGAGGAAGATCCCGGGGCCCATATCCCTGGGCCTCAGTTTCTCCATGGAGGGGCTGCTGGGCCTGGGACCTGGCTGGAGGGCCCTGAGCTCTGCCTCTGTTCCCACCCTCCCACCAGGGACCTGGCCTTGAGTGTGGCTGCCCTGTCCTACAACCTGTGGTTCCGGTGCCTCTCCTGTGTGGACATGAAGCTGGTGAGGGGGTTCGGGGTAAGGGCAGGGAGGGGCCAAGGGTGTGGGCCAGGGTGCAGCCCGCTGAGGGCCAGGGTGCAGCCCGTGAGCCGCCGCCCTCTGCTTCTCAGAGCCTTGAGGTCTCAGAACAGATTCTGCACATGATGAGTCAGTCATCACACCTGGAGGAGCTGGTGCTGGAGACCTGCAGCCTGAGGGGGTGAGGGGGACAGGGCAGGGCTTGGAGAGGAGAGTCTGGAGGCTTGGGACTGGGGGCTAGTGGCCTGGGAGGGGTTGGCAAACCAGGGGCAGAATCTCATGCCTGGGGTCTGGTCCCCAGAGACTTTGTCCGACGACTGGCCCAGGCGCTGGCGGGACACTCAAGCTCTGGGCTGCGGGAGCTCAGCCTCGCGGGGAACCTGCTGGATGACCGAGGTATGACTGAGCCTGGGGACCGCAGGGGTGGGCAGCAGGAGGAGGTGAGACCCACGTGGCTGTTCCCACCCCCCAAGGCATGACTGCACTCAGCAGACACCTCGAGCGTTGTCCAGGAGCCCTGAGGAGACTCAGCCTGGCCCAGACAGGGTTGACACCGCGAGGTAGGCTGGATGAGGGAGGGGGTGAGGGGAGGGGGGTGGGGGTCTGTCCAACTGCTGAGTGACCCCGACCCACCACCAGGAATGAGGGCTCTGGGCCGGGCACTGGCCACCAATGCCGCCTTCGACTCCACCCTGACCCACCTGGACCTTTCTGGGAATCCTGGGGCGCTGGGGGCCTCCGAGGACAGTGGGGTGAGTGGCTGTCTTCAGGGTGGGAGCTTGGGGTTGCTCATAAGCCCTGGGTAGGCGATCCCCCACTCCATCGCACCCCTGTCCTCCCTCCAGGGCCTCTATAGCTTCCTGAGCCGTCCTAACGTACTGTCGTTCCTGAATCTCGCAGGCACCGACACTGCCCTGGACACTGTGAGGGGGTGCTCCGTGGGGGGATGGATGACCGGCAGGGCGGACTGGAGGGCGGGACGGGGAGGGCTCGGTCCCCCCGCGGGTGTAGCCAACAGCCTCCCCCCGCAGCTCTTCGCAGCGGTATCCCGAGGCTGCTGCACCAGCCTTACCCACCTCGACGCTTCGAGGAACGTCTTCTCCCGCACGTAAGGGGGACCTGTCGGGGCCGGGGGAGGCTGCTGGAAGCCGCCTCCTTGCGGCCCCAGGCCCACCTTCCCACTTCCCCCAGGAAGTCCCGCGCCGCGCCGGCCGCGCTGCAGCTCTTCCTCAGCCGCGCGCGGACGCTGCGGCACCTGGGCCTGGCGGGCTGCAAGCTGCCGCCCGACGCGCTCAGGTCAGTGTCGGACCCCGGCCACGCCCCCGCGGGCGCTCCCACCCTGCCCTGGCCTTCGCCCCTCCCCGCTCCTGCTTCTGTCGCTCCCACAACCTCCCCCAGATCCTGGCCCTGCCTCCTTCGTTCGCACCCTGGAGCCCCCTGTCCCAGCTCCCGCCACCCCGTGTAACGTCCTCTCCCAGAGCCCTTTTGGATGGCCTCGCGCTCAACACGCACCTCCGCGACCTGCACCTGGACCTCAGCGCTTGCGAGGTGAGCGCCGGCCCCCAGAAGAGACCACACATTGGGAGAGGCGCTGGGAGGCGGAAGGGCAGGGCCGTGGGCCGCCTGCCCCTCCCCACTCGCGGCCTAAGTGGGTCCCACTTCCCACCTCCCACCTCCCACATACAGCTGCGCTCGGCCGGCGCCCAGGTGATACAAGACTTAGTGTGCGACGCAGGCGCTGTGAGCTCCCTGGATCTGGCGGATAACGGTGAGGCTGCAGGAGAGCCCATCCTCGCATCATCCACTCGATTCCCAATCCCCACCCTACCCTTGCAACTTCGCCTCGTGCGTGACCCGAGTCACCCCCAGGCTTCGGCTCAGACATGGTGACTCTGGTGCTGGCCATCGGGAGAAGCCGGTCCCTGAGACATGTGGCGCTTGGAAGGAACTTCAACGTCCGGTGCAAGTGAGCCCCCACCCTACTCCTGGGCCTCCCAGACAACACCCCACCACCCCTGTCCCCCACAACTGCGGCCCCTGCCCACAGGGAGACCCTGGACGACGTCCTGCACCGGATTGTCCAGCTCATGCAGGACGACGATTGTGTGAGTTCACGGGACCTTGCAGGGCCTCGGGCAATTAGACCACTTTGGTCCTCCTTTCTCTTGTTCCCTCAGACCCTGTGACCTGCCCTCACTGACCCCTGACTCCAGCCATCAATGGCTTTCTCTTAACCCCAGCCTCTTCAGTCTCTGTCGGTGGCTGAGTCTCGGCTGAAGCTGGGTGCCAGCGTCCTACTCCGGGCCCTAGCCACCAATCCTAACCTGACCGCGCTGGATATCAGCGGCAACGCCATGGGGGACGCGGGCGCCAAGTTGCTGGCCAAGGCGCTGCGGGTCAACTCGAGGCTCCGGTGGGCGGGGTCAGAGGGGTGGGACCAGCGGGCAGGGGGCGCGGTGGAGAGGAGGGCACCGGGCTAAGGGGAGGGACTGAATGAGGCGGAGCAAATGGAGCAGGCTGACGAGGCGAATGGACTAGGCCGAGGGTTGGGTGGGGCGTTGGGAAGCTCCGTCCCCGACTGAAGCCAGGCCCGGCCCAGGTCTGTGGTCTGGGACCGGAACCACACATCTGCTTTGGGTCTGCTGGACGTGGCGCAGGCGCTGGAGCAGAACCACAGCCTGAAGGCCATGCCTCTGCCACTGAACGACGTGGCCCAGGCGCAGCGCAGCCGCCCGGAACTGACAGCACGTGCAGTCCATCAGGTGGGCGTCCCCCTCTTCCCTTGCCCTTCTCTGCACGGTAACTCCGTCCCTCGGCATTTCTCAATACCCCTTGCCCCTAGATCCAAGCCTGTCTCTTGAGGAACAACCGCGCAGACCCTGCCTCTTCTGACCACACGACCCGCCTTCAGCCACTTGGTCTGGTCTCAGACCCCTCAGAGCAGGTCAATGTCCCCTCCCCAACCACGAGAGGTAGGGCATGAGGAGACCTGTGGCATCCGGGAGCCTCCATGAGTCAGAGGGTCTGACTTTCCTGGGGCCAGGGTGCCTGAGCCCTGCTGTCCCACACAAAGTCCCTCTCCTTGATCTGGAGGCGGCTAAACACCCCTTAAATAGCTCTCCAAATAACACCCTTGGCTGCCTAACGTTAAGCCTGTAAACAGGCTGTCCTGTTAGAGAGGAATTTTTATGTCCTTCCTCAATTTTCCCCCAATTGTAGCCCCATCTCTGTCCTCACATATACGTGACTCCCCTCCCCTCTCCATTGTGTGCCCAAACCCAGCTGCTCCTTCACTGTCTTCATCTCCCTCCACTACCTTATCTGTTGGAGATGTTTCTACCTCTCCATTCCCAAATACCTCTTCTTTCCTAAGCTTCAGAGCCCAAAGGTCTTAATCCAGACATCCTGCTGGGCTTCATGCTCTGCACTTCTCCAAGTGATGTCATCGTCGCTCACAAACCCTGTTGTCTACCCTGGAGCCCAATCCCACTGGTGCCCACAGCCACCCAGTGCTGTGGACAGAGGTTGGGGCACCCTTCCAGGTCTCTCCTGGTCACACTGGAGCCCTCATAGGCCTCCTTCGTCCTGCCTCTAGACCAACCTTCATACATGCCACTCCTTACCCCCACACCAATTATCCCTTGCTCCTCCTGGTCCCTCCTCCAGGGCTACTCACTCCCTTTTCTACCCCTCTCTCAGTCTATCCTCTGTGTGGACAGACTGAGCTTCTAAAACACAGACATGATTTACAACTCCTTTCCTTCCTATTCTGGGCACTTAGGAAGTGTATATAAAGTCCTTAAAATGAACCAAAGCAACAGATAGTTCCTTCCCTCCTTGAACAGATAGGGTTCCAAAGTGGCTGGTCTAAGGGTGTCAGCTTCAGGACCTCCCTCTGTTAAAGAGCCTGGGAGGAAGGCAGGCAGGATCTGGGAGACTGGGAGGGGGCTAGGCTGAGACTGATCCCCATTTCGCCCCAGGAAGTGAATGAATTGTGTCAGTCGGTGCAGGAGCATGTGGAGCTGCTGGGCTGTGGGGCTGGGCCCCAGGGTGAAGCCGCTGTGCGCCAGGCCGAGGATGCCATCCAAAATGCCAACTTCTCTCTCAGCGTGAGCACTCCCCCTCCTGCTACAAGGACCCTTCCCCTCTTAGTCAGGTGTCAGCTCGCAACTGCTTTTCCTCTTTGGCCCTCAGATTCTCCCCATTCTATATGAAGCTGGAAGCTCCCCAAGCCATCACTGGCAGCTTGGGCAGAAGCTGGAGGGCCTTCTGAGACAGGTGGGCGAGGTCTGCCGCCAGGACATCCAGGTGAGAGGGTACTCCTGCCCCAACCCCACCTCCGTTTGCAGGTTTGACTCCCATCCTTTAGTTTTAACTGTGATATCCCCTGACTCAATATTCTGTTGGAGTTGGAGCCTCAAGCCAGCAGCCTGGTGTCTGGCCACATCCTCACCATGCTCTGACTGACCTTTGTCTAGGACTTCACTCAGGCCACACTGGACACAGCAAGGAGCCTCTGCCCACAGATGCTGCAGGGATCCAGCTGGAGGGAGCAGCTAGAGGGGGTCCTGGCAGGCTCGAGGGGCCTCCCGGAGCTGCTCCCAGAGCAGCTGCTGCAAGATGCCTTCACTAGGCTCAGGTAGGCTGGATGGGGCTGGGCTGGGCAAGGCTGAGCAAAGCCAGCCCATTAACCCCTGTCCTCTCCTGCCCTTAGGGACATGCGGCTATCAATCACGGGGACCTTGGCAGAGAGCATTGTGGCTCAGGCTTTGGCAGGCCTGAGTGCAGCCCGGGATCAGCTGGTGAGGGGGAGATGTGCACACACTTTCGTGCAAACACACACATGCAGTGACTTGGCCATCTCCCTTGCAGGGGCTCTGTAATGTCTTCTGGGGTCATGTAGCCCAGGGCTATTTCAGGGTCCCCTTAGTTAGCATCAATGGGATCATGGCTGAGGCCCTACCTGCCATCTTTGGCTGCTTGGTATTGCAGGTGGAGAGTCTGGCTCAGCAGGCAACAGTGACAATGCCCCCTGCCCTACCAGCACCGGATGGAGGTGAGCCCAGCCTCCTTGAGCCTGGGGAATTGGAAGGTCTTTTCTTCCCCGAGGAGAAGGAAGAGGAGAAGGAGAAGGTAAGTGGTTTTAGAACACGGGGCATGGCACTCCCAGTCTTCCCATCTTGCTGTGGAGTGTGGAAGGTGAAAGGCAGCTCTTTTGGGTTGGTGCTCTCCTACCCCAGGCTGAGTTTGTGCCCTCCCCACCAGGATGACAGTCCTCCACAGAAATGGCCTGAGCTCAGCCACGGTCTTCACCTGGTCCCCTTCATTCACAGTAAGTCAGGGCCTTGGGGGAGGGAGTTTACGTGGGTGGGCTGAAGCTCCATTAGACTTGGGGACCCGGGGACCTGGATGAACTCATTCAGCCTTGTCTGGGTACCCACCAGCCCTTGACTGGGCCAGGTCGGGCCCCTTGTGCAACCTGCAAAGCTGGGGTCTGCTGTGGTCAGCCCGGGGCGGGACCTGGGCGGATCTGGGACAGGACACCGGCTCAGCTCGCCTCCCCGCGCCCCTTTCCCTACCCCAGGGACGCGCATGCTGGGCGGCGGCGCGGAGCCGCGCGCGCTCGGGGCCGCGCTCAGCACCACGGACAGCGGCGGCGGCGGGGGAGGGGCGGAGGGGCAGAGGGGCGGGGGGACGGGCGGCGTAGCCGGGCCCCTCCCCGCGCCCTGGGCGGGTCCCCCGCCGCCCTAGCGCCTCCGCCGCCACCTCCCCGGGCTCGGCGCTCGGTGCTCTTCTGGTGCTGTCCCCTCAGGTGCTGCTGAGGAAGCGGAGCCGGAGCCCGAGCTGGCGGCTCCGGGAGAAGATGCAGAGCCGCAGGCGGGGCCGTCCGCGCGCGGCTCTCCGAGCCCTGCCGCCCCTGGGCCCCCGGCCGGCCCGCTGCCCCGCATGGACCTGCCACTGGCGGGGCAGCCCCTGCGCCATCCGACCCGGGCCCGGCCGCGGCCGCGCCGCCAGCACCACCACCGCCCGCCGCCGGGGGGCCCCCAGGTGAGCACCCTTCCCCCACTCCGGAGCGCGTGGAATTGGGGATCACGGGTGGCCCGGCCGCTCCTCATGGGTGGTAGCGGTCAAGGAGAGGGGGTGGTGGGGGCCCAAGGCCACCTGGTCGTGCGGCCGCGGTCACATCCTGGCTTCTTCCTGACCACCCCCCACCCCAGGCCATGCCTGTGCGGGACCATGGGTGTGCGGGTTCCGTTCGGGGTGTGCCTGGGTGTGGGACTCCGTCTCGGGGCGGCCCGCGGCCTCCGTGGCTGCGCGAGAGAGGGTGTCCGTCCTCCCTCCCTCCCCCGGGGCTGCTGAGAGATGCCGGGCAGCCGGGTAGCCGAGCCGCGGGGCCAAGCCTGCGTCTGCTGCGCGTCCGGCGGCGGCGCGTGTGGGGAGATGCGTGTGTGGGCTGCAAGCCCGCGGGGGCAGCGGGCACTGGCGGAGGGCGGGGAGGAGCCGGCTTGAGGCCCCCCAGAGGGTCTGACGCAGCAGCCGGCGCCACTGAGCCGGCAGCAGGCCGGGTGGAGTGGGGGTGGGGTGGGGGACACTGCAGGGAACTGTTCGGAGCAGAGCTGGTGGCAAGTGGGAACGGGTGACCCCGGGGGCACGTGAGGGCTAGGTTTGCTGGTGACCGGGTGGCTCGGGCGTGTAGGATACTCTGTGGGACAAGGACGGGTGTGGACTGGGTGTGCGGGAGCCAGCAGCGAGTGAGGAGTGCGTGAAATCTGGAGTCTCTGTCCAGCAGCAGGACAGTAGGAGGCTGGTATCAGCAGCCCCTAGGGTCACCCCAGTCTGGAATCCTGGAGTTATTCAGTCCAGGCTGCCGGCCGGGGGGGGGGGGGGGTAGAAGCCAGAGTTGCACTCAACCCTGACCCCTGACCCCATGATGCCCCCCAGGTACCCCCAGCCTTGCCGCAGGAAGGGAATGGGCTCAGTGCCCGCGTGGACGAGGGCGTGGAGGAATTCTTCTCCAAAAGGCTGATCCAGCAGGATCGCCTGTGAGTGAGGGGCATCTGCTGGGGGTGGGAGAGGGTGGGATGCCTGATGGGCTTTCTCGCTCACTGCTGGGTGTCCCCACAGCTGGGCCCCCGAGGAGGACCCGGCCACTGAGGGGGGCGCCACTCCTGTCCCCCGTACACTGCGAAAGAAGCTGGGCACCCTCTTTGCCTTCAAGAAGCCTCGTTCAACGCGGGGTCCACGGACTGATCTAGAGACCAGCCCTGGGGCAGCTCCCCGAACCCGAAAAACTACATTTGGCGACCTACTGCGGCCGCCAACCCGTCCCAGCCGTGGTGAGGAGCTTGGTGGGGCTGAGGGGGACACCAGCAGCCCTGACCCTGCCGGCAGGAGCCGACCTCGCTACACAAGAGATAGCAAGGCCTACTCGATGATACTGCTGCCTGCCGAGGAGGAGGCAACGCTGGGTGCCAGACCCGACAAGGTGAGGCTTGCTGATGGGGGGTGGTGAAGGCGCTTCTGGGACCCAGGGCGCGGACTGTCTCCAACTCGAGCATCTCTGTCCCTAGCGGCGGCCCCTGGAGCGGGGAGAAACAGAACTGGCTCCATCCTTTGAACAGCGGGTACAAGTAATGCTGCAGAGGATAGGCGTCAGCCGAGGCAGCGGGGGTGCCGAAGGCAAGAGGAAGCAAGTGAGTTGAGGGGACCTGAGCATGAAGTGAGAGGGCAGATGGCATGCTGTGGGTGACATAAGTGACCAAGATGGAGGAGACTCATGACAGATAGGTCTAATTGTCAGTTCTACTCCATTCTCCTCGAAATGGTTACAGATTCGACCTTTCTTCCCTCTTGGCTTTGACCCAGGCACAGGCCACCAGCATCTCCTCTTTGGACCTGAGAAAGTCTTTTCTCTGCAGGTCTAATAGAAATCTGAGGCCTGGGCCAGGCGCCATGGCTCACGCCTGTAATCCCGACACTTTGGGAGGCTGAGGCAGGTGGATTACCTGAGGTCAGGAGTTAAGAGACCAACCTGGCCAACATGGTGAAACCCTGTCTCTACTAAAAATACAAAAATTAGCCGGGTGTGGCGGTGGGCACTTGTAGTCCCAGCTACTTGGGAGGGTGAGGCACGAGAATTGCTTGAACCTGGGAGACAGGTTGCAGTGAGCCTAGATCGTGCCACTACACACTAGCCTGGACAACAAGAGTGAGACTCATCTCAAAAAAAGAAAAAGAAAAAAATCTGACCTTGTCACTTGTGCTTGAAATAGCAAGTCCTCCAGGGGCTTCCTCTCAAGACACTGTTCAGACTCCACAACCTGCTTCAGAGCCCTGTGGGGTCTTGGCCCTGGCCACCTTAAAACCTCACTGCTTTCCTCCCCTGGTGCAAATCAGAGCCTCCACACACGTCCCTGGGTGGTCTGGATGTCCTCCCTGCCTCGCTTCCAGTCTCTAATTGTGGGTTACGCCAGGTCCCTCCTCAGCCATCCCTGCAGTGCCCATGGTTCTTCCCTGACTCTCCTCTGTGGGCCACCCTGCTAATGTCTCTCTCATTAGAGTCCCAAAGAACCCCAGCCCTCCATACCATCCATTCAATATCTTAAAAAACAAAAAACAAAAACAAACAAAAAACATGAAGTCGGCCTGAATTTAGAAATATTCAAGTGTGCAAAGAGTTCTAAGAGGGCTGTACTGGGTTTGCCATGTTCTTGTCCAGCCCATGGTGGGCATTCAGTGGCAGGATTATAAGAACAAGAACGAACAAAAGGCTAGGGTGTGGGGAGCGGGCAGGGCTGGAATCTGATTGCCCTGTTTCCTGCAGAGCAAAGATGGCGAGATCAAGAAAGCTGGCTCAGATGGTAAGTGGGACCCTGGGGTGTGGCAGTACATTTGCCAGGAGGTGTCCTTATAGACAGCCCCCAAGGCACTTGCTCTCCTTGGGGAGGAAGGGGAGAGGCCAGGTTTTTCTTCCCCTCACCTCCAAGGTCTGGTACCTGAGTCCCCAGCTCCGCCTTGCAGGTGACATTATGGACAGTTCCACGGAGGCCCCTCCCATCTCGATCAAGTCCCGCACCCACTCTGTGTCTGCTGGTGAGTGAGGGCCACTGTGTGTGTTGGTAGTGGGAGCAGGGACAGGCAGGAGTTGGGTCAGACTGTTGTTCAGACCTATCGCCAATGCCTGACCAGGTCTTGGCTGACACCTTTCTCCCTACAGACCCTTCCTGCAGACCTGGCCCAGGGAGCCAGGGGCCTGAGTCTGCCACCTGGAAGACACTGGGGCAGCAGTTGAATGCGGAGCTCAGGAGCCGTGGTTGGGGCCAACAGGATGGTCCAGGCCCTCCCTCCCCTGGTCAAAGCCCAAGTCCCTGCAGAACCAGCCCCTCCCCAGACAGCCTGGGCCTCCCAGAGGACCCTTGCTTGGGCCCCAGAAATGAAGGTAGGCAGGCACCTGATTCCCCACCCCAATCCTGGCCTCGGGGCTGGAGGAGTTCCTGCTGGGAACTCAGCTCCTCTAAGGACCCTGAGGGTGGGAGGCAAGGGCTGGAGTGGGGGCAGCTGTTGGAATACCCCTGATTCCCTGGCCTCCCTCAGATGGCCAGCTGAGGCCGAGGCCTCTCTCGGCAGGGCGGCGAGCAGTGTCTGTGCATGAGGACCAGCTCCAGGCCCCTGCTGGTGAGGGGAGACACCTCCACGTGTGCTTGAATGCAGGAGATGTGGGAGGGTGGGCTTCTGGGGCTCCCTTCATAGCTTTGGTCCTTGGAGGGAGCCACCAGTGTGTGAGGTCTCAAGAAATCAGGGAGCCAGAAGACCAGGTGCAAGGGTTTGACAGCAAGCCCTTCCAACTAGCACTGGCTCCACTTCCCGAAGAGCAGCCTCTGCCAGGGGTGAGGACGCAGGGACGGGGGATGCTCTGAAGGCAGCAGTGTGTGTGAGTGCATGCTTATGTGCACTGGAGGTGGAAGAGAGGGGCAGGGGATGGACAGACCCCAAGCCTTAGCAACCCACCCCAAGCCTTTCTGTGTCCCTTAGAACGGCCCCTGAGGCTGCAGCGCTCCCCCGTCCTCAAACGCAGGCCAAAACTCGAGGCACCTCCATCCCCAAGCCTAGGTAAGAGGGGGTCCAGGCCAGCTGGGAGGGTGGCAGGACTGCTTAGCCCAGCCCTGACCCTTCCTCTCTCTCCCTCCCTCCCCTCACAGGATCTGGCCTTGGAACCGAGCCTCTGCCCCCACAGCCCACAGAGCCCTCCAGCCCTGAGCGGAGCCCACCCTCCCCAGCCACAGACCAAAGAGGCGGCGGCCCCAATCCCTGATCCTCTCCTCTCCTGCCGCATGAGATTATTTTATTAAAAAACTCAAAGGAAGCAGAGTGTGGAGCGGTATCTGTCCTGCGTGACGTCTCACATCGGAGTTGGCTCAGACCCTGGCTGTGCATCCATCAGAAAGTGCAAGGCCCAGGCCATGAGCTGGGGAGGAAGCCTGGAAAGAAACCACCGCTGCAGGTCAATGGAGCCTGGGACTAGTGACCAAGAGTTGGGGCAGACCCAGGCACTCACCTGACAGCTTGGACCCGAGCACAGAGGGACGTGCAGGGTGGCTCATACTCATACTGGAAGGCAGAACCATCACGATGCCTCTTTGGGGGTTCCTGAAAGGGGTATGGTGTCTGGGGAAGAGCTAACAAGGACCCCAACCCCATCCAAGGCTACCCATGCTCCCTCCCAGCTCTACCTCAGGCCTTCCTTGTTCTACCCTCCAGCTGCAGAGGGGCTATGCTCACCCAGACAGAGCAGGGCTCCTGGGCTCCCCTGGTAGCTCCGGTCCTGGGAAAAGGCGGCCGATTCTTGCAGGGCAACCCTACAAACTCCTTGAACTCCAGGCTAGGTTTCTGGGGCCTGGTCACAAGAGCCTGGTGTGGACTGGGGACATGGCTACGGGGTGAGAGACTGGGAGTGCAGCTCTGGAGTGGGGAGCTGGGGGTACGGCTGGCGTGTGGGGACCTGGGGGTCAGGGTGGCAGGGGCTGAGCAGATGGCTGGTGAGGGCTGGGAGCTGCTTCTCTGCCCTGGGTCTGGAGCAGCCAAGGACAGGGCAGGCAGAAGGCTGATGCTGGTACCACTTTCCTCGGATGACATGTGGCCGGGTAAGGCCGGGGTTCCTGAGGAGGAGGGGACTTATTGTAGGCACAGCCCTCTCCGCTCAGGGCAGCTGAGTGGCCTGCGAGCTCAGACAGGACTGCAGGGACCGTGTTCATCCCCCACCCACCGTGCACCTTTCACAGCATCCTGCGCAGCCCGGGAACCTGACTGACAGGCGGCAGTGAGTGCCTGTGACCTGTGCATCACCTCACCTGAGGAACTGGGTGAGGAAGGAGGAGAGGCTATGAGGGTCAGAGATAGGTCCTGCAGAGCCGGGTCTGGTGGGGGCAGCTCAGGGCCTGGGGGGTTCAGGAAGTCTTATCAGCACTGTGGACCTGGGCCCCAGGTATCCCCCCAACCTCTCCAGTCCCCCTTACCCTGTGTCCTCTGACAGGGGCCTAGAGAGCTCAGAATTAGCTGGTCATTCTCAGAGATGCACAGCATTGAGCTGGGGACAGTGTACACAGCTTCTCCCTGTGGGACATGAACTCTGTAGGACAGGCCCGTTTACTCTCATGTCCTGTGGGATATGACCCTTGCCCAACTCCTCACCCTGACATCTCCCAAGCAAATCCCCAGACTGACCGTGGCCTTGCATCGTGAGGCAGCCCAGTGGGTGACAGGGGGTGCTGTGCAAGGGCCCTCCAGTGTCAGGCAGCTTTCAGCCAGGCACACGAGTGCCCCCTGATGCTCCTGGTCCTCCCGCATTTCATCCAGAAGCTGGGACAGTGATAGGCCTGGGGACAGGGGACCATGGGATGAGTCAAGGCTTAAAGGGGAGGACCAGGAGGGTGAGGGGGAAGACAGCTTATTGAGGAAGCATAAGGTTAAGGCTGGAGAGATCACTGCACAGCGTGTTAGGATCACTGGTCAAGCTCTACAGTACCTGCATTGGACGAGGTGGACTCTGAAAGGTGCTCCCTACAGGAAGAGAGTGGCCAGGACTCAGGAACCATGCTGAGGCCTGTCTACCTAGATACACCATCCCCTCACCAAACAACACGTGGCCCCCGAGCCCAACCCCAGACTCACTCAAGGCAGTCATAGAGCTTTTTCTGAACATCTAAGTCTTGGTTGCTAAGAAAAAGAGAAGGGTAGTTAATGGGGGCCCAAGCCCTCCTACCCCATAGGCGTCTGCCAGCGCCGGCCAGGCTGGGGTGGGGAGAGCTGCTGGAGGGCGGAGGCATCACTTACCAACCAGGCACCCGTAGCCGGGGCTGCTCCGTGGGCAGCAGGCTGAAGCGGTCCACCTGGAGATAGAACTCTGCGGGCTGGAGGAGTTCGGGGGGAAGGGGGGGTCTCAGAATCGTCACGAAGAGTCATGCCCGGTAACCCGCCCAAGGCAGTCTCACCACTCACCGCGCCGCCCTCAGCGACCTGGACATGAACCCCGCAGTCCTGCAGCAGCAGCAGCCGGCCCTCTGTCCCGCGGAAGCCGAACTCCTTCTCCTCCCTGCAACAAGCAGGATCCTCACTGCCGGGCCCACCTGAACACAAGGCCCGCCCACCTCGCGCTCTCCTGCCGGACTCCGACCTCCAGAGCCGCGCGGGGCCTCTCACCAGTCCGAGGTGTCCAGGGCCTCCCGCGTCACCAGGCATCGGACACTGTGGGTCCCGTCAGACACAAGCAGCGTGGCCCCGACGTCGGACGTATCAGGGGCGTGGGATGGGCCCGCGACCGCGGCCTCGGCGTCCTGTAGTACCTGACGGCGGCGAGCGGCGTCAATCCCACCACCCCGGGCCTCCGCCTCGGTCTCCGGGCCCTGAATGGGGGCTCACCTCAAGCAGCTGCCCGGCTCGTGGACTGGAGGGTGTCTCTGACCCCAGAATCAGCTCCCGAATCCAGGGCCGTAGGACCAGCCTCCCCGAACCTGCCATCCCCACGGCTACACCCAGCGGATGCAACGGGCCCGGGTTTCCCGCGGGCGCCCAGGCCCCGCCTTTCCTCGGAAGAGGAAGCTCCTTCGCTGGGCGGGGCCGGAGGAGGAGGCCCCGCCCACGTACACCCCGCGCCTGCGCACGAGGGCGTCCTGCTCGGGGGCCTGTGTGCAGACTCCCGCTGGTCCACCCCGCTGGTGCACGGGATGCTGGCCCGTTTACTCTCATCGCGGCGTCACTCTGACAGCGGCCAGGCATTTGGGCCGTTCGTCAAGATTCCTGTGGTACCGGTAGGGAACAGAACAAGGGCTGGTCCCGTCCCTGGAGAGGGTTCCAGGGCCGGAGGCTGAGGCCGAGTGCCGTCCGAGCGAGTTGACTCGAAACCATTTCAGCACCGTGTGACCCCCGAACGGTTCAGCACATATTTATTATGACTCAGTTTCCTCATCTACACAGTGCACGGTCTTGTAAGGCCAGTGGAAATAAGAGCACACACACAGCGCTAAATAAATGGTACTTCCTTCGCCCTCCCCTCGGATTGGCGGAGCCCTGCTCCCCAGACTCCGGGGGCGCGCGGACCTCAGCGTGATGACGCAAGAGCGGAGGACGGCTCCTCTCCATCCACGGCTCCGTTTCCTAGGAAACGTGGACTCCGCGTTCCACTCTGCGTCGCTGCCCCCTTGACGTCACGCTCCGGATGGGAAGGCGGGGCGTGTGCTACCGCCAGGGGCGGGGCGGCGCGGGCGGGCCGGCCGGGCTGTGCACCTGCGCCTCGGCGGGCCGCCTGGGGCACCGTCCCCGGCCCGCCCGGCCCCGCCATGGCCCGGCCGCAGAGGACTCCGGCGCGCAGTCCCGATAGCATCGTCGAGGTGAAGAGCAAAGTAAGGGCTCCTCCGGCCTCGGCCCTAGGCGCTCCCAATTCCCTCTTTCTCCCCTTCCCAGCTCCTTGGTCCCCGCCACCTCTTCCCTCTATCCTCCAAGTCCCATTCTGCTTTTCTGCTCGCCTTCCCCCATCCGTCTTCCTTCCTCCACTGCTGGTCTCCAGCTCTCTGTGGCCTGAGTACCTGGAGGGCGGTAAGAAGACCTTGGACAGCGTCCCTGGTACTGGAGCTGAGGTCTGGGCTTAAGGCTGCCGCAAAAGCGGCAGCCGCATCTTTCCCATTCCTGCCAGCCTGCGGTGAGAAAGGGGCGCAGGCTGTCCTGACTCCTCCTCTCCCCCAACCCCGACTTCCAGTTTGACGCCGAGTTCCGACGCTTCGCGCTGCCTCGCGCTTCGGTGAGCGGCTTCCAGGAGTTCTCGCGGTTGCTGCGGGCGGTGCACCAGATCCCGGGCCTGGACGTGCTACTTGGCTATACGGATGCTCATGGCGACCTGCTGCCCCTCACCAACGACGACAGCCTGCACCGGGCCCTGGCCAGCGGGCCCCCGCCACTGCGCCTACTGGTGCAGAAGCGGGGTGAGGAGGGGTACAGTGGGCAGCCTCTGTGGGGTAAGGTGTCTGTGGGGCAGGTCTACAAGGGTTAGTCCATGCCCAGGGTACCCAAGCGTCACCCTCTGCAGTCCCTGCCCTTGGCTTGACCTCTAAGTGGTAGGAAATAGCTACAGTGCCCCCTGTAAACAGCCCAAGTCGGGGAGCAGGTCTCTGATCTCAACATCCCCCCTCTTCTGCAGCAGAAGCTGACTCCAGCGGCCTGGCTTTTGCCTCCAACTCTCTGCAGCGGCGCAAGAAAGGGCTCTTGCTGCGGCCAGTGGCACCCCTGCGCACCCGGCCACCCTTGCTAATCAGCCTGCCCCAAGATTTCCGCCAGGTTTCCTCAGTCATAGACGTGGACCTACTGCCTGAGACCCACCGACGGGTGCGGCTGCACAAGCATGGTTCAGACCGCCCCCTGGGCTTCTACATCCGAGATGGCATGAGCGTGCGTGTGGCTCCCCAGGGCCTGGAGCGGGTTCCAGGAATCTTCATCTCCCGCCTGGTACGTGGGGGTCTGGCTGAGAGTACAGGGCTGCTGGCGGTCAGTGATGAGATCCTCGAGGTCAATGGCATTGAAGTAGCCGGGAAGACCTTGGACCAAGTGACGGACATGATGGTTGCCAACAGCCATAACCTCATTGTCACTGTCAAGCCCGCCAACCAGCGCAATAACGTGGTGCGAGGGGCATCTGGGCGTTTGACAGGTCCTCCCTCTGCAGGGCCTGGGCCTGCTGAGCCTGATAGTGACGATGACAGCAGTGACCTGGTCATTGAGAACCGCCAGCCTCCCAGTTCCAATGGGCTGTCTCAGGGGCCCCCGTGCTGGGACCTGCACCCTGGCTGCCGACATCCTGGTACCCGCAGCTCTCTGCCCTCCCTGGATGACCAGGAGCAGGCCAGTTCTGGCTGGGGGAGTCGCATTCGAGGAGATGGTAGTGGCTTCAGCCTCTGACAGTCAGGATGAAGCCCCATGCCACTCCACACTGCTGGGACATGGCAGGGACTTCACAGTGGGGGTTTTTAGCTGGCTCACAGGGCTCCCTCAGCCTGGGGAACATTAAAGGTTTTCTACAAATACAGTCATGGTCCTTGTGTGTCCCAGTTCCAGCCTCCTCCCTGGTCTCACCAGCTTGCCTTCTGCTCTGGACTAAGGCAGGAGTGACATTGGGGAGAACTTCCTGCAATCAAGCAGCAGGAGGGCCACCAGGCTTGGCATTTTTAGGGTAAGAAAAGCTCTTATGGAAACAAATCCTGTGTACAAAATGTTTAATTTTGACAAAGCAGTTAAAAGGCTAGGGTGGCCCTTCTGCAGCCACTGGTGACTGGGAAGAGTGCTCTAGGGACACTGGCCACCCCCCTGCTCCTGTCTTCAGACCTCTGCTCTGGGATTGGGTCCAACCCTGTCCTTTGCAGCCATGTGGCGATCCTCAGCATGGAGCTCCTTGCCACTGTCCCCCAAAGGGGCTCAGTCGTCCATCTTCACGAAGACTTTGGGCCGAGAAAAGATCTTGATGGCCTCCTCTACCTGCACCAGCTTCCGGTCCAGCTCAGCACGGTGGCTCTGGGCTCTCAGTGAGTCTGCCCCAGCAGGCAGCAGTACCAGCTCACGCAGCAGCTGGCTCTGGCCTACAGGGGGCCCGGGAACAGTGAGAACAGTGAGTGTTGGGCAGGGGTGCCCGGTCCCCAGTGGGGCCCCCCTCCAGCCTCCCTGCCCAGGTACTCACTCTGGAGCAGCTTGGTCAGTGTTTCCAGCCGCTGGTTCTCAGGCATGCGCGTGTGGCCTGGGGGCATGGCAGGGTCCGGCTGGCTCTGCTTGCGGGCCTCGGCCTCCCGCCGCCACAGGTCCCTGCGCTCCAACAAGCTGTGGGTACACAGGCTCAGAGTTGATGACCCGAGGGCAGAGGTTGGTTCCCACCCTCCACAGGTGTCCTTCACCCTGAGTGTCGGGCAGTGAGACCTACTAATGTGGCACATGGCCCTTCTGCGTGGCATTGTAGTGCTCCTGGGCCTGCCGCTGCTGCTCTAGCACTTGTGCCAGGACCTGCAGTGAGCAGGAATGCCTCCGGGGGGCTCTCTTGGCAGCTCGTGCATTGTGACGAATGAAGTCCACCCCCAGGCCTGGCTCCTGCAGGACACAGCAAGCGTGGGTGGGGGCAGACAGCATTATGTTGTGTCCCTGAACACCCCCCCCACACCAGGAGCCCTGCCCAACCACCATCTAGCCCCCATACATCCTCTCACCTTAGCTTCGGGACCTGGTGGGGTTGGCTGGGGACTAGATACATGGGGTGGTGGGAGGCCAGGGCCGCAGCGGGAGTGCGCCCGCAGGAAGTGGGCAGACTCTGTCCCAGAGGCAGGGCCAGGCTCCTGGAGGGCAGGGCACAGCAGAGAGAGCAGGCAGGCTGAGGTCTGGGGCTCAAGCTGCAAGACCCTGGCCATCTTGGCCCTTCTGACCTTTGCATCCATGTCCCTCGGGCCCTCTTCCCTCTTCAAGGGACACTTGTCCTCATCAGCACACAAATGTGTGAGTATGTCAGATTTTTAAGAAAACAACAAACCATCTCTCCTTCCACCTCAGTACTGGCCCAGCTACCACTCTCTTTCCTCCTTCCTAGCCAAGCTTCCTGGCTCTAGCCCTGCAAGGCTCCTAACAGCTGGCCTCCAAGTCCTCAAATCCAGGCGGTCAATTCCTTGGTCTCGTTGTCCTCAACCTGATCGTCAATAACTCCTAGGTCTCACTCCTGAGATCCAGGCCTGAATTTCCATCTGCTTCCTGGACACACTCCCACCCCCTGGGAACCCCACAGATGCTTCAGCTACAACACATTTGTGTGACCTTGCCTTTCCTCTCACTCCTGCTCCTCCTACTGAGTCCCTGAGACAGAGCCCCCCACCATACCCCTGCCCTTCCCACTGTCCTCAGAAATAAGGGCTGAAAAGTGGCTTTTGTGGCCCCTGACGTGGGTCCAGCTGACTTCTTGGCCTAACTTCACGCCCTTCTTTCCTCACAGTGAACTGTACCTAGCATCTCCACTGCTGCGTGCCCTGTGGTCTGTGAGGTTCCATCTTTTGGGAATGTTCTCTTCTGCTGTCCCTTTGACTAATTGCTACTTGCCCTCAGGATCAGCCCCACCATCACTACTTCTGAGAAGCCCCCCAGCCTCGCCCTGCAGCAGAGCCAGGGTCTCTTAGTCCTCTGTTACCTCTGTGACTTCCCTCCCACCCCAGAACTCAGATCAGGGTACAGTTGCCTGTTGGCCAACAAAATGGATAATACTTCTGGCTCCCTGAAGCAGGTACCTGGAGCTGGGCCTTGACCCGGGACTCCACCTTGTCGTACTTGGGTGAGCGCCACAGAGCTTTCAGGGGCCTGGGCTGGCCCTGCTCCCGGCTGCGCTCCTGTTCTCTGAAGCGCTTCTGAATCTCCCTGATCCGCCTCAGGTTCTCCTTCTCATGGTCCTTAGGGTCCTTCCCTGGAGAAAAGATGCCCCCAGGTTCTGCCCTACATGGGGCCCACACAGTCCAACTTCCACTAGTTCACACACAGGCCTGCCCCCTGCCTCCTACAGAAAGAGCTCCCTGACCTCTCCAACTACCTTAGACCCTACACACACTCTCCCTCATCACCGTGTTCCCTTCCTCATGTAGTAAGTATCACAGGATGATTTTCTCCATTATTATTATTATTATTATTATTTGAGACAGGGTCTCACTCTGTCACCCAGGCTGGAGTACAGTGGCATGATCATAGCTCACTGTAGCCTCAACCTCCCCGGCTACCTCAGCCTGCCGAGTAGCTGGGATTACAGACACACTCCACCATGCCAGCCTGATTTTTGTATTTTTTGTAGAGATGGGGTTTCACCATGTTGGCCAGGCTGGTCTTCAACTCCTGGACTCAAGTGATCTGCCCGCCTGGGCCTCCCAAAGTGCTGGGATTCCAGGAGTGAGCCACTGCGCCCAGGTGATTTCCTCCATTATTATAGTGAAGTACACCATTGAAGTACACCATAGATCATCTCATATATGACATTCATCTCTTGATCTTTGTATCCCACCTTGACTCAGTGATGGCTCATGCTTATCTTCAGCCCTGTGTTCTAGCATCTATATGGCCTGGCACACAGTAGGCACTCAACAAACAAATTTAATGGGTAACAAATGCATAAAGCAGAGCTAGGGCTTCGTGGGAACTACCTCATTCAGTTCACCTCCTTCGAGAAGGTAGCATATTTCTCCCCCTTTTATAGTTGGGGAAACTGAGACTCAAGAGATGCAAAGCCTGGGCCCACGTCAGGGTGGAAAGAGCAGCTGCTTTTGATCTCTTTCCACCCCGCACTGCCTCTCTGTCCCTTCTTCCATTCCTGGGACTTACTCTTGAGAGAGGCCCCAGGACCTAGGGAGATCCCCTCGAGTTGCAACAGCACGTCCCCGACGCCGCGCTGGCCGCGCTCCAGGATCTCTCCGGCACCGGGACCGATGCAGGGGCCACGGGGAGCGGTGGTGTCCAGGGCCCGGTCGGAAGTCAGCAAGTCCAGCTTCAGCGCGTTTCCCTCGAGGCGCCCTTGAGCTGTGGGGCGGAGCCGGGCGGAGTCCGGGGCTCAGAGGTGGAGCCAGGGCCGACCCCTGAGCCTCGCACCACCGCCAAGCCCCCGGACTCACCCGAGGTCGGCCGCCTGTAGTTGTCAGGACAGAGCGTCGGGTCTGGGGGGATGGGCCCCGAGATGCGGGACGGGCCCTCGCACATGCCGCCGGCGCCGCCCAGCAACGGTGCCCCGAGGCCTGCAGGGCTGTTTACCTCCCTCCCCGGGCCCCCTTCCCCAACCCCGGGCCCCCTCCCTCGCCCGGCACCCTGACCCTGGCGTGCCCGCCACTCCCGGGCCCCTGCCGGTCCCCGCCTGGGCCCCGGCCTCGCTCGCCACCTCCGCGACCTCTGCTCCCAGCCCACTTCTCGGTCCCGCTCGCGGCCTCTCCCCCGCGGCACTCGGGCAGGGGCTCACTCGAGAGGTTTTGCCGCCAGCCGCTGCCACCCGACGGGACTTGTTGTTGCCGGGCAACCGTGGCTTCCGTCCCCGGGGTCAGGGCCCACTGACCCCGGCGCAAAGCGTCCTGGGGCTTGTAGTTTCGGCCGAGGGTGGGCTCCGCGGTCGCCGGTTTCTCTTCCCAGCTCTGCCCTCGCTTGCTGGCCGGTCTCCGGGGTCAGCGCGGGGCCACCATCCAGCCCCTTGGGGCCCGCCCCAAGCAGCTGTCGAGGACGCACTCAGCCTGCGCAGCCATGGCCTCGGCAGGGGCGGAGAGGCGGCCGGGGGTCCAGGAGGCGACGGTCGTGGGGCAGGGACAGCTCACGGAGGAGCCCGGCAGCGCTCAGACCTCCGAGGTGACCGTCAGGCTGTTTAACCTTCAAACACAGGGCCGCAGCGCTCTGAGAGGTGGAACTGAGCGCCCCGACCCGCTAACTGCCAGGCTGGGCCCTCCAGGCGGGGAGGGGCACAGGCTGGTGTCCTTATTCCCGTTTCGGTGTCTAACGTTAGGTGTTCAGTGACGGATCCCTATGTCCTTTGCCCGGCCATGGTGACCGATGGCCTGTGTGTCATCTCTAGTGTCCAGTGGCGGGAGACCAGTTCCTGGTGCCTGCCCATGAGGCCCGCGGAACCCAGAGTGAAGACCAGCGCCCAGCAGGCGCAGCTTCGGAGTCGGAGCTCCAGGAGGAAGGACCCAAGCTGGGGGAGGAGCGGCCCAAGCCGCATGCCGGGGCGCTAGAGGAGAGAGGCCCCAGGCCCGTGGTCTCCATTGTGAGGCCCCGTCATGGTCCAAAGAGAAAGCCTGTCAAGTGAGGGGGCTCTCGGGGGGAAGGAGCTGCAGCCCCGGGGTTGGGGCACACACCACAGTAGGATTCCTAAATCCTGCACTCCTGCAGGGAGGATTCTCGTCCCCAGCCACTACCATCACTCTCCTCCCGTTCCTCAAGAGCCCCCGTGTAGGGAGCAGCAGGAGAGTGGGAGCTTCAGGGCTTGTAGGGGCCTGGGCTCACTGGCCTCTAAGCCTCTTGGGCCTGGGGTCTCATTGACCAGGAACGGGACAGGCGTCGAGCCCTGGGGCTGTGGGCAGGCTGGGCTATTCCCTGGGCCAGGGAATGGGAGCCAGGGCTGGAGCCTGGCTCAAGTCTCTTGTCCCTGGCTCAGGTCTCTCAGCCTCCCGGGCCTTCGTGCCCATCTTAAGGCTGAAGCTGAGCTGCCACCCAAGCTGCCGCTGCAGGAGGAGGAGCCAGAGGACAGCCAGAGTGAGCCCTCACCATCTGCCAAACAGCACAAAAAAGCCAAGAAGCGCAAGAGCCTGGGGGCTCCCGTGCTCCACGCTGTGGCCAGCATGGTGTCTGCACCCTTAGAGACATTGAGGCTGGAGCGTGAGTGGCAGTCCCTGGACTGTTCCTTCTCCCCCTGCCTGTGGGGCCCGACATGGCACAACCTGGCGCTCTAGCCTCTGCCCTGCCCTGGGTCTTTGCAGGAAAGGCCCAGCGCCTGCGGCCGCTGTACCAGTACGTCAACTATTGCAACCCTGAGCTGAACCAGGCAGGGAAGGGGGACGGGGAGGCTGAGGTGGAGGCAGAGGCAGAGCTGGCCCCGGTTCCCGAGGAGGGAGGTGTGGAGCAACTGCAGGCCTTGCTGCCCTTGGCAGGTGAGCTGGGCCCAGGCCTCGCTTTGCCCTGTCCCAGTCCACTAGTGACCCCCACCCATGCCCTGGCTCCCCTCGGAGAGGAGGCTGGAGAGGAGCCTGGGGGCTTGCCCAGCTTGGGGGTGAGTGACCACAAGGCCGAGGTGGATAAGTCAACCCAGGTGGACATCGACAAGATGCTGAGTGTCTGCACTGCTCCACTTGTCCCCCCGCTCTCTCCTCAGTACAAGTGACTGTCCCGCCCCACTGGTGGCTCCCCTCCTTCCACGCCTGAATTTGGCTTCAGGCTTCCTGTGGGCCTAGGCCCTCTGGTGGCGGGGGCAAATTTGGCACCTGCCCCCACTTGGGACTTTGGTCTTGCTGAAAATAAATATTTTTCTTTTTCAAAGACTTTGTGATTCCCCAGATAGGTTGCCTGAAATGGGTAAGAGGATGGAGGACTCAACAGTGCAGGGTTTGAGGCCTGAATGGTCATCTGCATCACCTGAGACTTTGACAATGACAGATTCCTTTGTGCCACCCCATGCCTCACTGAATCAGGGTGGACCTGGTGCTGTGTGTTTAGGTGAATCTGAGGGTCAGGCAGCTAACTGGGTGATGAAGAGGGAAGTGAGAAGGAGGAACTTGGGGCAGAGAAAAGAAAGGGTCTGTTGGGTCATGGGAAGCAGGTGTTTGGCCCTGCTCTTCTGTCTCCTGGGGAAGGGCCTGCATTTGGTCTCACCTTGAGGGGATCAAAACTTGGGATCCTCCTAGGAGGTAGCACAGAGTTCTTTTGCCTGTCACAACAGTGACAGCTTTGGGATGTTTCCTACTCATTGCCAGACCATAGCTGGACCGGACCTTGTCTGTGGAGTAGCCTCTGGTCACAGGTGACAGGGCATCAGTGATGTTTTCCTGGCAGGCAGGGGTGGACAGGGGCAGTAAGTGCATCTGGGACCCTGAGGCCAAGCCACTGGATGACAGCTGTGTCCAACCGGCAAGGATCTCTGGGAAGAGCCAGCCAGTGTTGGCCATTTTGGAAACTGCACATCCTGGGCCTCCTGTGTGTTCCTTGGACACCACAAACAGACACAGGGAATTTTAAGTTCATGGAAATTTCCCCTTCCTCCAACTGGCTTTTCCTCCTGTATCTCATCTGCACAATTGTTTAAGCTAGAATCTTGGGTGTCACCCCAGACCCCATCCTGTTCTTTGCTCCCTGATTCCTACAAGCTAAGCAGACATTGAGGCCAGTGATCCTACCCTTTCAGGCTGAGAACCTCTCGGACCCCACAGTCAGCACCGTCGCCTGGACCACTGTCATCTCCAGGTGACAGCCTCACTGGTCACCCTGCCTGTCATCCCTTGGCCCACGGATCCATCCAGTGGCCCTGTGACACACACACCTGAGCCCCTGATGGTGTCACTCCCCCTTGGGATTCCCCTCCTCTTGCCCCAGCTACCTTAGAATTCAGTGGCTTCCGGTAATTCCCTGAGCAGTTACACCTTTTCCTCCCTTCACTCTGTGCATGTGGGGCTTTCTCTGCCTAAAATGCCTTTATTCCCACCTCTCCCCCTGGCTAGTGCACGCACACCTTTGAAAACTTGGGATTCTGCTTCCTGGGGAGCCAGACAGCACCCCATGTTGCCCTGCATTGCAGCCCCTGCGCATTGCTATCATGTGGGTTATAACTGTCATCGGGATTAGACCGTGAGCTCCCTAAGGGCACATCTCATTGCATCACATCGACCTAGCCAGAGGGCCCCTTAAAAGGCACCAAGGTGATGAGACTGAAGTGAGGGGTGGAGGAAGCTGCAGAGAGGGACAGGCCAGAATCTGAAATGCTGAGGCCATCCCGAGGCCACAGTCTAATATGTAGGTTCCCTGGAATATGGCCTGGCAAGGTCACTGGAGGGAGTAGGGTGGGCAGGTTCAGGTGGGAAAAGCAGGGTCCCCTTTCTGGCATCATCCCAGCCTGCTCCCTCCTTTGACAGGGTCACTTGGGTGCTCACTGGCCCCATGACAAGCCATGGGGGTCAGGACTTTTTTTTTTCTTTGAGACAGCATCTCGCTCTGTTGCCCAGGCTGGAGTGCAGTGGCACAATCTTGGCTCACTGCAACCTCTGCCTCCCGGACTCAAGGATTACAAATGTGAGCCACCGTGCCCGGCCAAAAATTTTTTTTGTGGAGATAGGGTCTGTGTTGCTCAGCTTGGTCTCAAACTCCTGACCTCAAGCAATCCTCCCTCCTTGACCCCCCAAAGTGCTAGGATTACAGGCATGAGCCAAAACACCCAGCCAAGATAATTGAGCTTAACCTCCTTGCTTTATGTTTGGGATGGCAGAGGCCTGGAGAGAAGTGGCCTTGCATGAGACCACACCCTGGGATCTAGGAATCCCTGTCTTGAGTTGTGCAGGATCTGCCGACCTGGGGGCTCTCTGGCTAAGGCCGGACCCAAGAAGGCCTCTGTATCTTTGTGCGGTCTCCAGGGCTGGAAGCGTGAACGAGGCCAGCACTGATAAGGAAGAGCTGGTCCTGTCTTCTCACAGGTGAGGCAGGAATTAGAAATCGTGGGAGAACTAGTCTGCAATTCCTGAGGCCTATTACCCAATGGACTTGTCTAAGCAGGGTGGGTAGTAGGAGCTGCAGAAAGGACCAAGTCCCTACTGCTCCTAGAAGCTCGCTGTAAAGAGGAAATGCTACATTATTTAGGGAGACGTGTAGCTGGGCGTGGTGGTCTGTGTCTGTAGTCCCAGATATTTGGGAGGCTGAAGCAGGAGGATCGCTTGAGCCCGGGAGTTCAAGACCAGCCTGGGCAACATTTTTCCCTGTCTCAAGAAGTAAAAATGATGCAGCCATAAAAAAAAGAATGAAATCGCGTCCTTTGCAGCAACATGGAAACGGCTGAGACCATTATCCTAAGAAATTAACACAGGAACAGGAAAGCAAATAGCACACGTTCTCACAAGTGGGAGCTACACATTGGGTACACATGGACACAAACATGGGAAACACAAACATGAGACTATGAGAGGGGGCAGAGAGGGGGTGGGGTGATTGTTGAAAAAACCTATTTACTATGTTCACTACCTGGGTGATGAGACCAATCGTCCCCCAAACCTCAGCGTCACACAGTATACCCATGTAACAAACTTGCACATGTACCCCCCGAATGTAAAATAAAAGTTGAAATTATATATTCAAAACAAGTGGCCAGGTGCAGTGGTTCATGCCTGTAATCCTAGCACCTTGGGAGGCTGAGGGGGGCACGGATCACTTAGGCCAGAAGTTCAAGACCAGCCTGGACTATGTGGTGAAACCCCGCCTCTACTAAAAATACAAAAATTAGGCTGGGGGCGGTGGCTCATGCCTATAATCCCAGCACTTTGGGAGGCCGAGGTGGGTGGATCACGAGGTCAGGAGTTCGAAACCAGCCAGCCTGGCCAACATGGTGAAACCCTATCTCTACTAAAAATACAAAAAAATTAGCTGGGCACTGGTGGCATGTGCCTGTAATCCCAGCTACCTGGGAGGCTGAGGCAGGGGAATTGCTTGAACCAGGGAGGTGGAGGTTGCAGTGAGCTGAGATTGCGCCACTCCATTCCAGCCTAGGCAACGAGAGCAAAACTCCATCTCAAAAAGAAACAAACAAACAAAATTAGCCAGGTGTGGTGGTGGGCGCCTGCAGTCCCAGCTACTTGGGAGGCTGAGGCAAGAGAATTGCTTGAACCGGGGAGGTGGAGGTGGCTGTGAACCAAGGTGACGACACTGCACTCCGGCCTGGGTGACAGAGTGAGACTCTGTCAAGAAAAGAAATAAATAAAGAAAGGAGGGAGGGAAGGAAGGGAGGGAGGGAGGGAGGGAAAGAGAAAAAAGAGAGAAAAAAAGGAAAAGAAAGAAAGAAGACAAGAAAAGAAAAAAGAAAAGAAAAGGAGAGGGAGAGAGGGAGGGAGGGAGGGATGGAGGGACATGCAACCTCAGCTCAACTGAGGACCAAGGCTGTGGAACCACAGGTTGGGAGGTGGCTACTTTGCTGAAGTCAGAAGTGGTGACCGGGCAGTCCTCCAGCTGACTCCTGAGAGAGAGAGGTGGTGCCTTCCAGGCAGAGGACATGCCAGGGACAAAGCCCTGCTAGTATGGAAGCTGCCACCTCTGCAGGAGGGCTCTTAGTGTGGCTGGAGAGGAGGGCATGGCCATATGGAAACCAGGTTGGTCAAGTCCGGGGGTGAGGAGGAAGGGTGTGGATAGGGAGGGATCTTGGCGTGACATTCAGGAGAGGCTGCTTGGCCAGCAGGGTGATGGGCAGAACAGGAAAGGAAGTGGCTGCCATCGTCTAGGTGAAAACAGTCCTGGATTTGGCTGGAGGTTGAAGAATAAGCGACAGGTATTTGGGAAGTTCTCTTCTGGTTGCTGTATCTGACGAGCCAAGCTAACTGCATTTTTACTGTCCTGGAAAAACTTTATTTTGACCTGAGGAAGAGCTGGTAACATCCTGAGATTTGGAAACAGGTCCTGGGAGATGCTACTGCCTTCTTCCAGGAGGGGGTGCTGCCGGACAAGTCTAGAACCAGTGTGGGTTCAGTCACCCATGGAGACCAGAACCCTGTGGGCTCCCTTGGCCACAGGCATCTGGGCACATCTGTCTTCCCCATCCCCAGTGTGGGACTGACCAGCTCTGATGCCCAGGATAACTCGATGGTAAAGACGTCTGAGGGAAGGGGCCATGCACCACTCTGGCCGTGAATCTAGGCTCTGGGGATTCCCTCAGAGGAACCGGGGTCCTCATTAAAGCAGCTCTGCATTCAGCCCACTGCAGTACCCTCCCCCCAGCACATTCTGGGAACCCGAGTGCCATTCTGGGTTGGCCACATGGCCCTTTCTTATGTGGGAGCATCTAAGTCAGGCTTGTGCTTTCCTGGTCAATTCCCACATTTCAGAGTGACCTCGACATCCTAGCAACACATGGGAGGACTGAGCTGAGCTAACTGTCCCAGGGACAAGGGGGCAGCCTCCCCTTTAACCTTCGGTGTCCTGCCTGGTGGTGGGTGCTATCTGCATTTCACCTCCTAGTTCAGGCCAGGCCGAGGCTCCTGCCACAGGGAGGGGCAATGCCGGGCCCTCAGGTCTGAAGATTCCCAAATGCTGGGAGGAAGCGTGGTTCAAGGTCAGGCTCTGTGGTTAGATGGTCCTGACCAGGCTCCTGGCTCCATCATGTACAATCTACAGGAGGCAAGTAGCTTTGCCCTCTGTGCCTCCATTTTATGATCTGAATGATGAGAATATTTACCGTCAGAGAGTGGTTTGGAGGTTAAGGGAAATAATAACATACACGTTTGCCCTGAGGGTCAGCATGCAGTAGGCACACTCCAACCCTATCCCTTGTTATTCCCTCTCACAAGGACATCTGAATCCAGGAAATTACAGGAAAACAAGCCTGGTGACGTCTAGAAGCGGTGCCAAGAGGAAGAGGAAGCCCTCCCTGGGCTTTTCTGGCAAGGAGCCCAGGGCAGGGAAGAGGGCGGAAGGTTAGAGAAGGGAACAGAACTTGGTCCAGGCTGAACGATCCTGGCAGGCTGGTCAAACAAGCAAAGGGGAACGCATGTCTTTTCTCAACACCGTGCCCCCCCGCCCCCACCCCCCGCCGCCTCTGGCAGAGCTGGGTAGAAGGCTGGCCCTGTGCAGAGCACAGTCAAGAGCATGGTGGGTGATTGGCCCTCGGGTCCAGCCACAGCTGCTCCATGGGGCACGCCTGGAGCTCTTCCTCCTCCTCCTCACCCTGTGCCACCTCCCTGAAACCACTCCTCCCCGCCACCTCAAGAGCACTCTGGCAGCCAACACCGTGACATTAAGAACAGAACCCCTCCTAACCTCCACCCCAGTGAGGCCCCAAACTCTCCCGCTATCTGCTGAGACGGCAGGCCCAGCAGCAGCCCATTAGGAAGTCCTGAGTCCTGTTCTCTGAGGAAATCTTTTCTTCTGAGGCTCCTGGGATTTGGCTATGAGGGAACAGGCAGGAGACGAGGGCTGGCAGGGGCAGCGGCCCGTGTGGCACAGTTGGCGGTGATGACCCACGCTGGCTCCGAGCTGCTGTGGAGCAATGAGTAGAGAAAAACCCCCTACCAGCCAGAAACAAGCCTTTCAGTATTAAAGAAACCCAACCTACCAAACAAAAACCACATGCCATGTCCTATTTTCTGAATTATTTATTAACATTTCTCAGATGTTCTAAAGCCCTCCCTTGCCTCCTCTCTGCCAAACCAGGGCCCTCTGTCCTACTTCAAAAGCCCAAGAGCTCACTTAATAAAGCAAGCCCCAGTCCCCACCTGGGAAGGGCCTGGTCACATGGGAGGGCAGGTGAGGGTCCCTGAGGGACAGCTTGTTGCCCTCACTGTTCCTGAGATGCCCCAGCCCAAGAACGAAACAAAACTTCTCATCATTTCTCCTCAGGCCTCAGCCGAGCTGGCCCCTCTTGTGCTTTCTCACCCTGTTAGGACTGCGGATCAGGCTGAAGGGCTCCCCAGGGTGAGCCTTTCCTGGTCCGACTCACTGGCATCACCATGAGGAGGCCTGGCGGCAGCTCTGCCCTGTGCACACCGTGGTAACCTGGCAACAGGAACATTTGCCACCCTGCAAGTCTGAGGAGCAGATGAGCCACTGGAGGGGGCGAAGTCCCAGAGCCACCTCTGGCTTCACCCAGACTCATTAAATGAAAGACACTGTCTCTGCTAGGGCCAAGTCCCTGTCATGTCTGGCTCCTGTTCCCCTCCCTGGTCCCTCTGCCCTGTGGCAAGGAGCCCAGGTGCAGGCTCATAGGTTGTTCCGCTGAAGTGCCTCACACAGGTTCTGGTTGGTGTCGGGCTCCTCCGTCAGCACCTCCACAGCCTCCCACTCCCCGGATCGGCTCGACCTCTTGATGGCATCCACCACGCTCTGCATGTACAGCCCATCCTCGAAGGAGGCGGCCATGGAGACAGGGGTGCGGTCCCAGGTGCGGCGGTCGCCCTGCCCCTGGAAGGACTGGCGCAAGGCCTGCACCATGTAGACCATGCCCTTCAGGTACAGCAGCGGGACATCCTGGGGCCCCTGCTCAGGCAGTCCTGCGCCCACTGCCAGCGAGTCCCTCAAGAGCAGCTCCTCTTGCGTGGCAGAGTTCTTCTGCCCATAGAGGTCGGCTCCCCGGGCGACGAGGCGTCCTGCAGAGCCTACCACCATGACTTCATGCACAAAGGCGCCTGGCATGTTGAAGTTGAGTGTCACTGTGCTACACACACCCCCACCCATGAGCATCTGGAAGAAACAGAAGTCATCGCTAGTGACGTGCCGGATGCCACGGATGGCAGCGTTCTGCCTCACGAATGTCTTGAGCAGCCCGTGCACCTTCTCGGCTCTCCGGCCGGTCAGGTGGGTCAGCAGGTCCACAATGTAGGTCCCCATGGTGTGCAAGCCCCCGCCGCCCATGAGCTCATCACAGATCCAGCCATAGCTGGGGCTCAGCAGGCTGCCTGAGTAGATGCGGGCATCACAGATCATCACCGCTCCCACATAGTGTTCCGAAATCAGCTGTTTCATGCGCACGAAGGCAGGCAGGAAGCGCAGCACGTTCCCTACCAGGCTCATGAGCTGCGGGTAGTAGCGCGAGGCTGTCACCATCCGGAAGGCATCCACCGATGTTGCTGCCTTCTCGCAAACCACATTCTTCCCAATACCTAACAACAGGACACAACAGGAAATCTCAAAGTTTCAAGGGGGAATCTCCAGCATGTCCGCCTGCCCTGAGGATTTTGGACTTCTCTGCCTTACAACTGCACGAACTAATTTTTTTTTCTTTTTTGTAGAGGTGGGGTCTTGCTATGCTGCCCAGGCTAGTCTCAATCTCCTGGCCTCAAGCGATCCTCCATCTTGGCCTCCTAAGTGGGACCACAGGTGTGTACCACCACGCCTGGCTAATTTAAAATTTTTTTTTTGTAGAGATGGGGTCCTCCTCTGTTGCCTAGGCAGGGCCCAAGTGATCCTCCTGCCTTGGCCTCCCAAAGTGCTGAGATTACAGGTGTGAGCCACCATGCCTGGCCCCAATTTCTTCAAATAAATCTCTGTCTTAAACACCCTATTGGTTCTGTTTCTCTGGAGAACCCTGAATAACACAGGTGGGCTAGAGAGGTGGGCACACTTCATGGACGTGTCTCTATGTTGTCATGCATTTATTAGGTCATCAGCTTGGGGCAAGGAAATCTAACCTATTTTCTAGGGGATGGACTATTCATAACTTCTACTCTTAGTCATAACTCCAGAGAGGGCCCTAAGATTCCCTGCAGATTGTTCTCTGAAAACACTGGTCCAACAAGTTAGAGTGGCCCAAGGCTAGAACATGTTTGGCTCCGGCAGGAAGGGAAGGAAGTGAGAATACCCTTTTTGCCCTCACACCCATTCTGGGTACGCTGCAGCCAACACGCACCCAGAGGTAAACAAAGCTGGACAAAGCCCTGAGGAGAGTGCTAGAGGATAAGCAGCTGGGAACTGAAGGGATGAATGCTGCTCCATGTTTCAAGATGAAAGCTTGTGAGGATATGAGCAGCCATGAGACACTAACACCTGCAGTGTTCCTGCGAGCTTTGTGTGGTTCAAGTCGAAGGAAATCCTGTGCTAATACTTTAAATAGAAAACTTAGAAAGCCCAAAAAGCAGTATGGACTAGACACATACAGAAGTTTACAAGTCATAGTAAGCCAGAAAGGGTAAAGACACCCTGGCAAAAACCCACGAAAAAGCTCTCCAATGTGCAATAGCTTCTCGGAATAAAAGCCAAAGTCCTTACAAAGGCCCCACCCATAAGGTCTTGATACATGATCTGTGCACTCCTCCAAAATTTTCTTTTTAAAAAAATATTGAGATAGAGTCTCACTCTTGCCCAGGCTGGAGTGCAGTCGCATGATCTCGGATCACTGCAACTTCCGCCTCCTGGGTTCAAGCGGTTCTCCTGCTACAGCCTCCTGAGTAGCTGGGATTACAGGTGCCCACCACCACGCCCGGCTAACTTTTGTATTTTTAGTGGAGACAGGGTTTCACCATGTTGGCCAGGCTGGTCTCCAACTCCTGACCTCAGGTGATCCACCCGCCTTGGCCTCCCAAAGTGCTGGGATTAAGGCATGAGCTGCCATGCCTGACCACTCCAAAATTATCTTTTTGACTCTTTGCCTCCTGTGGTCTCTCGGTTGCTCATCCTGCTCTAGCCACTGAATGTGAGATGGGGGCTGCTGTGCAGAAGGACTTGGGGATTGGGGAGAGGCAATGATCACGAAATGCTGAAGGACTGAGAAGGCAGGGGTGGGTTAGGAAACGAGACTGAAAGCATTACACAGAGCCTACATGCAATGTGGAAAACTGGATACCAAGTCTTGGGCTGGACTAATTCATGTGCTTACCCTTCTAGTTGAAGCCCATCTGGGCAATGTGTGCACCTGGGCTTCTCCTCCACAGCCATCCAGGCTCCACTCTGGCACTCCACAGGTACTTCCTGGTTGGAGGGGCAGCCTTAGGCCTGGATGCCTGTGACCTGGGGCAACCGGTCACAAGAATGTGCCTTCTCCAGGTATGTGCATCTTCAGTAACCATGGTGCTCATCTTCCCTCAGGCCCCCAAACATTTTCTGAATGTTTTCAGATGAGGTAATGGTTAAGACACAGATTATTTCTGATGGCTCACTGCAGGGTGCAGCTTACCCTGATGGACCAAGATGGATTCTGTTCACACAGGCTCAGGAGGGGCCAGCTTACAGCAGAAACAATAGTAACTACAGACAATAAATCTTGCAACAAAAACTAAGAAAACTTCATAGAGATGGCCAATGTCTTGGCTGGGCATGGTGGCTCACGCCTATAATCCCAGCACTTTGGGAGGCCAAGGTGGGTGGATCACCTGAGGTTGGGAGTTTGAGACCAGCCTAACTAGCAGGAAGAAACCCCGTCTCTACTAAAAATACAAAATTCGCTGGGCGTGGTGGCACATGCCTGTAATCCCAGCTACTCGGGAGGCTGAGGCAGGAAAATCACTTGAACCCGGGAGGTGGAGGTTGCGGTGAGCCAAGATTGCGCCATTGCACGCCAGCTTTGGCGACGAGAGTGAAACTCTGTCTCAAAAAAAAAAAAAAAAAAGAAAAAGAAAAAGAAATGGCCGATGTCCCACATGATGGATGGGCCCCAGGACAACTGACTACCCAGGAAGAGTCAATTACTGGTGCTGGACTCAAGCTTTGGAGCCAGAAATTCCTGTGCTCAAATCTTGGCTCTCTCACTTCACTGCTAGATGATCTGGGAAGTTTCTAAACTTCCCTGGGTTTTTGTTTACTACTATAACTGTAAAGCAGGATTTTACAGTTACAGGGGAAGAAAGGAGGACTAAGGCAACCAAAGCAGTATATGTAAAGTACCTGGCTCAGTACAGCTCTGTCAACAGTACATTTTATTACCATCGCCAAGGGAGGGATTCAGCCAATGTCGTAAATACAGAGAAAAAAAGCCCATTGTGACTTGGATTTTAAGACTTGGCTGGGCGTGGTGGCTCACGCTTATAATCCCAGCACTTTGGGAGGCCAAGGTGGGAGGATCACTTGAGTTCAGGAGTTCAAAATCAGCCTGGGCAACATAGCAAGACCTAGTATTTATTAAAAATAAAAAATAAGCCAGGCGTGGTGGCGTGTACCTGTAGCCCCAGCTACTTGGGAGACTGAGGTAGGACGATCCCTTGAGTCCAGGAGATTGGGGCTGCAGTTTGCTGCGATCAAGCCACTGCGCTCCAGCATGGGTGACAGAATGAGACTTTGTCTCAAATAAATAAATAAATAAAAGACTCACATAGAAACTACATTTTCCAGGTAAATAATTTCTTTTTTTTTTCTTTTTTTTTTTTTGAGACAGAGTTTTGCTCTTGTCGCCCAGGCTGGAGTGCAATGGTACGATCTCAGCTCACTGCAACCTCTGCCTCCTGGGTTCAAGTGACTTTCCTGCCTCAGCCTCCTGAGCTAGCTGGGATTACAGGAGCCTGCCACCATGCCCAGCTAAGTTTTTTGTATTTTTAGTAGAGATGGGGTTTCACTATGTTGGCCAGGCTGGTCTTGAACTCCTGACCTCAGGTGGTCCACCCACTTTGGCCTCCCGAAGTGCTGGGGCGTGAGCCACCGCGTCGGCCCCAGGTAAATAATTTCTATGTTCTGTACTTTGAAAATCTGATTTAGTTTCTTCTTCCTTTTTTTAAGAGACGGGGTCTTGGCCGGGCGCAGTGGCTCAGGCCTGTAATCCCAGCACTTTGGGAGGCCGAGGCGGGTGGATCACGAGGTCAGGGGTTCGAGACCACCCTGACCAACATGATGAAACCCTATCTCTACTAAAAATACAAGAATTAGCTGGGCGGGGTGGCAGGCGCCTGTAATCCCAGCTACTCAGGAGGCTGAGGCAGGAGAATTGCTTGAACCCCGGAGGCGGAGGTTGCAGTGAGCTGAGATAGTGCCATTGCCCTCCAGCCTGGGCGACAGAGCGAGACTTCGTCTCAAAAAAAAAAAAACAACAACAACAACAAAAAAAAACAGGGTCTTGCTTTGTCACTTAGCTGGAGTGCAGTAGCGGGATTCTGGTTCACTGCAGTCTTGGTCTGAGCTCAAACAGAGCCTTCCTCCCAGCTTTCCAAGTAGCAAGGACCATAGATGAGTGACAGCACGCCCAGCTGATTTTTAAACTTTTTGTAAATACAGGGTCTTGCTACATTGCCCAGGCTGGTCTCAAACTCCTGGCCTCAGGTGATCCTCCTGCCTTGGCCTCCCAAAGTGCCAGGATAACAGTCATGAGCCACCATGCCCAACCCATGTTGATTTTATAATGTCTTTTTAGAAAATCTAATTTTCAGGCTGGGTGAGGTGGCTCACAGGTGTGGCAGTGCACAGCTGTAGTCCCAGATACACAAGAGGCTAGGGTGGAAGAATCACTTGAGTCCAGGAGTTAGAGGCTGCGGTGAGCTATGATCAAGCCACTGTACTCCAGCGTGGATGACACAGCAAGACTCTGTCTCAAAAAATAAATAAAATCAAAACGAATACAGAGGAGTTGTTTTATCATACGTACTGTTTATTAGGCCTCTCCGAGAGTCAGGCCCAGCCTGGCCCCCTGGTAGCTCACATACTGACCAAGCCCACAGGAGACAAATTGGTGCCTCTGGTCAACCCTTCCCCCTCCTCTCACTTCCTACCCCCACCTCTGCCACCTTGACCCTGAAGAACCCCACAGAGCATCTGTCATTTGTACTTATGGGCATCTTACGTAGGTCTAAACTCCCAGGATTACAAACCTCAGTGCTGCAGCAAGGAACAAGGCATGTGGATTGGTAGTCTATGACATCATTCAATCTCTTCAATTTATTTATTTATTTTTTTAATACATATTTTGTTATTATACTTTAAGTTCTAGGGTACATGTGCACAACGTGCAGGTTTGTTACATATGTATACATGTGCCGTGTTGGTGTGAATCTCTTCAATTTATGACACTTCAATCTCCTGCTCTTCTTTAATAAAAGAAGCTTTACAACAGGTACTAGCAGGACAATAAAGAACAGCCAGCCAAGTGTCACATACCTGGGATAGGGTGGCCAGGCCCTTGCACGGGGCCCGGCAGGGAGAGTAGCCCCTGACTGCTAGCACTACTGCTTCTGGAGGGTCTCCAGTGCTTCTCCACACTTGTGGGCCTTCCAGATTAGGGAAGACAATCACAGTTCTGGGGGTGAATTTTGCCATTTGGCTGCTGAACACATATGGCTGACCAGGGAGGGATGTAATGAGGAAATGAGGTTCTCAGACACCCCACCTGAGAGCTGCTGTTCTGGCCAATTCAGAAGCCTCCTGCTATAATGCCTCGCTGCTGGCGACAGAGTGGATACTGCAGTGTGAGGCAGAGAGGAGGTGGGTTTAGAGGAAAAAGGACTTTTATGACTGCTAGGAGTTTGGTGGTGATAAAACTAGGATAAGGAATTCCTGTTTCATGCCTCAAGAGGTGAGGAAAGAGGGAAAGACCTCTCTTCTTGAATCTGAAAAATAGTCTGTTTTTGTTTTTTTAGATGGGGACTCGCTTTGTTACCCAGTGGTATAATCTTGGCTCATTGCAACCTCCGCTTCCTGGGCTCAAGCTAACCTCCCACCTCAGCCTCCCAAGTAGCTGGGACCACAGGTGCACGCCACTGTGCCCAGCTAATTTTTTGTATTTTTGGTAGAGATGGGATTTCATCATGTTGCTCAGGCTGGTATTTAACTCCTGAGTTCAAGCGATCTGCCCACCTTGGCCTCCCAAAGTGCTGGATTAGAGGTGTGAGGCACTGAGCCCAACCCTGAATAACAGCACTCTTAAACTTAGGGCTCAGTAGTATCAGTGTGGGACTGCAAGGACATCTTGACTTAAACAGGCTCCTGAGGGCTAGCTGTACAGAGTCTTTGGGTAGCCATGAAAGACATGTCTACCTGAGTTTATCTAGCTCTCCTGCCAGGAAGTCAAGGGAGAGATTGGAGAAGCTGAAATCTGCTGGGCACAGTGGCTCCCACCTATAATTCCAGCACTTTGGGGGGCCAAAGTAGGATGATTGCCTGAGGTTAGGAGTTCGAAACCAGCTTGAACAACACAGCAAGATCCTGTCTCTACAAAAATGTTTTCTTTTTACTTTTCTTTTCTTTTTTTTTTGAGATGGAGTCTCGCTCTGTCACCCAGACTGGAGTGCAGTGGCGTGATCTCGGCTCACTGCAACCTCCATCTCCTGGGTTCAAGCAATTCTCCTGCCTCAGCCTCCTGAGTAGCTGGGACTATAGGCACGTGCCAACACGCCCAGCTAATTTTTGTGTTTTTAGTATAGACGAGGTTTCACCAGGTTGGTCAGGCTGGTCTCAAACTCCTGACCTTGTGATCCGCCCGCCTCGGCCTCCCAAAGTGCTGGGATTACATGCATGAGCCACCAAGCCTGGCCTGCAAACTTAGTGTTTTTCTAATGAACCACAGAAGTGCCAAGAATTGGGCACAGAAGCCCACCTTTTAGTGACAGACTTAAGAAAACATTCAACTGTGGCAAAGATGCTAGGGGCACCTTGCACTTAAAATATAATTTCCTGAACCACTTCTGAACTGAAGAATAAAATATATTAGGGCCCTTCCCCTCTCCCCTTTAAGAAATTCATGGGAAAGCTTTAAGGATGAAATCGGAGGTAGAAGATGAAGAACATAGGTCAGACCAAAGCAGAAAACAAGATGCCATAAAAAGAGCTGTGATATGAAAAGTATTATCTCTGGAAGGTTAAGTCCAATCATTAATTTTAGGAAAAACTAATAATGAGGGCAAGAAATGATCTCGTGGCCTTAGAAGTAAGGTAAAAATATAAAGCTCTAGCAAGGAGAGAAAAATCACAGCACGAAGACTTGGTGAAATGTAACCAAGATGTCATTCCTTAATGCTCCTGGGCCTCAGTTTAATTCAAAATGATTGGATCAGTGGCTCTCAATCCTTCATGTCCACCAGAGTCACCTGCAAGGCTTGTTCAGACACAGATAGCTGGATCCCAGAGATTCAGTAGGTTTGGAGTGGGGCCTGAGAATTTAGATTTCTTTTTGTTTGTTTGCTTTTGAGACAGTCTTACTCTGTCACTCAAGCTGGAGTGCATGATCACTGCTCACTGCAGCCTCTATCTCCTGGGCTCAAGCGATCCTTCTGCCTCAGCCTCCCAAGTAGCTGGGACCACAGTCGCGTGCCACCATGCCTGGCTAATTTTTAAACTTTTTTGTAGAGACGGGATCCCACTATGTTGCCCAGCTGAGAATTCAGTTTCTAACAAGCTCCCAGGTGATGCTGCTGCTGGTGGAGCATACCAAGAACCAGAAAAAAAGCAAGCTTGTTGCCAAAGAACCCTGGGGTTTCCTCTTTCTTCCCGTATAGCTTGGAAATGGTCTCTGTGGGGAACCCTAAAATTCAGGAAGAAGACTGAGAGCCTCCAGAGTTCTGGCTCCGGACACACCTCACCTTTCCAGCCTGCATTCAAGCCACAAGGGATGGCAAGGAGTCAAGTGACCAATAGCGGCTTGCTTCCCCTTGAACCAACTTGCTGCTAAAGTGTTGACTTAGGTCTATTTCTGAATTCAATCTGGGAGCCACCATCTGACCTCCCAAGCATTTGGTGACCAATGAATGAATAACTCCAATGTCACACATCCTCAGAGAGAGCTCTCTGGAAGAAACAAACAATAAGGCCAAAACTTACTTGCTCCAAATTGACAACCGGACAGACTGAAGTTCTTTCTCACTTCAAAGAACATTTATCCTTCCCTACCCACTGAGCCAGAGGTGACAGACACCTTCCTATGACATTCCTCAGAATGAGGGAGGAGATAAGTAGCAGACCCTGAGGTTTGCCACCATGGCAGTGGTCAGGAAGAGTGGAGGACAACCTCATGGCACCGGTTCCTCGACCTAGAGATCTTCGGCTGCATCAAGGAGACACTTGGCTCCTATTACCTCACATAAAACAGTTACTCAGTCAAGTAAGTATGTGCTAGTTGAATTGTGACTATGTCTTCTGTCATCTACCTTGTAATGTGTGTTATTTCTAGTTGCCTCAATTGGACTATAAAATCTGAAGACAGGGAGGGGTCCAATCTAACACAGCTTTGAATGTCCAAAATGACATCAGGACAGTGACTGGCACACAGGAGGCATTAAAAAAATAATTGAGGCTGGGTGTGGTGGCTCCTGCCTGTAATCCCAGCACTTTGGGAGGCGGCCAAGGCAGGTGGATCACCTGAGGTCAGGAGCCCGAGACCAGCCTGGCCAACATAACAAAACCCCATCTGTACTAAAAAGACAAAAATTAGCTGGGCGTGGTGGCACATGCCTGTAGTCCTGGCTACTTGCAAAGCCGAGGCAGGAGTATCGCTTGAACCTGGGAGGTGGAGGTTGCAGTGAGCTGAGATTGCACCAATGCACACTCCAGCCTGGGCAACAGAGTGAGACTCCATCTAAAAAAATAAAATAAAATAATAATAATAATTTTAAAAAAATGCTGGGCATGGTGGCTCACACCTGTAATCCCAGCACTTTGGGAGGCCGAGGCGGATGGATCACCTGAGGTCAGGAGTTCGAGACCAGCCTGGCCAATGTGGTGAAACCCTGTCTCTACTAAAAATACAAAAATTAGCTGGGTGTGGTGGCAGGCACCTGTAATCCCAGCTACTTGGGAGGCTGAGGCAGGAGAATCACTTGAACCTGGGAGGCGAAGGTTGCAGTGAGCCGGGATTGCGCCATTGAACTCCAGCCTGGGCAACAAGAGGGAAACTCTGTCTCAAAATAAAATAAAAATTGCTGGCTGAATGTTTACTGGTTTGTTTACTTAGTAAACTAGGTTCTGATTTATATTAGATAAAGAGAAGAAGTTGACTCCAGTTGACTGGAAATAGAAGACCAACGGGAACTGTAGGAGAACAGCTCAGCAGGCCATGCCCAGTCAGGGGCAAGAGGTTACCAAGCCCAAAACTTCCCAAGGGAGTGGAGATGTCATGTAAGCAGGCTGTCGACGGATCCTGTCAGGGAAGCCCAATGCTGGCAGAGCCTTCCTGTCCTCCGGCAATACAAGACTGCAGTTTGGCAGGAAGGGTGTGTGCTCACTATAGTCAAACGCTGACAAAACATGGGAAATGGTAGCCTTGCTACACAGCCTCTCCTTCCTGTGGTGCTGTGTGCCCCAGAAATGGGAGAACAAACACACTAGTCACAACCAATTCCCCGCCACCCAGGGCTCTGACCTCTAACTTCACAGAGGCAAACTTTATGTTGACTGAGATGCAACCATCTCCAGCCCCTTGATGGCTGTCTCTTAGAGTATTTCCTTAATTTCTGTTCAGGGATTTACAGATGGGAGGTAGGTTAGGCTATGTCTTTTTTCATGCCCTCCCCAAGCACTGCTTCAGGGACAAGTGATGTCCCAGAGTTCTCCTCCCTGCAGATGCGAGCCCAGGAAGGAGAGCTCAGAGGAGAGGAGTGACCCTCAGAGGACTGCCCAGAGGGAGAGACATGATCTGCCCCTGCTGTGGCCTGCCGGGCGTACCTAGAGCCTTCACGGATATCTGCCGGGTGAGTGGAGGGGGGATGCTGATGCACACCAGATCCACATCTTGATGCAGCAAGATGTCATCAGTCCGGCTGGTGTAGAAGGCGATGTTCATCTCCTCAGCAAGCTGCTTCGCCTCCTCCTCAGTCTTCCCCCACAGGGCCTCAACAGTGAACCCTTCTGCCCTCAGCAGTGGGACCAGAACTCGGGCGGAGCTGCCAGTCCCAAACACGCCCACTCCTGGCAGCATCTTCATCCCAGCCTCTCTCTTTACCAACTCATCTCCTCACAAGAGCCTCTGGCATGGATATGATCTTCCAAACGTCCTGGTCAGACATGGCTCCTAGAATAGCAAACATTACACTGGTTATTACTGGAGAGGACACTCAGCTGAGGCTACTTTCTTTTTTTTTTGAGATGGAGTCTCGCTCTGTTGCCCAAGCTGGAGTGCAGTGGTGCGAAGGCTACTTTCAAATAAGGAAGTAACAAGTTCTCTGCCAGAAAAGCACAAATGAAATAGGGCTCGAGGCCAGGCATGGTGGCTCATGCATGCCTGTAACCCCAGCATTTCAGGAGGCCGAGGTGGGAAGATCACTTGAGGCCAGGAGTTTGAGAGTAGCCTGGGCAACACGGCGAGATGTCATCTCTATTAAAAAATATATATATTAAAAAATAGCCAGATGTGGTGGCATGCGCTTGTTGTAGTCCTAGCTACCTGGGAGGCTGAGGTGAAAGGATCACATGAACCTAGGAGTTCACAACTATAGTAAGCTATGATTGTGCTACTGCACTCCAGCCTGGGCAACAGTGCAAGACCTTGTCTCAAAAGAAAAAAGAAATACTGTTCCAAGATGAAACACTGCAGAATCTTCTTCTTCCATGGAGACTGAAGGATAAGAGGAAAAACGGAAAATGAATAAAGTTGAGTTTAAATCTCTGTTCTGCTACTTAACTTTCTGTGTAACCCTGGTCAAAAGATTCAACTTTCAGGGCCTTAAATGTATAATAAGGGGAGTGATTGATCTTTAAGGTTCCTTCTTGCTATAAAAGTTCATGATTCTATATATGACAAAGAAAAGAAGAGTGGAGGCCAGGCACAGTGGCTCACACCTGTAATCCCAGCACTTTGGGAGGCCAAGGCGGGCGGATCACCTGAGGTAAGGAGTTCAAAACCAGCCGGGTCAACATGGCCAAACCCCATCTCTGCTAAAAATACAAAAAAAAAAACTAGCCAGGTGTGGTGGCAGATGCCTGTAATCCCAGCTCTTCAGGAAGCTGAGGAAGGAGAATCATTTGAACCCAGGAGGCAGAGATTGCAGTGAGCCAAGATCACACCACTGCACTCCAGCCTGGGCGACAAGAGTGAGACTCTATCCAAAAAAGAAAGAAAGAAAGAAAGACTGGAGGCCGGGCGTGGTGGCTCATGCCTGTAATCTCAGCACTTTGGGAGGCTGACGTGGGTGGATCGCTTGAGGTCAGGAGTTCGAGACCAGCCTGGCCAACGTGGTGAAACCCCGTCTCTACCAAAAATATAAAAAGTTAGCCAGGTGTGGTGGTGCAAGCCTGTATTCTCAGCTACTCGAGGGGCTGAGGCAGGAGAATCACTTGAACCTGGGAGGTGAAAGTTGCAGTGATCTGAGATTGTGCCACTGCACTCCAGCGTGTGTGACAGAATGAGACTCCGTCACAAAAAAAAAAAAAAAAGAAAAGAAAAAGAAGAATGGAAAACAAAAACCAGTTCAAGAGGAAAGTGAAAGAACTAATTGCTATACAGATTAAGTATAATTAAAATTTTCATGGTAGCAAACATAGGAAAATGCTCACTAGAAAAAAAAATACCAAAAAACTTTTTTCATCAAACTGGCTAAAAGAAAAAGTATGCTTAAAGAGATTTTATTAGGCCGGGTGCGGTGGCTCATGCCTGTAATCCCAGCACTTTGGGAGGCCGAGGCGGGCGGATCACGAGGTCAGGAGATAGAGACCATCCTCACTAACACAGTGAAACCCTGTCTCTACTAAAAAATACAAAAAATTAGCCAGTTGTGGTGGTGGGTGCCTGTAGTCCCAGCTACTCGGGAGGCTGAGGCAGGAGAATGGCGTGAACCCAGGAGGCGGAGCCTGCAGTGAGGTGAGATCGCGCCAATGCACTCCAGCCTGGGCGACAGAGCAAGACTCCGTCTCAAAAAAAAAAAAAAAAAAGAAAAAAAGAAAAAAAAAAGATTTTATTAGGCTGGGTGTGGTGGCTCATGTCTGCAATCTCAGCAATTTGGGGGGCCAAAGCAGGAGGATTGCTTGAGATCAACAATTCAAGATCAGCACAAGCAACTTAGTGAGACACCCATCTTTACTAAAAAAAAAAAAAAAAAAAAATTAGCCTGGCATGGTGGCACATGCCTATAGTCCCAGCTATTTGGGAGGCTGAGGTAGAAGGATCGCTTGAGCCCAGGAGTCAAGACTGCAGTGAGCTATGACAGTGCCACTGCACTCTAGCCTGGGCAATAGAGTGAGACTGTCTCAAGAAAGGAAAAAAGGTTTTTTTGTATACAGATATTTACTATAGCATTGGCTATCATAGTGAAAAACTGGGAGACAATCTAGATGTCCAATACAAGTAATGGGTTAGATAAAGAATGCTGTGGAGTTACTGAAAACCATGAAGTAGAAGGCCCTCAATAACCTGAAAGACATTCACCACATTGTCACTGAAAGGGAAAAACACACACTATCAGAAGTATGGGGTTTTTTTTAAAAAAAGCACACAAAAGAAGTATAATAGGTATGAGTATATATATAAGGATATCTGTAATATATCTATAAAATATCTCTATTCAATGCTGTAGAAGGACTAGAATACTCCTGAATTTATTGATTGCTGAGGTTGATGGGATTATGAATGATTTTTATTGTTTCTTTTCAATTTTTGAACTTTGCCAAATTTTCTGAGACATGATTCTGTCTTATTCATTGTAGAGTTTTTCTTCTGATCACAAGGGTTATACAATAAAGAACAAAACCAAACAAAAGTCCTTTGCTTGGGATCAATGTCGTGGGAAAACCAAGATGAGATGTAGGTGTGCTCAGAATATCAGGGTTCCCCATCCAACATTTCCCCCAGCTAAACCAGCAGTTCCCCACTCCATATTAGCATCACTGGTAACCCTAGACCCACTGAAACAGACAAGAGTGATGTGGGCCACATCACCGTCATTTTCTTTTTCTCTTTTTAAACTTTAATGTTATTTTAAAAATTGTAGTACAATATACATAAAATTTACTTTTTTTTTTTTTTTTTTGAGACGGAGTCTCGCTCTGTCGCCCAGGCTGGAGTGCAGTGGCATGGTCTTGGCTCACTGCAAGCTCCGCCTCCCGGGTTCACGCCATTCTCCCGCCTCAGCCTCCCAAGTAGCTGGGACTACAGACGCCCCCCCACCATGCCCAGCTAATTTTTTTTTTGTATTTTTAGTAGAGACGGGGTTTCACCGTGTTAGCCAGGATGGTCTCGATCTCCTGACCTTGTGATCTGCCTGCCTCAGCCTCCCGAAGTGCTGGGATTACAGGCGTGAGCCACCGAGCCTGACCTACTTTTTGTTTTTTTTTTTAAAGACAGTCTCACTCTGTTGCCCAGGCTGGAGTGCAGTGGCGCAATCTCAGCTTACTGCAACCTCCCCCTCCTGGTTTCGAGCGATTCTCCTGCCTCAGCCACATGATAGCTGGGATTACAGGTGTGTGTCATCACCCCTGGCTAATTTTTGTATTTTTGGTAGTGATGAGGTTTCGCCATGTTGACCAGGCTGGTCTCGAACTCCTGAGCTCAAGCGACCTACCCACCTTGGCCTCCCAAAGTGCTGGGATTACAGGCGTGAGCCACCACGCCCAGACCATCTTAACTATTTTTAAGTATATACATCAGTGGTATTAAATACATTTACAGCTGGGCGTGGTGGCTCATGCCTGTAATCCCAGCACTTTGGGAAGCCAAGGTGGGTGGATCACCTGAGGTGAGGAGTTTGAGACCAGCCTGACCAACATCGTGAAACCCCATCTCTACTAAAAATACAAAAATTAGCCGGGCGTGGTGGCATGTGCCTGTAATTCCAGCTACTCGGGAGGTGGAGACAGGAGAATTGCTGGAACCCGGGAGGCGGAGGTTGCAGTGAGCTGAGATCAAGCCACTGCACTCCAGCCTGGGCGACAGAGCAAGACTGTCTCAAATAAAATAAAATAAATAGGTAAATAAATAAATAAATACATTTACATTGTTGTGTAACCATCACCACCACCCTGGTGGATGGTTACTTCTGGAACTCTTTTCACCTTGCAAAACTAAAAACTCATTAAATAATACCCATTATTCCCATTAAATAATAACTTCCCATTCCCACTACCCCCGCCCCAGCCCCTGGCAACCATCATTCTACTTTGTCTCTATGAATTTGACTACTTTAGATACCTCATCTAAGTGAAATCATGCGTTATTTGTGCTTTTGTGACTAGCTTATTTTGGCTAGCATAATGTCTTCAAGGTTCACCCTTACAAACCTTGTAGCATATGTCAGGACTTCCTTCCTTTTCAAGGTTGAGTAATATGCCATTGTATGGCTGATCCATTCCTCTATCAATGGACACCTGGGTTGCTTCCATGTTTTAGCTACTGTGAATAATACTGATATGAACATGGTGTACAAATATCTCTTCTAGACTCTGCTTTCATTTGTTTGGGGCATATACCCAGAAGTGGAATTGCCGGGTCATGGTAATTAGATTTTTAATTTTCTGAGGAACCACCATACTGTTTTCCACAGTGGCTGTACCATTTTACATTTCCTCCAACAGCGTGCAAGACTTCTGATTTCTCCACGTCCTCACCAACCCTTGTTATTTTCTGGTGTTTTTTGTTGGTTAGCCGTTCTGATGGATGTGAGGTGACCATTATTCACTATTTTTTTTTTTTTTTTGAGACAGAGTCTTGTTCTGTCACCCAGGCTGGAGTGGAGTGGCACTGGTCTTGAACTCCCGACTTCAAGTGATCTGCCTGCCTCGGCTGCCCAAAGTGCTGGGATTACAGGCATGAGCCACCATGCCTGGCTTCATCATTCACTTTTATCGTTCACTTTTAAAGCCCCCCAGGTGATCCTAGTGTGCAGCCACCAGCTGAGAACCTCTGAACTATGTTTAACGCATGTGAAAAATTATCTACATTTGGAGTCATAACAAAATGTCCTGTTTGTTATATGTACACTTTCCTGAACCTTCTCACCCTCTGTATTATGATTAAAAGGACAAATCTGTCATTAAGAGGGAAAAATCTCTAACACAACTATTTTAACTTCTATGTATTACCTTTGGTAACATCATTTTACCAATAATTTTATAAACACCATACGGTCCCTTTGTTTACCAATTATTTATTGATTCTTTTTTGAAATGGAGTCTCACTCTGTCATCCAGGCTGGAGTGCAGTGGCACAATCTCAGCTCACTGCAACCTCCGCCTCTTGGGTTCAACCGATTCTCATGCCTTAGCCTCCCGAGTAACTGGGACTACAGGCATGTGTCATCATGCCCAGCTAATTTTTATATTTTTTAGTAGAGATGGGGTTTCACCATGTTGGCCAGGCTGGTCTTAAACTCCTGACCTCAGGTGATCCGTCTGCCTTAGCCTCCCAAAGTGCTGGGATCACAGGTGTGAGCCACTGTGCCTGGCCTACCAATTACCTTTAAAAAGCTAACTACTCCTGATCTTGGTCACTATCATAATTTTTATTTTGAGACAGATTCTTGCTCTGTTGCCCAGGCTGGAGTGCAATGGCTTGATCATGGCTCACTGCAGCCTCAACCTCACAGGCTCAAGGGATCCTCCCACCTCAGCCTCCTGAGTAGCTGGGATTACAGGTGCACACCACTGTGCCTGGCTAATTTTTGCATTTTTTGTAGAGACAGGGTTTCACTATGTCACCCAGGCTGGTCTCGAACTCCTGGCCTCAACTGATCTGCCCATCCTGGCCTCCCAAAGCGCTAGGATTACAGAAGCAAGTCACACTGTGCCTAGACCCCCCCCCAAAAAAAAAAAAATTAAGACTCTGCGGCAGGTCCCTCTGCATAGCACAGCTTCTGCTTTCTTTGAGATGACCAACTCCTGGAACTCCTCTCTACCCTACATCTTCCCTCCTCTGTAAATCTTTTCTGACTGTACCCCCCCAGGAGCTCCTCCCTCTGCACCTTCTATATACTTGCAATAGGAACTAAACTTACTCCTCTTTTGTGTCCTCAGGCCCACAAACACAGCAGGCCCTCCACTGATTAGTGAATGAATAAATTAATGAACTCACTGTGCTCAGTAAAGTGTTTTCTGGATGCGCCTACTCACTGGTGTCACCAGCTTCTCATGGCCACATTCGTCCATGAAACACCAAAGTTACCCTCTGAAAACATACTGGAGGTTCTATCCTCACGTGCTACTGATAGTGATACAGAATCGTACAGCTGTTCTGAATAACAAGTAATCTGGCCTTATATATAATTAAAACTATGCATTTTGTGACTCACAAATTCTACTCGTGTGTGTGTGTATGTGTGTTCCCAAAGAAATTCTCATAGGGATGCACTGATAAGGGATACAAAGATATTTACCACATCATGTCTGAGGTGCAGAGTTGGAGACAATCTGGGGATCAGAAGTGGGCAGGTAAAGTGTGGGGGATATACCCACTGGGGTTCTCTGCAAGTTAGAAACAATACTAGATGAATACAGTCACATGAATGAACTTGGTAAAAAAAAAAAAAAAAAGAAAACATAGCGAGCTCTAATACATTATTTATATAAACTAAAAATACACACACAGGCTGAGTGCGGTGGCTCACGCCTGTAATTCCAGCATTTTGGGAGGCAGAGGTGGGCGGATCACCTGAGATCAGTTCACGACCAGCCTGATCAACATGGCAAAACCCCATCTATACTAAAAAATAAAAAAATTAGCTGGATGTGATTGTGCACGCCTGTAGTCCCAGCTACTCAGGAGGCTGAGGCAGGAGAATCGTTTGAACCCAGGAAGCAGAGGTTGCAGTGAGCTGAGATAATGCCACTGCACTCCAGCTTGGGTGACAGAGCAAGACTCTGTCTCAAACAAAACAAAACAAAACAAAAACCCACACACATGCACAGAAACAAAAATGCTTCATAGGAAATTATACAAATGAAAGGATACATACTAAATACATTTACAGGGGATAGGGAAACCAGAGTAGAGAAAGGGGATAAAGGGGAATAATTTAAAAAAAAAAAAAAAGGCCGGGCACGGTGGCTCATGCCTGTAATCTCAGCTCTTTGGGAGGCTGAGGAGGGCGAATCACGAGGTCAGGAGATTGAGACCATCCTGGCTAACATGGTAAAACCCCGTCTCTACTAAAAATACAAAAACAAAATTATCCAGGCGTGATGGTGGGCACCTGCAGTCCCAGCTACTCGGGAGGCTGAGGCGGGAGAATGGCGTGAACCCAGGAGGCAGAGCTTGCAGTGAGCCGAGATTGCGCCACTGCACTCCAGCCTGGGCGACAGATTGAGACTCTGTCTCAAAAACAAAAACAAAAAAAAAAGGAAAATGTGGTTCTAAAAGGAATCCTTTCTCACTTTTTAAATAAAAAGCTTGCATTTCAAACACAAAGTGACAGATATATGTACCTCTGGTCCTACTAATGGGACACCATCACAAGCTCCCTGATCTAGCCAAATCCAGGGAGTAGCACTGCATCTGCATATTTAGCCAGGACCACTTATAATTCAGACAAAGAACCTTATTTCAAATTAGCCACCACACCTGGCTTTTTGGGTTTTTTTTTTTTTGACACAGTCTCACTCTGTCACCCAGGCTGGAGTCCAGTGGTGCCATCTCGACTCACTGCAACCTCCGCCTCCTGGGTTCAAGTAAGTGGCTGGGACTATAGGTGCGTGTCATCACGCCCTGCTAATCATACCTGGCTAATTTTTTGTGTTTTTTGTAGAGACAGGGTTCCATCATGTTGCCCAAGCTGGTCTCAAACTCCTGGGCTCAAGCAATCCTCCTGCCTTGGCCTCCCAAATTGCTGGGATTACAGGCATGAGCCATGGTCCCTGGCTAGAATCTTTTTTGGGAAGTGGAAAAATGTACATTACAGAATGTACCATTTTAAACCATTTTTAGGTGTACAGTTCAGTGCACTAATACATTCGTATTGTGCAACCATCACCAACATCCACCTCCAGGACTTCATCATCATTCCATACTGAAACTCTGTACCCAGCCAAAATTAACCATTTTAAAGTGAACAATTCAGTGGCCGCTGGGTGCAATGCCTCATGCCTGTAATCCCAGCACTTTGGGAGGCTGAGGTGGGAGGATTACTTGTGCCCAGGAGTTTCAGGCTATAGTGGGTTATGATCATGCCATTGCACTCCAGCCTGGGTGACAGAGCAACAGAAAGACTCTGTCTCAAAAACAAAAAACAAACAAACAAACAAAAAAACCAACCCCCATAATCCAGTGGCATTTAGGACATACTTTTTTTTTTTTAAGACAGAGTCTTGCTCTATCACCCAGGCTGGAATGCAGTGGTGCAATCTTGGCTCACTGCAACTTCCACCTCCCGAGCTCTGAGGCTGAGGCGATTCTCCTGCCTCAGCCTCCTGACTGGCTGGGATTACAGGCACACGCCATCACACCTGGCTAATTTTTTTGTATTTTTAGTAGAGACAGGGTTTCACCATGTTCGCCAGGCTGGTCTCAAACTCCTGACCTCAGGTGATCCGCTCGCCTGGGCCTCCAGAAGTGCTGGGATTACAGGCATGAGCCACTGAGCCTGGCCTAATTTTTTATTTTTTGTAGAGATGGGGTCTCACTGTGTTACCTAGGCTGGTCTCAAACTCTGGCCTCAAACTCCTGGCCTCAAGCGATTCTCTCAGCTCAGCCTCCCAAGGTGGTGGGATTATAAGCGTGACCCACTGAGCCTGGCTTTTTAATAAAAAAGTTTTTTTTAATTTTATTTTAATATAGAGGCAGCATCTTACTATGTTGCCCAGGCTGGTCTTAAATTCCTGGCTTCAAGTGATCCTCCCACCTCGGCCACCCAAAGCACTGGGATTATAGGCATGAGACACCACGGCTGGAGAAATTGTTTTCTCAACTTCATTTTCAAGCCCAGCATCTCTTTTGCTCCTACTGTAGACACAAGTGTACTGGACTAAGAAAATGTCTATAGTAGGGGATGGTTTGTCAGCATAGCCCAGTATAACATCCTGTACTGCTCGATTCTATCTGAAGTACACCTGTTCCTTTGTGAACCACTAAATTACACATGACTTGGGCTGCCTCTAACTCCAGATCCCTGCCAATTTCGTGCCTCTTGTCTCCACTCTCTGTGACTGTGAAGCTTGGCTTGCCTCCTGTACTCTCACTGGGGTTGTTTTATTTTAACCAGCTTTCATTCTTTCTGATGGTAAACTGTCTGTGGCCACTCAGTCACCTTGCTTTCCTTTTCTACTTTCTCCATCTCTCTCTTTTTTTTTTTTTTTTTTTTTTTGAGACGGAGTCTCACTCTGTCGCCTAGGCTGGAGCGTAATGGTGCAATCTCGGCTCACTGCAACCTTTGCCGCTCCGGTTCAAGCGATTCTCCTTGCCTCAGCTACTACCTCAGTAGCTGGGGTTACAGGCACACGCCACCATACCCAGCTAATCTTTGTATTTTTAGTAGAGACAAGGTTTTACCATGTTGGCCAGGCTGGTCTCGAACTCCTGACCTCAGGTGATCCACCCGCCTTGACCTCCCAAAGTGCTGGGATTACAGGCATGAGCCACTGAGCCCAGCCACCATCTCTCTCTTTTCTCTTTGCTAATTCTGCCCCTACAGGCTTCTCTACTAGTTTTCTTAGAAAACAGGTCAAGCACACAGTTATCTTCTACAATTTTCATGTCCTGGACTCCCTTCGGCTATTTGGTCACTGTCTGCTTTTACAGGTGTCTTGGTTATTTACAGGTTATGGCTGTTATAGGAGCTTGACAGTGTCAAGCATGCAGCATTAGGTAAGTAGTGAGATTCTACTTAAGTTTTTTTTTTTTTTTTTTGAGACGGAGTCTCATTTCTGTCACCCAGGCTGGAGTGCTGTGGCATGATCTTGGCCCACTGCAACCTCAGCCTCCTGGGTTCAAGCGGTTCTCCTGTCTCAGCCTCCCGAGTAGCTGGGATTACAGGCATGCGCCACCATACCTGGCTAATTTTTGTATTTTTAGTAGAGACAGGGTTTCACTATATTGGCCAGGCTGGTCTCGAACTCCTGACCTCAGGTGATCCTCCTGCCTCGGCCTCCCAAAGTGCTAAGATTACAGGCATAAGCCACTGTGCCCAGCCAAATTTTGTTGGTCATTAATTACTAATTGTTACAGGGCTAAGGGAGTGAGACACAGTCCATGTCTTCTCTAAATTCATGCCCAGGGCACACCTCCTCCACTCTCACACCGTGTTCCTTCTCACCCTAGTTGTATTTGGGTATATATAGGGAATGTATGTATCCACTACATAGGGAACCCTTTTTTTTTTTTTGAGATCGAGTTTCGCTCTTTTTGCCCAGGCTGGAGTGGTGCAATGGCACGATCTCGGCTCACTGCAACCTCCACCTCCCAGGTTCAAGCGATTCTCCTGCCTCAGCCTTCCAAGTAGCTGCGATTACAGGAGCCCGCCACCATGCCTGGCTAATTTTTTGTATTTTTAGTAGAGACGGGGTTTCACCATGTTGGACAGGATGGTCCCGATCTCTTGACCTCGTGATCTGCCCGCCTCAGCCTCCCAAAGTGTTAGGATTACAGGCGTGAGCCACCGCGCCCGGCCGGGAATCTTTTTTTTTTTTTTAAATGATCTATTACGTATCTATGACCAACTTAGATGTCTCCTCTTCAAAAGCTGTGTAGGAATATGAGGATGATAATTTTGAGCCAATATGAAGTGAAAAATATATATAAGTATCGGTAGCTTAAAACAACAGAATGGACTAGAATTTTTTTTCTTTTTTGAGACAGTCTCGCTCCGTCACCCAGGCTGGAGTGCAGTGGCGCGCTCTTGGCTCACTGCAAGCTCTGCCTCCTGGATTCACGCCATTCTCCTGCCTCAGCCTCCCGAGTAGCTGGGACTACAGGCACCCACCACCACACCCGGCTAATTTTTTGTATTTTCAGTAGAGACGGGGTTTCACCATGTTAGCCAGGATGGTCTGGATCTCCTGACCTCGTGATCCGCCTGCCTCAGCCTCCCAAAGTGCCGGGATTATAGGCGTGAGCCACTGCGCCCGGCCGAAAAATTTTTAATAACCTGTTTTACTGCCACTGACTCAAAGGGAAGCTTCATCAACTCCCATAAAGGGGTATTGGCTGGCCCCCGAGGAAGCCAGATGGCATGAAGGCAGGCAGGCTTGCTGACTAGGTATTTCCTGCCCAAGCAGGCAGAGCTGGTTTTCCTTGTTAATTTCAGTGGCTACCCTTTCTCACCCCTAAAATTTCCCCACTCTTTGTCTTTAACATCCTTGCACATATCCTTCAGATGCCTCCAAAGATCTCCACAAACCCAGTCCTGCCAAGACCACATACATTTCCCATCACCACATGCTGGTCAGGAATGAAGTGTGCCTTGGCAGGACAGGCTATATACAATTTGACAAGGCCTTGCCTGGGTTCAAATCCTGGCTCTGTCACTTTCCAGCTGGGTGACCTCAGGTAAGTCCTTTAGTCACTCTGTATCTCCATTTCCTCATCTGTAAAATGGGGAAATTTTATCTACCTCACAGGGGATTTAAGGATTGAGTTAATATTTGTAGAATACTTATAATTGGGCCTGGCCAATTAGATATGAGTCAGTACATAGGGAATCTTTTTCTGAAAAAAAGATATCTGTTAACTATCTGTGACTGACTTAGATGTCTCTTCTTCAAAAGTTGAGTAGAAATATGAGGGTCATAATTCTGAGCTAATATGAAGTGAGTATAATAGGGCAGCCAGTGTTTAGTCTGTCCCTTGTTCCATGCAACCCTGTTGTACAGATAAGAAAACATGCTCAAAGAGGTGAGGTAACTCTCCCAGGGTTCCACGCCTGGCTGTGTGCATGACCTGCTACAACCAGCATGAAACCTTGAGCAGGTTACTTCACTTCTCTGAGCCTCTATAAAAACAAGAAAGAAAAAGAGTCATTTTGTAACATGTGCATGTGTGGAGCAACTCTTCTTCCATCCTTCCTCATGAGTGTGAGCCAGGCAAGTTCCTTCCACTGTCTGCTCTGGGGGTGACTGTTTGCCTCTGATCCACTGTTCAAAACCAATACTAATCTGGTCAATGTCTCACCTTTTCTGAGGAGCTAACGAGGGAGCTGTGGGACATAAAAAGATGAAAAGTCCTAATTTCAGGGGTGACAAGTCAGCAAGGTGAGTAGGAGCCAGAACTGGTGGCGTAAAGTGTTAATCTCAAGAGTTTGGACTTTGACAGGTGGGTGTGCTCAGTATTCTTGGTCTGCTCCTCCTTCCCTACCTGATCCTCTCTGCCCTGCTTTTTGTCTCTGGAGTCAGAAGGTCAGTCTCTAAAGCCCTGGGCTCCAGGTCCTCTGGCTTCCATCTGAGTCCAGCCAAGGGAAAGAACCAGGAAGAGATCAGCGAGCAGGAGGAAAGGCCAAGGTGTTTATTTTTTGCCTTCTCTCCCTCCCAGGATATGGTTCTGGCAGAGCTGTGTTCCTTAACCAAGGTCACAGCTCCTTTAGAGGACCCCTCTCTCCCATGGCCATTGCTTTTGCTGGGTTCCAGTGACACATCCCCACTCCGTCATTGCACCTAGGGTGGGGACACTACCTTGCCAGTCCCTGGGTGCTCCACTATCCCTTGTATGTTTCCTTTACTACTCACACTATTGTGAATAATCCCTTCATTAAAGAGTTTTTAATTAACCCTTTGAGTACACTGACTGTTTCCTGTCTAGACCTTGACTAATGCAGGTAAGCAATAAGAACCATTGGATTTTTTTTCTTTTTCTTTTTCTTTGAGATGGAGTCTTGCTCTGTCACCCAGGCTGGAGTGCAGTGGCGTGATCTTGGCTCATTGCAACCTCTGCTTCCAGGTTCAAGCAAGTCTCCTGCCTCAGCTTCCCGAGCAGCTGGGATTACAGGTGTGCGCCACCATGCCCAGCTAATTTTTGCATTTTTAGTAGACACGGGGTTTCCCCATATTGGCCAGGCTGGTCTCGAACTCCTGACCTCTGGTGATCTGCCCACCTCGGCCTCCCGAAGTGTTGGGATTACAGGCGTGAGCCACTGTGCCCGGCCTGCATTTTTTTTCTTTAATTTGGCAGAAAGACGTAGGTAGGATAGAGTTTAGGAGACATTAGACACAGAGAACCAGTTAGGATATCAAGTAAGACATAAGGAGGGTCTAATGGAGGGAATGAAATGGAGCAGACAGTTATCACTAGGATTTGGGATTATCAGCAGGGTGGGAGAGCCAAAAAAATAAAATAAAATAAATAACTGAACTATAGACCAATACGTCTCATAAACTTAGGCACAAAAATCCTCAACAAAATATTAGCAAATTAAATCTAGCAATGTGGCTGGGCGTGGTGGCTCACACCTGTAATCCCAGCACTTTGGGAGGCCAAGGCGGGCGGATCATGAGGTTAGGAGATTGAGACCATCCTGGCTGACATGGTGAAACCCCGTCTCTACTAAAAATACAAAAAATTAGCCAGACGTGATGGTGGGTACCTGTAGTCCCAGCTACCCAGGAGGCTGAGGCAGCAGAATCGCTGGAACCAAAGAGGCAGAGGCTGCAGTGAGCTGAGATCGCACCACTGGCACTCCAGCCTGGGCAACAGAGCAAGACTTCATCTCTAAAAAACAAAACAAAACAAAAATAAATAAAAATTAAAAAAAAAATACACCATGACCAACAGGGGTTTAATCCCAGGAATGCAAGGCTGGCTCAACATTCTAAAATCAACTACTATTGGATAGGAGAATGTGGTGTTTTTTTGTTTGTTAGTTTGGTTTGAGACAGAGTCTCACTCTGTCACCCAGACTGGAATGCAGTGGCGCAATCTCGGCTTACTGCAACCTCCGCCTCCTGGGTTCAGGTGATTCTCGTGCCTCAGCCACCCGAGCAGCTGGGACCACAGATGTGTACCACCACGCCTGGCTAATTTTTGTACATTTTGTAGAGAAGGGGTTTTGCCATGTTGGCCAGGCTGGTCTCAAACTCCTGGCCTCAAGCGATCCACCAGCCTCAGCCTCCCAAAGTGCTGGGGTAACAGGAGCAAGCCACCGCGCCCAGCCTGGATAGCAAAATGTTTAACTGAAAAAGAAAAAAAAAAAAGGCCAGGTGCAGTGGCTCACCTGTAATCCCAGAATTTTGGGAGGCCAGGAGTTCAAGACCAGCCTGGTGAACATGGTGAAACCCTGTCTCTACAAAAAACAAACAAAAAAAGCCAGGTGCAGTGGCACACACCTGTGGCTACTCAGGAGGCTCAGGAGGGAGGAACACTTGAGCCTGGGAGGTGGAGGTTGCAGTGAGCCATTTTTGCACCACTACACTTCAGCCTGGGCAACAAGAGCATGACCCTGCCTCAAAAAAATAAAAACTAGGCCAGGCGCGGTGGCTCACGCCTATAATCCCAGCACTTTGGGAGGCCAAGGTGGGCAGATTGCCTGAGCTCAGGAGTTTGCGACCAGCCTGGGCAACAAGGTAAAACCCCATCTCTACTAAAATACAAAAAAATTAGCCGGTCATGACAGTATGTGCCTGTAGTCTCAGCTACTTAGGAGGCTGAGGCAGGAGAACTGCTTGAACCCGGGAAGCAGAGGTTGCAGTGAGCTGAGATCGTGCCACTGCACTCCAGCCTGGGCAACACAGTGAGACTCCGTCTCAAAAAAAAAAAATTAAATTTAATTTAAAAAATAAAATCAATTACTATAACTTACCGTATCAGTAGTCATTAGACAGCATTAATTAGAAATACAAATTAAGGCCGGGCACGGTGGCTCACCTGAGGTCAGGAGTTTGAGACCAGCCTGGCCAACATGGTGAAACCCTGCCTCTACTAAAAATACAAAAATTAGCCAGGCATGGTGGCGGGTGCCTGTAATCCCAGCTGCTTGGAAGGGTGAGGCAGGAGAACTGCTTGAAGTCGTGAGGTAGAGGTTGCAGTGAACTGAGATTGTGCCACTGCACTCCAGCCTGGGTGACAGAGCAAGACTCCATCTCAAAAAAACAAAACAAACAAACAAACAAAAAACAAATTAAGGCTGGGTTCAGTGGCTCATGCCTGTAATCCCAGCACTTTGGGAGGCCGAGGCGGGCGGATCACCCGAGATCAGGAGTTTGAGACCAGCCTGGCCAACATGGTGAAACCCCGTTCCTACTAGAAAAAAAAAAAAAAATTAGCCAGGCATGGTGGTGCACGCCTGTAATCCCAGCTACTCAGGAGGCTGAGGCAGGAGAATCGCTTGAACCCAGGAGGCGGAGGTTGTAGTGAGCCGAGATTGTGCCACTGCTCTCCAGCCTGGGTGACAGAGTGAGACTCTGTCTCAAAAAAAAAAAAAAAAAGAAATACAAATTAAAACTTATTAAATACACATTACAATGTCTGAAATTCAGAAAACCTGATATCAAATACTGGCAAGGGTAGGAAGCAACTATTCATTATTGGCGAAAATGTAAAATAATATAGCCACTTTGGAAAAGTTTGCCATCTTATAAAGCTAAATAGATACCTATCACACAACCTAGCAATCCTACTTCTAGGTTTAGTACTTACCAAGAGAAATGAAAACTTATATTCACACAAAAACCTATATGTGAATGTCTACAGCAGCTTTATTCATAATTGCCACATCTTGTAATCAACACAAATATCCTTCAATAGGTAAACAGATAAACAGTAGTATATCAACGCCAATGGATACTATTCAGCAATAGAAAGAACATACTACGGATATATGCCACAATGAACAAATCTCAAATGCATTCTGCTAACTGAAAGATGCCCTACTTAAAGGCACCATACTGTGTGATCCCATTTAAATGCCATAATGGAAAAGCAAAACTATAGGGACAAAGAGTAGATCAGTGGTTGTCAAGGGTTGGAACTGGGGCTAAGTGTAGACAACAAAGGGGCACAGGGGAATTTTTGTGGGGTGATGAAACTGTTCTGTATCTTGTCTAGGGTGGCAATTACATGACAGCATTTGTCAAAACTGATAGCACAGAATATACAGAAAAAGGATAAACTTCACTGTTCTGTAAATTATACTTCAATCAATGTGACTGACCCCACTTAAAAAAAAAAAAAAAAAGACCCTGAAGTTTTAAGCCTAAGTGACTGAGAAACTGCAGTGTCCTTAAGAGAAACATGGAACCCAAAAGGCCCGACTGTTGAGACTTTGGTGTGGAGGCTGAGATTTGTGAATTGTTTTTTCCCAGACTGCCTGAACATCATCTTACCTTCTGTGTATCTAGTCTGTAGAACCCCAGCTTCTGCCAAACTAGAGGCCACGACCCACTGCCTATCACAGGGGTGGGAGAAATCCAATCTGGTAATTGTTTTTGTAAATAGTTCTATGGGTATGACAGAACACAGTCATACCCATTTGTTTACCTACTCCTTTATTTATGGTTGCTTTTGTACCACCAACAGCAGAATAGGTACAACAGAAGCCATACGGCCCACACAGCTTAAAATACTTAAAATTTGGAGGCCGGTACAGTAGCTCACACCTATAATCCCAGCAGTTTGAGAGGCTGAGGCAGGCGGATTGCTTGAGGCTAGGAGTTTGAGACCAACATGTGAAACACTGTCTCTGCTAAAAATACACAAATTAGCCAGGCTTCAGGGTGTGCGCCTGTAATCCTAGCTACTCAGGAGGCAGAGGCAGAAGAATCACTTGAACCTGGGAGGCAGAGGTTGCAGTGAACAGAGATCATGTCACTGCACTCCAGCCTGGGCAACAGAGTGACTCTGTCTTAAAAAAAAAAAAATTTACAATTTGGCCCTTTACAGAAAAGATTTGCTGACCCCTGCCCTACGCTCTGTTATAAGGCCCAGGAACTCCAACTGACGCAGTATTGTCATGAAGGTAGCCAGGATTTTTTTTTTTTTTTTTTTTTTTTTGAGATGGAGTCTCGCTCTGTTGCCCAGTCTGGAGCACAGTGGCACAATCTGAGCTCACTACAACCTCTGCCTCCTGGGTTCAAGTGATTCTCCTGCCTCAACCTCCCGAGTAGCTGGGATCATAGGCATGTGCCGTGCCTGGCTAATTTTTGTATTTTTTAGTAGAGATGGGGTTTCACCATGTTGGCCAGGCTAGTATTGAACTCCTGACCTCACATGATCTGCCTGCCTCGGCCTCCCAAAGTGCTGGGATTACAGGAGTAAGACACTGCGCCCGGCCAGTAGCCAGGATTACAGTAAAAAAAGAATCACCCACCTCACTGTGTGTGAGAAATCAGATTCTGGGAATTTTGGAGTCAATGGATAACTTTAGAGGTCACTCACTCATTAGGCAGCTTGTATAGTGGTTAGACCCTCAGCAGAAGGTGCCTAAGAATTCTTCTTTCCTGACAAGTCTTTATAACGTTGGGGTTTTAAAGTGCAGAGTTAAAACCTGTATTTCCTGGCCAGCCACGGTGGCTCATGCCTGTAATCCTAGCACTTTGGGAGGCTGAGGCGGGCGGATCACCTGAGGTTGGGAGTTCCAGACCAGCCTGACCAACATGGTGAAACCCCATCTCTACTAAAAATACAAAATTAGCTGGGCATGGTGGCGCATGCCTGTAATCCCAGCCACTTGGGAGGCTGAGGCAGGAGAATCGCTTGAACCCAGGAAGTGGAGATTGTGGTGAGCCGAGATAGCGCCTTTGCACTCTAGCCTGGGCAACAAGAGCAAAACTCTGTCTCAAACAAAACAAAACAAAACAAAACAAAAAGGAAAAAAAAACCCTGTATTTCCTAGCATTCCTTGTAAAGAGGTGTGTCAAATGAGATAAATATAGAAGGTATAGTTTGGCAGAATGTCTGGAAATGTTCTTTAAAGGAGGCAATCTCAACTGGCAGGAACTGTCACCCCTGCCCCTTTCTGTCTGGAATTACCACCAGGAGGTGACTTGAGGATAAAACACAATTTCTTGCAGATTTTGACACTGAAAAGATGAATCAGATGTTACCTGTACCCTCAAAGAACTCCACAGATCAGACAGGCACTTGAGCAAATCTGTCATATGGTAGACAGGCAGAGCAACAGAAACTTGCCTCTGTTGCAGAGAAGAGCACCATTAACTACAGGGGCTAGAGGCAGTGTACAGGCAGGAAAGACTTCCTGGAAGAGACGACATAACTCCCCATTACCCATGTGCCCAGCCCCTGGCAACCACCATTCTACTTTCTGTCTCTGAATCTGACTGCCCTAGGTACCTCACATAAGTGGAATCATACAGTATGTGTGCTTCTATGTCTGGCTGATTTCACTCAGCGTAATGTCCTCAAGGTTCATCCATGTTGTAGCATGTGTCAGATTTTCCTTCCTTTTATAAAGGCTGAATAATATTCCGTCGTGTGTAGATACCACATTTTGCTTATCCATTTATCTGTCAGTGAATGCTCGGGTTGCTTCTACATTTTACTATGTCCATAATGCTGCTATGAACTTGGGAGTACAAATTATAGTTTTTTGACCCCGAGTTCAGTACTTTAAATTTTCACTCTAATAAATTTCATTTAGTTTAATTTGGGTGACTGTTTACCAGCTGAGATAATTTTGGATATTTACTCACTGTCCCTACCAGCTTTGTGTCAGCTGAAAATGAGATCAGCGTAACAACATCTCTTTTTGAGTAAACATTACGTGCCCCGTGCTTTACAGGCATCATCTGATTTAACAATTATAACTTCCAGAGGCAGGTGCCATTATTATTATCTTCATTTTACAGATGAGGAAACTGAGGCTGCCATCGTTTTTTGGATTAGTGATTTCAAGTACAGTAATTACAATTTCACAGAAGTATACTAGCTCTAATTTCTCTTTTTGCCCAATGGGATGAGAAACTACAAAAAACCCCCACAGCTCACATTTAAATAAATGATATTTATATTTGGCACTCCCCTCAAGGTTACTAATAATCCAGCAAGCATACTAAAAAAACCAAATTGTTGCCAAGTGCACACACAGTCAGAACTGACCATAATATCCACAAGGCCAACAACCAGATGTGTATAGGCACCTGACGCAGAGTTAGGCCTTAATAAATGTTAGATGATGATGTCCTTTATAAATCCACACACCTTGCAGTGTTCTCCAGTTCTCTTTCTAGGTGCTCAGGGATCATTTGTTTGATGAGATGTTCTTGCATAGTTCTGAGGAATCACCAGCATCAGGCTCAAACATCACAGACATTGTGTATCGCTTATCATCTGGCACCTGCCTCTGCTCCACAATGCCTCAAGGCTTATTGACAGTAGTTTATGGAGTATATCATGGTCAGCTGCTACTTTTCTGAGACCCGTGGGATGTAATTCAAATTGATCAGAGGAAACAAACCCACTGGGCACTGGGTATGCTACCTTCCCTGCACATGGTCCTTCCAGCTGGGTCTCTGATGAAAGAGAAATATAGGAGTTGAATAGTTGTTTTCCCTGCCATGGTATCCATTATTCATCCTAAATACCTCTCAGTATATCTTCAAGAATACTTTTGATCACCTGCCAGTTTTTTCTTTTCTTTTTTTAGACACAATCCCACTTTGTTGCACAGGCTGGAGTGCAGTGGCATGATCTCAGCTCACTGCAACCTTCGCCTCCCAGGTTCAAGCAATTCCCCTGCCTCAGCCTCCCAAGTAGCTGAGATTACAGGCATGTGCCACCATGCCCAGCTAATTTTTGTATTTTCAGTAGAGACAGGGTTTTGCCAAGTTGGCCACGCTGGTCTTGAACTCCTGGCCTCAAGTTATCCACCCATCTCAGCCCCGCAAAGTGCTGAGAACACAGGCGTGAGCCACTGTGCCCAGCCTACCTACAGGTTTTTTCAAGTGTCATTACTTGTTCTGGGATTGTGTCTCCCCGATCCTATTAGCAGCAGTGAGCTAGCTCTTCAGAAATTTATAGATGAATGGAGCCTGGGTGGTTCCATCCAAGCTTTTAAAAAATGTACCTGTAATAGGCTGGGTGTGGTGGCTCACACCTGTAATCCCAGCACTTTGGGAGGCCAAGGCGGGCGGATCACTTGAGGTCAGGAGTGCGAGACCAGCCTGGCCAACATCGTGATACTCCGTCTCTACTAAAAATACAAAAAATTAGCTGGGCACGGTGGCAGATGCCTGTAGTCCCAGCTACTCAGGAGGCTGAGGCACGAGAATCACTTGAACCTGGGAGGCGGAGGTTGCAGTGAGCCGAGATCACGCCACTGCACTCCAGGCTGGGCAACAGAGTGAAACTCTATCTTTAAAAAAAAAAAAGTGCCTGTTATGGTTTTCCCTGTGATTTTTTTTTTTTTTTTTTTTTTGGAGACGGAGTCTTGCTCTGTCACCCAGGCTGGAGTGCAGTAGTGCAATCTCAGCTCACTGCAACCTCCGCCTCCGGGGTTCAAGCAATTCTTCTGCCTCCTGAGTAGCTGGGATTACAGACGCGTGCCACCACGCCCAGCTAATTTTCATATTTTTTGTAGAGATGGGGTTTCACCACATCGGCCAGGCTGGTCTTGAACTCCTAACCTTGTGAGATCTGCCTGCCTCGGCCTCCCAAAGTGCTGGGATTACAGGTGTGAGCCACTGCGCCTGGCCTGACCATACTTTTTTAAATTACAAAATATGCTTTTTATTTCTCAGTGCTGGGCTTTTAAAAAGAGCCATTAGAGATTTCTATAGACAAAGTTACAGCCTTGTAATACTATCTTTACCCTGCAAGTCACACAAATGCGGTAAACTGATTTTCAGCCAAAGCATTAAATCAATTCAATGGGGAAAAAAATTCTTCTTAAGAAATGATGTTGGAACAATTGGATATCCATATGGCAAACAACCTTAACCCCTCTCTCTCACTGTTATATGCAAAAATTAATTCAAGACAGATCAAAGACCTAAATGTAGAAGCCAGAACCATAAAGCTTCTAGAAAAATACATCAGAGAGTACTTTTTGAAATCATGGGGTAAGGATTTCTTGGACAGGACACAAAAAGCACTAACTCATTGAAAACTGGATTTCAAAATTTAAAATAATTTCTGCTCATTAAAATACATCATTAAAAAAATGAAAATGCAAGCCACAGGTTGGGAAAAAATATGAGCTGAATATATATGTAACAAAGGACTTGTCTGCAGAACTCCAACAAATCAGCAGATGATGAGGTCAGGAGATTGAGACCATCTTGGCTAACACATGGTGAAACCCCATCTCTACCAAAAATGCAAAAAAATTAGCCAGGTATGGTGGTGGGCACCTGTAGTCCCAGCTACTCGGGAGGCTGAGGAAGGAGAATGGTGTAAACCCAGGAGGTGGAGCTTGCAGTGAGCCGAGATCGCACCACTGCACTCCAGCCTGGGCAACAGAGCGAGACTCCATCTCAAAAAAAAAAAAAAAAATGTCCGGGCGCAGTGGCTCACGCCTGTAATCCCAGCACTGTGGGAAGCCAAGATGGGTGGATCACCTGAGGTCAGGAGTTCAAGACCATCCTGGCCAACATGGTGAAACCCCATGTCTACTGAAAATACAAAAATAGCCTGGTGTGGTGGTGCATGCCTGTAATCCCAGCTACTCAGGAGGCTAAGGCAGGAGAATTGCTTGAACCCAGGAGGCGGAGGTTGCAGGGAGTGAAGATCGCGCCATTGCACTCCAGCCTGGGCCACAGAGTGAAACTCCATTTCAAAAAAAAAAAAAAAAGACTTACAATCCTGAAGTTTGGAGAGGATATGCGGCAAATGGAACTCCCATACATTCTTGGTGGGAATGTAAAACAGTACAACCACTTTGGAAAATTGACAGTTTCTTATAGTTAAACATATATCAACCCAATCACAGCAACTCCACTTATAGATATTTATCTAAGAAAATAAAAACATAAGTCCACAAAAAAAATTATACAAATGTTCACAGCAGCCTTATTCATAATGGCCCCACACTAGAAACAAATGTTCACATCATAAATTATGATGTCACACAATGGAATACAGTAAAACAGTAAAAAGGAATTAACTATTAATGAATTTTTTTCTTTTTAAAAATTTTATTAATTTTTTTGTAGAGATGTGAGTCTCACTGTGTTGCCCAGGCTGGTCTCAACCTGCTGGCCTCAAGTGATCCCCCTGCCTCAGTCTTCTAAAGTGCTGGGATTACAATGAACCACCTCGCCTAGCCTGTATGAATCTTAAAAACATTATGTAGAGTGAAAGATGGCAGGCCCACACACAGAAGACCCATACTGTAGAATTCCACTTTTTTGAAATTCAGGAATAAGCCAGCCTTATTTATAGCAACACTAGTCAGAAGGCGGCAGTGGCGGTGGTGGCTGAGGCGGAGGGAATCGAACAGAAAGAGGCACAAGGCTACATTCTAGAGTGATGGAAATGTTCTGTATCTTGTTTGGTGCTTGGGTTACATGGTGGTACAACTGTCAAAACTCATCAAATTGAATATTTAAGATCTGTGTTTTTAATTGTATGTAAATTATACCTTAATTTTTAATCACCTTAAGTAGTTGTGCCCAAGGACATAGAACAACCTGTTCACACCTTGCAAATTCAGTTCTGTAATCAAACTAAATGGATATGTGTGAATTAGAAGTCTCTTTCCTTTAAAACAAAACAAAAAAACCTGTAAGCTTACTTTTGGGGACATCATCGGTACAGGCTGGGGCCAAGAGAATAAGTTTTCTGAGAAAGAAACTTCAAGCTAAGGCCCAGTAGGCTGGTGAATCCCAGCACTTGCTGAGCGTATCTGAAGATGGCACTTTTCCCTGGGCAGTGTGTCACACTGGGTGAGTGGCTGAGCTCCAGATGTTAGGAAGTCCTCACCACTCATGAACAACTCATACTGAGGAAGGGAGGGTTCAAAAGGGGTTCTCCCGTATCATTTCTGGCAAGCAAATTTAATGATGGCTATTCATAGAGCATTGGTATGTATCAGTTTGCAGTTGTAGCTATACAGGTTGGGCAATAAGACTTGGCACTGAAAGAGTGGCAAGCCCTCACTTAGTGTCAGCCTCCACTGTGCCTCAAGGGCCACTCACCATGAGACTAGCCCCAGATCCAGCCCCACACCTTCCAGAGCACTGCATCCTGAGAGGCACCTCCACAGACTTGATGCACACCTCTGTCCCCTCAGGCACATTCCAAAAGGCCAGTGTCAAGACCCATACTGTAGAATTCCCTTTATTTGAAATGCAAATAAGACTCATTTGATAATTTGATTTTTCTGTGAATTCTTTTCAGTAATTTCATCCTAATATAAAGCACTGGGGCCAGAGGTGAGGGTCACGGCCCTAGTTATGAAGTGAGACAGATCCTCAACCTAACTTAAAACAAACTGTAGGGCTGAGAGCAGTGGCTCACACCTGTAATCCCAGGACTTTGGGAGGCCGAGGCAAGTGGATCACTTGAGCCCAAGAGTTTGAGACCAGCCTGGGCAACATGGCAAAACTCCTTCTCCACAAAAAATACAAAAATTAGCTAGGCATGGTGGCACAAACCTGTAGTCCCAGCTACTCAGGAGAGGAGACTGGGGTGGGAGGATCTCTTGAGCCCAGTAGGTCAAGGCTGCAGTGGGCTGTGATTGCACCACTGTACTCCAGCCTGGGCAACAGAGCCTATCTCAAAAGAAAAAAAAAAAAAAGATTGGGACATTAGCTAGGCTGATTAGGTGTTTTAGGTGCTTGTGTATAAAATGACACCTGTAATTTATGTAGATTGATTAATAAATACTTATTAAGCACAGACTATGAGCCAGGCCTCAGCAAAGTGCAGGATACTTCAGTAAGCCAAACAGATATAGTTTCTGCTTGCAAAGAGTGTACAGTCTAGGAGGAGAGATAAGATAATCAAATAATCACATAAATATGTAATTATGATTTGAGATTAAATGCTATAAAGGAAAAGAATGGTGCTATGAGAGACTCAGCAGGATATAAATTAGCCTTATTATTATTATAATGGAGTCTCACTCTGTCACCAGGCTGGAGTGCAGTGGCATGATCTCAGCTCACTGCAACCTCTGCCTCCTGGGTTCAAGCATTCCTCCCACTTCAGCCCCCTGAGTAGCTAGGACCACAGGCACATGCCACCACACCCAGCTATTTTTTTTGTATTTTTGGTAGAGACGGGGTTTCCCATATTGCCCAGGCTGGTCTTGAGGCTGGTATTCAACTCTTGTCCTCAAGTGATCCGCCCGTCTCAGCCTCCCAAAGTGTTGGGATTACGGGCGTGAGCCACCGTGCCCAGCCAAATTAGCCTTATGTTTATCTATTTTTTATTTTTTGGGGACAGAGTGTCACTCTGTCACCCAGGCTGGAGTGCAGTGGTGCACTCTTGGCTCACCACAACCTCTGTTTCCTGGGTGCAAATGATTCTCCTGCCTCAGCCTCCCGAGTACCTGGGATACAACTGTGAGCCACGACACCCAGCTAATTTTTTTTGTATTTTTATTTATTATTTTTTTAGAGACAGGGTCTTGCTCTGTTGGTCAGGCCGGAGTGCAGTGGGGCGATCATAGCTTACTGTAGCCTCGAACTCCTGGGCTCAAATGATCCTCCTGCCTAGGCCTCCCAAAGTGCTGGGATTATAGGCATGAGCCACCACGCCAGCCCTGTATTTTTAGTAGAAACCGGGTTTCACCATGTTGGCCGGGCTGGTCTCAAACTCCTCACCTCAAGTGATCTGCCCGCCTTGGCCTCCCAAAGTTAGCCTTTGTTTTTTGAGACGAAGTGGAGAAGTGCAGTGGTGCGATCTCAGCTCACCGCAAGCTCCGCCTCCCGGGTTCACGCCATTCTCCTGCCTCAGCCTCCCGAGTAGCTGGACTACAGGCGCCTGCTACCATGCCCGGCTAATTTTTTGTTTTTTAGTAGAGACGGGGTTTCACCGTGTTAGCCAGGATGGTCTCGATCTCCTGACCTCGTGATCCACCCACCTCAGCCTCCCAAAGTGCTGGGATTACAGGCATAAGCCACCGCGCCCGGCCAGTTAGCCTTATTTTTAAAAGTGTTCAATGACAGATTTATAATGCACTTTGAGTTCCACGTGAGAAAGGTTTCACACTCTGAGGCTCAATTACGATAAAAACACTGACATTGTGAGTCATTTTCTATCCACTGACCCCTACCCTGCTCCTTGACTATCAATCCCCACTTGCTGTGCTCTATTCAGAGTTGAGCTCAGTCTCTCTCCCCAACTGCAAGACTCATTGCAGAGGTACCTATACCTGCCGCCATGGTCCTGAATAAAGTCTTCATCACCATGAAAAAAACCCAAACATTGACATTGGTTGTGCAGTAAAAGGCACAGCAGCCCAATGTCATTAAAAACCCAATTTGTGATTAACAGACACTCCCCTTCCCCAGAGCAGTAACCAGACCCAAAAGCATTTCTTCAGAATGAAGACTCCAAAAGAGGTAGGAAGGAAAAGTACAATGTTCAGAACTTCAAACTGCAATTATGCAACTCTCTCATGATGCTCTGTGTTCAGGCATCATGGCTGAAAACCCTGGATTATTGGTTGTAAATCATACTACAAATAACCAAGCTTCAGCTATCTCATCTTTGTCAAATACAATTAAATCCAGTGGTCAATTCTCACCTTCATCCCACTTTGACCTATCAGCAGCATCTGACATGGCAGGTTCCAACCTCCTTGAAACACTCTTCACCCGACTTCCACAACACAAATTTCTTCTGATTTTCCTCTTACCTCTCTGACCACTTCTCGGTTCCTTCTGCTCATTTCTCCTGATGGTGACTGTAGTAACCATGGCTCAGTCCCCAGTCTATTTCTCTTTTCTATCTATACTCACTCCCTTGGTGGTTCCATTCAGTGTCATGGCTTTTAAATGTTATCTATTCCCTGATGACTCCCAAAGTTATCAGCCAGGTCCTCTTTAAGCTCCAGACGGGTGCAAACAACCGCCTATTAACATCTCTACTTGGATGTTTAATAGGCATCTCACACTTAAAATGTCCAGAACTAAACTCCTGATGTTTCTCCCCACCAAACATACTCTTCCCACAATGCCTTCATCTCAGAAACTGGTAACACAAACTTTTCAAATGCTCAAGTTAAAACCTTGGAGTTATCCTTGAGTCTTCTTTTTCTCTCACACTTCACATCTGATCCATTAACAAGTCTTGCTGGCTCTCTACCTTCAAAATATACCCTGCATCCAAGAACCTCTATTGTGCAGACATCCACGTGGCTTTCTCTCTCTCTCTCACGTTTCCTTCAGGTCTCTACTTCCATGTTGGCTTTTCAGAAACAGGTGTATTCTTCCATTGTTTGTCTCTCCCCACCATCCCTGCTAGAATGTATCCTCCTTGAAGACAACAAATTTTTTGTCTGTTTTGTTCATTGCTATATCCCTAGTGCCTAAAACAAGGTCTGACATGTAGTTGGTGCTAAATATTTGCTGAAAGAATGAAAGATTTCAGACCTAGTTCCTGCACAGTCAATAAACTAAGACATATATACTGAGCCCATCAAAACCATACTATAGAAAACCATATATACTGAGCTCACCAAAACCATCAGTAGGCTCTTGCAATGTTTAAAAATGTAATAAAGAGCTCCCTCTCCCTCTCCCTCTCCCCCTCCCCCTCCCCCTCCCCCTCTCCCTCTCCCTCCACGGTCTCCCTCTGATGCCGAGCCAAGGCTGGACGGTACTGCTGCCATCTCGGCTCACTGCAACCTCCCTGCCTGATTCTCCTGCCTCAGCCTGCCGAGTGCCTGCGATTGCAGGCGCGCACCGCCACGCCTGACTGGTTTTCGTTTTTTTTTTGGTGGAGACGGGGTTTCGCTGTGTTGGCCGGGCTGGTCTCCAGCTCCTAGCCGCGAGTGATCCGCCAGCCTCGGCCTCCCGAGGTGCCGGGATTGCAGATGGAGTCTCGTTCACTCAGTGCTCAATGGTGCCCAGGCTGGAGTGCAGTGGCGTGATCTCGGCTCGCTGCAACCACCTCCCAGCCGCCTGCCTTGGCCTCCCGGAGAGCCGAGATTGCAGCCTCTGCCCGGCCGCCACCCCGTCTGGGAAGTGAGGAGCGTCTCTGCTTGGCCACCCATCGTCTGGGATGTGAGGAGCCCCTCTGCCTGGCTGCCCAGTCTGGAAAGTGAGGAGCGTCTCTGCCCGGCCGCCATCCCATCTGGGAAGCGAGGAGCGCCTCTTCCCCGCCGCCATCCCATCTAGGAAGTGAGGAGCGTCTCTGCCCGGCCGCCCATCGTCTGAGATGTGGGGAGCACCTCTGCCCCGCCGCCCTGTCTGGGATGTGAGGAGCGCCTCTGCTGGGCGCTCAAGTTCAAGTGATTTTCCTGCCTCAGCCTCCTGAGTAGCTGGGACTACAGGCATGCACCACCACACCCAGCTAATTTTTTTTATTTTTTATAGAGACAGGGTTTCGCCATCTTGGTCAGGCTGGTCTTGAACTCCTGGCCTCAAGTGATCCGCCCACCTCGGCCTCCGAAAGTACTGGGATTACAGGCGTGAGCCGCCACACTGGCCAGACATAAGCATCTTTCATGTTATCATAAATAGTTTTATGGGTTACATAACAGGTATGTCATTGTGAAAGTGGAAAGACAAATTCAAATTGTTTTTCCTCTGCTTTCACACCACAATAATCAACACAGAAGACCAAATGTGTGGGGGTTTCTCCCCACACACCAAGCAAGCAAGCAATTCTGCAGTCAACACCTGCTGGTGTCCTTCAATTCAATTCTGACGATATCTACCTGGAGAATCGCATCAGATCCCCCAGGTAGAGGGCTCAGTCCCACAGACTTCCCCTTCCCGACTTCCAATGCCATCAAAAGCCCCAGGTTGTTTCAACTGTGCCTCTGCCTGATGGGCTACAGACTGGAGATCCTATGACTCCCTCCTTCAGATCAACTAATTTGCTAGAGCAGCTCACAGAACTCTGGGAAACACTTACTTATATTTACTGGTTTATTATAAAGAATATTACAAAGGATAGAGATGAAGAAGGTGCATAGGGCAAGGTATGGGGGAAGGGGCTTGGAGCTTTCATGCCCTCCCTGTGTTTATGGAGGCTTCATTAACTAGGCATGATTGATTAAACCACTGGCCATTGACGATCAACTTAACCTTCAGTCCCACTCTCCTCCCCAGAGGTTGCAGAGTGGGGCTGAAAGTCACAACCCTCTAATCATGCTTTGATGTTTCCTATGACCAGTCCCCAGCCTGAAACTACCCAGGAGCTGCCAGCCACCAGTTAACTCATTAGCATACAAAAAACCATCACTCAGGAGATTCCAGGGATTTGGTTGGTGCAAAAGCAACTGCGGTTTTTGCCATTACTTTGCGGCAAAATCTGCAATTGCTTTTGCACCAACCTATTGAAATTGCATGCCAGGAAACAGAGACAGAAGACCAAATATGTATTTCACAATATCACAGCCACTGACCGTATGAACTAGCTTTTCATTCTCTAGTGTTACACATTTATGACATTTTCATTTTGCTTCCTGTTATACAGGTTAAGAAATTATGGTCCAGAGGCCAGGCAGGGTCACTCCCAACTGTAATCCCAGCACTTTGGGAGGCTGAGGTGAGCCGATCACTGAGGCCAGGAGTTCAAGACCAGCCTGGCCAACATGACGAAACCCCATCTCTACTAAAAATACAAAAATTAGCCAGGCATGAAGGCGCACACCTGTAATCCCAGCTACTCGGGAGGCTGAGGCACAAGAATCGCTTGAACCCAGAAGTGGACATTGCAGTGAGCCGGGATTGTGCCACTACACTCCAGCCTGGGAGATAGAAACACTGTCTCAAAAAAAAAAAAAAAAAAAAATTACGATCCAGAAATTACACGATTTGCCTAAGGTTATCATCCTAAGTAAAATACAATTATGAAAGTAAATAATAAAGATTTTGAGGTTATAAAGTGATACAGTAAAATCTCAAAGCCAAGTAGAAGTGTTTTGGGTTCTATTTTGGGGTTATCTATTCTCATGAGAAATTGAGAGCTGACAATTTGAGAGTAGCACAGTTATCCCAGGCCAGAAAGGAAGACCACACTAAGTACTCAGTTCCCATTTTTCACAGTCTTCATTCCAAATCCTTGATTATAGAGGACTGATAGAAATCTTTACAGAAGCTCTTGGGAATGACTTAGAAAGGTGGCAGAGAGAGTGAGCTATGTTCCCACGAATTTCAGGACTATCCAGGGTCCCAAAGAGTATATACATTTTATCACTGGCTACCTTGAGAAATGACAGTACCTTGGACAAAAACACTACTTGCAATTCCTTTCTAAGAGCAGGAGCTAGCAAACAAGTGCTTAAGGACAGGGTTCAAGGGTACTAAGTAACATGGAAATATTCGATTCTTCCTTCTTAATGTTTAATCCATATTTTCTTTCTTTTTTTTTTTGAGACGTACTTTCGCTCTTGTTGCCCAGGCTAGAGTGCAATGGCACGATCTTGGCTTACTGCAACCTCTGCCTCCCGAGTTCAAGCAATTCTCCCGCCTCAGCCTCCCTAGTAGCTAGGATTACAGGGACCCGCCATCACACCCAGCTAATTTTTTGTATTTTTAGTACAGACGGGGTTTCACTATGTCGGCCAGGCTGGTCTCCAACTCCTGACCTCAGGCGATCCACCTGCCTCAGCCTCCCAGAGTGCTGGGATTACAGGCATGAGCCACCGCGCCTGGCTCTAATCCATATTTTCTAAGTGTTTATTCACATCACCATGAGAGAAAATTTTTTTTTGTCTTTGAAGACAAGGTACTTCAGTGAGCTCATTCCCAACCCAATGTCTAATTTATAAGGAGGTGTTAGAGTGTAGGGAATTCTTCCTGCTTTCATGTTTTTCTCAGTATCTCCTACCATTCTAACTTTCATGAACCCAAGCTTTTCAAGTGTCTTTCATTCTCACTTTTTAAAACACCTGCCATTTAAATTTTCAAGTAATAAGGACTTTTAGACTCCAAATTTCAGTTTGCTTTTAAGTTTGCTAATATAAATCTACTACTTTTGAATGCAAGAAAGATAATGTTCCATTACTATACTGTATATAAGTTCTCAAAAATAGCAAAATCTCCAATTCCATTCTTTCCTAGATGTACTCTAATTCCAATTGTGGATTTGTTCTAGAATTGGACCCCCTGTTATAGAGACCCCCATCTCTACAAAAAAAAAAAAAACTTGTTTTATTAGCTGTCTATGGTGGCATGCACCTGTGGTCCCAGCTACTCAGGAGGCTGAGGTGGGAGGATCACTTGAGCCCAGGAGTCAGAGGCTGCAGTGAGCTGTGATCACGCCACTGTACTCCAGGCTTGGTGACAGAGCAAGACCCTGTCTCAAAAATGAATAAACATTTAAAAATAAATATGCATGAGTGACTTTTCAGGCATCAGAAAGGCACTTTTCCTATTTCTAAGTTAGTGGTCTCTCTGATCCTGTGTTTTCTGAACACCGACCTCTGCATTTCAACTTCTAACATCAGATGACATTGCATCCCCATTCCATTTCTCCTCTTATGGGAAAACTAGAAAATCAGTTCAGTGAAAGTAGCTTCTATTAGCATTGCTGGTTTATCTGGTAGGGTTTCCTCATGGTTGGCCTGTCAAACACTGTTGATTACTTTATTACAGGCCAGATATGATAACTGCCCTCAGCTGCTCCAGAAAATGGCATAGAAGTTAAGTAATTATTTGTCAAAGGTTTCACTGTCATAGCAACCAGGACTTTTGAGAGTCCTCTGTAAGTCTACCTTTCTCTGAAAACAAGTGTTTTTCTGATTGGAGTTCAGAAAACTCACACAAATCCACAGGTCACACCACAGCCGTATTTAAGCAGTACCCTCTCCAAAAGCTCATTCAAAGTATTTGTGCCCACGTTCAAAACACCCTCCCACAGTCCATCCAGTTCCACAGGTGGCAACTGCTCCCTTCCATTTTACCTTGACTTGATTTTGGCCTACTTGTCTTACCTTCCTCTGGGTCAACGTGAAAGTAATGAAGGTTTCTGCACAGAACACAATGATTTTCATGAAGCCTTTCTGACAGAATTTGGTTAACAGTACTGATTTTCCCCAGAGGTTACATTTGCTTTTGATAATGCCCCATTATAACTCCTGAGGTATTTATACAAAATAACCCCACAGGTGCAAGAAAAGTTGGTAAAAAGCACAGTCACAATACCCATAGTTATGGTATGATGCTGAATTATGAAGCCAAGACAAAGTTTTCTTCTTCTTTTTTTGTTTTTTGAAACAGAGTTTAGCTCTTGTCCAGGCTGGAGTGCAATGGCGCGATCTCGACTCACTGCAAATTTTGCCTCCCAGGTTCAAGCGATTCTCCTGCCTCAGCCTCCCAAGTAGCTGGGATTACAGGCGTGCACCACCATGCCCCGATAATTTTGTATTTTTAGTAGAGACGGGGTTTCATTATGTTGGTGAGGCTGGTCTCAAACTCCTGACCTCAGGTGATCCACCCACCTTGGTCTCTCAAAGTGCTAGGATTACAGGCATGAGCTACTGCGCCCGGCCCAAAGCTTTCTTCTTTAAACTGATTTCACCTGTTAACATTATTATACTTCCAATGTATCTTCTTATAAGGGCAAGGGGAAAAACCTGCTGCAAAGTCAAATGTAAATAGAAAATTAGTTTTTATCAAGCTAGGGACAAACTGACTTTGATGATTAGAATCAGGGACCATCTTTTAAAAATCACATAGTTCTAATTTTTAAGTTTTGGGTCAGAGGAGGCTTTCTAAAAAATTGCTAGTTCTACTACCAATGTGTTCTAGTATTACTATAGAAATCAGATAGCAATTGCCCTAGCAAATAAAAATAATAATGAGGGCTGGGTGTGGTGGCTCACACCTGTTATCCCAGCACTTTGGGAGGCCAAGGCAGGCAGATCATCTGAGGTCAGGAGTTCAAGACCAGCCTGGCCAACATGGTGAAACCCCTTCTCTACTAAACATACAAAAATTAGCTGGGCGTGGTGGTACATGCCTGTAGTCCCAGCTACTCAGGAGGTTGAGGCCAGAGAATCGCTTGAACCTGGGAGGCGGAGATTGCAGTGAGCCGAGATCGCACCACTGCACTCCAGTCTGGGTGACAGAGTGAGACTCCGTCTCGATAGATAGATAGATAGATAGATAGAGAATTAGACCCAGACCAATGATTATTCCATGGCAAAGTGGGAAAACCAGGTGGTAAGAGATAACCTCTCACAACAGAATCTTTATCTGTGAAATAAGGATTCGACCAACAGAACCGTCTGTTGAAAATTTCCTCTCTTGGTCCAGGCAGGTTCTCTAAACTCCCAATCCCAAAGCAGTTAATTTTTTCACGTTTCCTGTAAAATGGATGGCCTTAAAACTCTTTTGTTCTCTAGTGTAGCTTTCCAGAAGGAAATAAGTTTCCTTATCAAGAATGAATCTAGCTTCCCCGACTCAAAAACAACCATCTTCTCTATATTGCTCCATATCACAATAAATTTAAGTGCCTTCCTTTTCTAAATTAAATGCTGTTCCCTTCAACTTAAGGGCCACACACTAAGGGCTATTCCTTTAGAGGCTTTTGGGCCCCACAGATCACAAAGGTGGTGCCCTGCCCTAGTTCTTTCTGGACATTTAAAAGGACATCCACTTTCTTGCCCTCAGGATAACATTATGGGAACAATGAACATAAATAAGACAGTTAAATAAGCTTCCCTGATGCCTATCCAATACAGCTTTCAACTCTTCTATCCTGCCTTGTTCTTTAGATCGTGCTGTAGTCTGGAGGGTAAACTCTTCACACAACCATTCCCAAGCCCTCATGTCCCTGTCCACTCTTCCTCCCTCACCTTTTAAGTGTGATAGGGCCTTGATGGGAAGACCTCACTTCACCTTTTGTCTCAAGTCCATCTGCTTCCTTCCAGAGCTACAAATACAAAGGTAGGCCAGGGCCATTGAGACGTGGCCATAGGGCACATGGGAGCTGGCAGAGCCACTCGCACCTTCTGGGGTGTCCCTTCTTCCACCTGTCAACTGAACACCCGTTTCTTAAAGATTTATCCCCAAAAGTCCCATCTCATTCTGAAAGGGGACGAACCAGCTACCCCACGAGCCCTTTGTCTGAGCTTCTACACCTCACACATCCTCATCCACAAAGCGTCCATCCTCACACAGTCAGGTGGTCCGCTCGGCACAGGGCGGGGGAGACTAGGTTTTTGCATCTGGTAAAAGGATGGGTTATGTCTCAGGTTCTTCCAGGATCCCAAATCCTATAATTCTACCACCAAGCCTGCGGGTCCTATTTCTGCGGTGGAAAGGGCGAATCCCAAGGCGACCCTCCACTCCACGCGCCTGCAGGCAGTTGGAACAAGCCCCCTCCAACCCCGGCTCTGCGGGTCCACGCCTCCAACCTCCGGCGCCGGGCCGCGGAGAAGGCCCTGTCGGCGCCCGCTCCCGGCCGCGCCATGCCCTCTTTCGCCCTCACCCGCCACCGGTGGCCGCCTCTCACCTGGCACGCTGGCATCGCCCACTCCGCGCTGCACTGGAAACCATGGGTCCGACGGGGTCTCGGGGGCCACCCATCCGCCTTAAGGAAGGCTGGCGGGGATGCGCGGGCCCGGGAGTCCAGGGCGCCGCCACCGGGAACGCGCCGCCTGGTTTCTAAGGAACTGGGGGCTCTGGAAAGGGAGGGGCGGGACGGCAGGAGGACTGCGCATGCTCCATAACGGGGATGGGCCTGCGCTGGGAGGGGCCGTAGCCGGGAGCTGCGCATGCTCGCTTTTTGGGGGCGGAGCTTAAGCAGCCTGGCTAGGAGGCTCAGGTTATTCATTTCCGGCGGCGGAGGCGGCAGTTTCCTAAGCTTGGCTTCTCTCCGGTCCGCTGACCGGCGTCAGGGACCAGGTTTTGGTAGCTGTGGGTAGCCTCAGTTGTCCTGGAATGAAAGACGGTTTCGTGTTGGACAAGGACATATCTGCAGAAGGCCAGTTCTCTCGAACTCGTCGGACTTCCTGGCTCCCTGACCCCCAGTGACTCGTTTTTCCGTTTTCTCAGGTGCCTGTCTGGGCTCCTCTTCCTCTGGATGTTTTTTGATTGTTCCTTAAATATCAGTGCTCTTCAAGACTGTAACCTCAGTCCCCTTGGCCTCTTTACTGAAGCCTATGCCCCACCAAATAGCAAACTATCCGCTAGAGTAAGGAAGCCGTTAGACCTTAGAATAAAACTGCCTGTGTAGGAAATGTGATTGGGGTTTGTATCTGCATGGGGAGCCCCCGTCCCTGCTTGTCTGACCCTCCTGCTGAGTATCAAGATCCCCACTCAGCTGGCATTAGGATGATCTCCCAGCCATCATTCCAGAGCAGCCTGTGGTGACAGAATATGTCAGCTGACCTAAGCGTGAGGCAGTTCCTACTGAGATATGCTAACTAGCAGCAGAGCTATCCCTGCTTTGAGCGGAGACAGGACTCCTACCACCTCTGTGAGGAGCATGGAAGGCTTCCAAAGTGATGAGAAGTTGTAACCCCTAAACCCCCCCTCTTCTGATGGGATTTTATCCTTTCTCTCCTGGATCCTCTAGAGCCAGGCAGAAGGAAGGCAGAGTCAAAATGTGCCTGTTTGATCTGTTTCTTAGTCATTGTTCGGAGTTCCACTCTTCTTGAGTAGGATTTCTCAACAGTGGCACTATTGACATTTTGGACCTGATAATTCTTTGTTGGGCAGGGGTGGGGGGAGCTGTCTGCATTGTAGGATGTTTGGCAGCATCCCTGGCTCTACCCAGTAGATGCCAGTAGCACCCCAAGCCCAGTTGTGACTACCAAAAATATCTCCAGACATTGCCAAGTGTCTCCCTGGGAGCAAAATCATTCCCAGTTGAGAACCACTAGTCTAGGGGGAAATGAGCCTACTCTGGCTTTACTTATATAGAACCAGGACTTTATGCTTAATCTAAAACCCATATTTTCCCCTTTATGCTACCTCTTCCCTAAGAGCATTCTATAGAGTAATAGTCCTGTAAGATTCTGCTGAGTGACACAGTCTGTAGTAACTTAAGTTTGGAAAGTGCAGGGTTAAGCAACACATTTTAACACAGGATTGAGCTTTTAATTAGCTGGTGGCGATCACTGTGAACATCCATAAGACAGTTTTCCTAATTTACTGGACCACCTCCCAATTCCAGTGACTTTTTTACTGGCAAACCTCCCCTAATTTACTGGCAAACCTCCCAATTCCAGTGACTTTTAGCCACTGCCTGCCCCCTTCTGTTCTGTGTTATTTTGTGGTACTATTATCCATCCCATCACCCCCAACCAAAGTCTGCATTTGCCTTGTCTCTTGCTTCTCCTATTTCCCTCACATTCAGTTATTCATCTTGTACCTCCAATTCTCTCCTAAATCTTTCTCAAACCTGCCCTCTTTGCAGCCTCCTACCTGGGTTCTTTTGCTCCAATTTGTCTCCAGTACCACCTTCAGGTGGACACCAGCATGATCTACCGTATCCCTCCTCTGCATAAAACCCTGGTGCCTCGGGGACAGGGCAGGCAGGAGTGGGCCAGTCACACCACTGGGCATCCTCATGGAGGAAGGATGCTCATGTGTACTGTGTGTATCCCTGTGTGCCAAACACTGCTGTATATCTGCCATAATCCTCTACCTCCACGGGGCAGAAGGATTTACCATGTTTTAAGGATGGGGAAACAGTCTCGGAGAAAGAGGTTAACTTTCCATGTTAACACAGTAAACGGTGCGAGGATTTTGAAACAAGCTCTTGCTCCTCAGGCAAGAGACAGGAAGCTAATTTCAATACCCGTCAGGCTGGGTGCCGTGGCTCACGCCTGTAATCCTAGTACTTTGGGAGGCCAAGGCAGGAGGATTGCTTGAGACCAGGAGTTCGAGACCAGCCTGGCCAACATGGTGAAACTTCTCTATAAAATATACAAAACTTAGCCAGGCATGGTGACACATACCTGTAGTTTTAGCAACTTGGGAGGCTGAGGTGGGAGGATCACTTGAGCCTGGGAGGTTGAGGTAGCAGTGAGCCATAATCATGCTACTGCACTCCAGCCTGGGAGAGAGAGCAAGACTTTGTCTCAAAAAAAAAAAAAAAAAAAAAAAACCCAAAAACAAACTCTCAAAAGAGGTACCCCCAGAAAACTTTCTGACTGTGCAGTATTTGAGGCGAGCATATTTGGAATTTTATTTTTTATTTTTTTAGGCAGGGCCTTGCTCTGTCATCCAGGCTGGAGTGCAGTGGCGCAATCATGGCTCACTGCAACCTCAACCACCCAGGCTCAAGCAATCCTCCAGCCTCAGCCTCCTGAGAAGCTGGAACCACAGGCAGACACCAACATGTCCAGCTAATTTTTTCTATTTTTTGTAGAGGCAGGGTCTATGTTGCCCAGATTGGCCTCGAATTCCTGGGGTCAAGCGATCCTCTTGCCTTGGCCTCCCAAAGTGCTGGGATTACAGGCGTGAGCCAATGCACCTGGCCCTGGAATGTTTTTGTTGTTGTTGTTGTTGTTTTTGAGATGGAGTTTCACTCGTCACCCAGGTTGGAGTGCAATGGTGTGATCTTGGCTCACTGAAATCTCTGCCTCCCAGGTTCAAGCGATTCTCCTGCCTCAGCCTCCCTAGTAGCTGGGATTACAGGCGCCCGCCACCACGCCTGGCTAATTTTTGTACTTTTAGTAGAGACGGGGTTTCACCATGTTGGCTAGGCTGGTCTCAAACTCCTGACCTCAGGTGATCTGCCTGCCTTGGCCTCCCAAAGTGCTGGGATTACAGGGTGAGCCACTGCACCTGGCTCTGAAATGTATTCTTAATACCTTATTTTTGTGGGGAAAAGTTCCTGTGGCCCACCTTTATTTAGTTGAATTTTTTTTTTTTTTTTTTTTGAGACAGGGTCTCACTCTGTCACCCAGACCGGAGTGCAGTGGTATGATCTCAACTCACTGCAGCCTTGACCTCCTGGGCTCGAGTGATCCTCCCACCTCAGCCTCCTGAATAGCTGGGACCACAGGAATGCGCCCCCATGCCCAGCTAATTTTTGTATTTTTTGTAGAGATGGGGTTTTGCCATGTTGCCCAGGCTGTTCTCGAACTCCTGAGCTCAAGGGATCCACCTGCCTCAGCCTCCCAACGTGCTGAGATTATAGGCGTGAGCCACTGTGCCCAGGCTCTTTAGTTGAATTTGCTACTTTTTCCTTGTATAAGAAGAAAGCCGTTTCAAGAGAGAACTGAGGTTTAAGTACCTGTCCTCTTTGGGGTCTTACAAATACACAGTTTCAAAGGTCCTTGAAGAAGGCACCTGAGGGCCTGGGCACTTGAGAGGCTGGGAAGGGCCCAAATCCTTTAGGACAGGATGTGTCACAGAAGGGGTGCCAACCTCAGTAAGACTCAAAACAGAGACCAGACACACATGACTGCTCATGGATGTGTATTTTAATAAAAATAATTCTGTCAAAATACAACAGAGTTTTTTTTTTGTCTCTCAAGTACAATTTTAATAAGATGTTTTGTGTTAGAGTTCTCTCTCCATCCTCCCACACCCACAAGTTTCATGCTAATGCCAAGTATCAACTCTTGAGGACAAAGGCAAAACCAGTGTGCACAATGTGGAGGATGTCTGTTGCAGCTGTAGTTACTAATGCAGGAAAACCCAATGCAAAGAGGAAAATGCCTGAGGCAGCCAGAGGCCACAATCTGGCCACAGGTCTGGGTGCATGAGACTGGCAGTCTAGTAGGGCTCCGCTGCCTGGCTGCCACATGGGTGCATACCTGAGTTGTGAGCAACCAAAGGAACTTTCAGCTCTGACAATTCTCTGCCTCATCTTCTTTGTGCTTGCTTAAGGAGTGGGAAGGCGCTAGGTGGCCAGGCAGTCCCCACTTCTGTCTCGTGGTGTCCATTTTGATGGCCTGCACCCAGCCACAGACCCATGAGGATGGGGATGGGGGTTCTGGCTTGCTATGAGTGCCAGTTTTTGCTCTGGAAGGAGTGACCATTTGGTGCCGCAAGGGGAAAGTGAGTAGGGAAGGCTGCTCCCCAGGGCCGGACAAACCAAGAAAGCCAGGTCTTCCTCCTGCCTCCATGGGTCAGGTCCAGCCCTTCACCAGGGCTCCCCCAGGTGCCTTTCCCACTCTAGGCTCCTGGAAGCAGGCTGGTAGGACTGGATGTGCATAAGGGGCACCTCTGGCTGGCAGGCAGGCAGGCCTGGACTCTCAGCAAGAGAGTGGGCTCAAGCAGCTTGGTTTTGGCCCTCTCCACAGCTTGTGGGGCAAAGGCTTATGTCCCAAAGGTGAGCTGCCCAACTGGGACAGAGAGCCCCTCTGGAGAGGAACAGAGTAAACAACTTGGACTCAGCTGAAACAGTGAGATAAGGCACAGAAAATGGGGAGGTGGCCATGGGTACCAAGTGCGAGCCAGGCAGACACCCAACCCCATGCAGCACACAGCTGTCCCGAGCCCTCCTGGGCCCTCTCAGCCACTCCACAACCTAAGCTCAGGCACCCGTCCTCATCCCTGACACACCCCTGAAGGTAGCAGCTTCTCAGATACTGCTGGAGGGCACATCAGCCTGACCCCTCATGGGGTTTATCTGCCATTCGGTTTCAGGACTAAATAGTGTTGCCCAACCCACAGGGATAAGGGATAGTCCCGGCTCTGCTACTAATTTGCTATGTGACTTTAGCCAAGTCACTTAATCTCCTGGGCCTGTTTCCTTATTTGTAGCAAGAGAGGAATGGGGGAGATGTTCACTGAACCCCATTCCAGCTGCAAAAGCCTGTGGTTTTAATCCAATCCTGCTAGGCTATGATCATTTAAACAGCCTGATGTCTCCAACTTCTGGGTTTGGGAGCTAGGTAGCCCCAGGCTGTCACAAGAGATGAATTTCCTTTACAGACAGGACGCCTCCTAACAGGCCATGGTCTATGGGTCTGCCAGCCCCAAGGACCAAGAAAAAGCAGCAGCTATAGGATCATTTCCCAAGGCAGAATTCTGACAGCACAGGGCCCAGGGCCCTGGCCCCATCACCAGCAGTTGGTCCAATTCAAACATTTTTCTTGTTGCCCAGCTGTGGGCCCAGTGAGGCCTGGTGAGCAATGGGTATCTCAGGCCACACCAACCATTCCCATGTCCACCAATATGGAGCAGGAGCTTGCAAAGCCCAGATTCAGGCAGGGACTGAAAGTTCAACTTCCGGCCTTGCCATGGCTGACCCTACTCTTTGCATGGGCGGCTTGTGCACTCCCCTCACAATGTGAAGCACATATGGAAATTCCAGCCGTCCTGGTGCTCCTCTGTGTAGACTTCCTCCCTTTCCTCCTCCAGGGCAGCCAGTCCTCTCCACAGGTGGGCCACCCCAAGTCCTGGCAACCATCTCAGTCTTTCCTTTCCTGATTCCCCAATGGTAGCGGGACCACTTTTACTCTGCCAGCTGTAAGGATCTATCTGAAACAGCTGGTGGGACATGTGTAAAGCTGATAGAGTCCCATTCTCTGGCCAGCAAATACTCCCAATAGTCTTTCCTAAGAGTGGCTAGGGCCCAGCTGCAGGGAGCTGTCTGGCACAGTGGCAGTGAAGTCTGGCCTAGGGGACCAAGGATTCCATCCACTCCCTGGAGTAGCAGCCCAAGAACCTGCCTCCACAAGGTACTGGTTTCTCAACAGAAAGCATCCATTCTCTCAGAGCTGTGCAGAGATGGTGAAGATCTAGGCAGGAAGAAAGCAGCCCCTGTACTCAAGGGCCTCTGTCCTGGGAATGGAGTCTTCTTTCCAGCAGCCTGACACACAGAAGCTCTCAGGACGAAGGCAGGTAGTTTCCAGGCAATCAATTTAGAGTAAATGTATTATTTGGCCATCTTAACAACAAGGGAAGATAGGGTATTGAAAAGGGAGGAAAGGGGAGCAAGGCAGGCAGTGGGAGGTGGGGTAGAGTGGTAGATAGTGTGCTGGCCAAGGACCCTCTACCTCTGCTGTGTGGCCCTGGGCCAAGTTATCACTTCTCTGGACCCTTGGCCCTGTAGTTCTCTGCTCTGTCCAGCTCTCAGGGGCCTAGGGATCTACAGTTCTTGGGATGCTATAAACCAATGTAACCATGCCCACTAAGTGGCCCACCAAACCCTATTTGGGTTTCCTAGGCTGCAGCTCGGCCTGTGACTCAAAAAAGGGGGAGCAAAAAATAAATCACTTGGCTGAGGTGACAGAGATTCTTCTTTTTTAATGAGTTGGACTCAAAGAAAACATGGTGCCTGGACAGCCTCACCCAAGAGGTGCTGGACCACTAATGCTACGATAAATACTGTCTTTTTTTTTAATATATATATTTTTATATATATATATATAATCTCATTTGTTTTTTACTTATGAAAATAATAAGCTATCACCAACTTGGATAGGCTTCATCACTAAATTAGCAGAAACCAGCTCAGCACAAACTCTCCAGAGATAAATACTGGTGGCTCAGTCAGGAGAAAAAAATTTAAAAACCCCAACCCCTCCTCAAAACAAAACCCCCCTTTCAAAATAGAAGGCGCTACATGAGAGTAACCAGCCAATACTGTGTTACAGGCCGCTGCACGTGAAGGGGAGAGAGAGAGAGACTGAGCGGGGTGGTGGGCAGAGAAAGGAAGGAAGGAAGGAAAGGGAGAGGGGGAAAGGCCAGGCAGGAGGAGTGGACTCTGTCTATGGTTTCCCAGTCCCTGCACCAGTTGCCTATGGAGGGCAGGGCAGCTCCAGCCCTGGGGCCAGTGGAGGGCCAGCCAGAGCCAGCCAGCACAGTCAGCTAGTGCAAGTAGTCATCAACTCTGGCAAAGGAGCAAGAACCCAGGCCTGCTCGGGCCATGAGCCGGAGACACTCAGATGCCTGGCCCAGGGCGAGCATCAGAGGGGGCTGCTTTGGCAGGTTCTGGGACTCTGTGGAGGAAAGACAAGGCCTGGTCACTGGCCTGCCCAGGGCTTGGGCCCAGGTCAAAGTTCCCTTGGGGGTGGAAGGAGGGGGCAGTGGACAGATTCTCTTGGAACAGAGTGTTCAGTACCTCTGTGTAAGTGTGTCCCAGCCACCAGGCCATGGCCCTGAAGTCATGCCAGGAACCTGAGGACCTTAGCCCCATGTAGAGCGCTGGGCTGGCCTGGGCCTACTGCCATGGCCTAGGACCCATCATGAACTCAGCTGGGCAGACAGAGGTCAAGGTTTAGGTTCAACCATGGGAGCCCAGGAGTCCTATGAGTCACCAGAGAGGGCCTGTACAGAGCTTGCTGCCCCAGTGTGGATAAACATCAGCTCTTTCTGGGGCCAATTGGGGTGGGGGTTGGGAACCACCCAGGTAGCTATGGGCTAGCTTCTGTTTTTGTTAGATCCACTCACCTAGGCCAGGCATGGTGGCTCACACCTGTAATCCCAGCACTTTGGGAGGCTAAGGCGGGCAGATCACCTGAGGCCAGGAGTTCGAGACCAACCTGGCCAACATGGCAAAACCCGTCTCTACTAAAAATACAACAACTAGCCAGGCGTGGTGGCACGCACCTTAGTCCCAGCTACTCAGGAGGCTGAGGCACGAAAATTGCTTAAACCCAGGAGGCAGAGGTGGAGATTGCTGTGAGCCAAGATTGTGCCACTGCACTCCAGCTTGGGCTACAGAGCAGACTCTGTCTCTAATAATAATAATAAATAGATTCACTCACCTAAAATGGCGCTGTTGAGGGCAGCACACACAGGTTCCCTCTGGATGGGGTCAAGCTGCTGGCCAACTGGGCAGCTCCAGGGGTCTGAGTATGCCAGCAGGCTGAAGGCATCCTACAGGACAGGGCATTCTTGAGAGGACTGTGGCACACACCATAGCTCACCCTGCTACCCGTGGCTCCAGAGGGAGACAGGGCCCTGCATGATGCCCAGCCTGGAATGTGGGGTGTAGGGTCGGGCAGGGCTGTACTCTCCCCAGAGCCTAGGTGTGGAGGGCACATGTCCAGTGGGCCCAGATGCCCCACTTCCCTCTGCAGACCTGGCTGGAGCCCACTCTTTCCTGCTGCCCCCTGGACTCTCCCAGAGCCACCCTGCCCCCAACACCAAATGGGGCCTGCTCTGCATGAGGCCCGGCTCATCCTGTACCTGCAGCATCTCTGTGTGGGCCAAATTCTTGCCGTACTCCCGGCCCAACTGCTCACTCAATGCCTGCAACTCGCGGCCAAACAGAATGATCCTTTCTGTGGCAGCCTGGTTGCCCCCGCAGAGCTGCCGCCGAGGATGCCTGTCATCTGCATCCAGAACCCAGTGGAGAACGTGTTAGGAGGGGTGAAGAGGGAAGGGCAGGACTAGGGTGGGGCAGGAAGGACCCCGGGTGGGCTGCAGCTTCTGCCAGAGGCAGGCAGGGCTGGGAGGAACAGGTGAGGCAGCTACAGTCAAGGCGTTCTTCTCTTCATTCACCTGGCGCACAGTCTAGGATTTAGGGAGGACTTGGAAGTTGTCCCTCTTCCCAGCCTGCACAGACGCAGGGTGCTCATTAGGGTGCCCATGCTCTCGAACACCCTCCAGCCTCAAACATAGGTGGTCTTGGCACAGGCCAGGGCCTTCGTACATTTGGAGCCACCTCAAGGACCCATTCACAATCGGCTAAGGAGGCTGTGGACCAGGTCTGGCTGAAGCTTCTCAAGATGCCAAAGCCTGCCTACCCCAGCCCCTCCCAGGGGAAGAGGGCACCCAGACTGCACACTGCCCTCAAAGAATAGCACACCGGGCCGTGGCTCTCACCCATGCTGGACTCATCCGTCTGCAGGTCCTCATGCTTGTAGGCACCATTAACAATGCGTGTGGACATGCTTCCTAGCACACCGTTGGGGTAGTGCTCTGCCTCCATCTCCATCTCACTGTCGCTGTGGGGAGGGGTTGAGGTGGGAGTTGGCCCAGGGGGTGTGGTTGGAGCAGCCTGGTTGGGCCTCCTTTCAAGCTGTAGCCATGGGTTGCTGTGGGTGAACCGAGGACCCCCAGGAACATGAAAGGACAGCTCAGGCTTCCAAGTCTTCAGCACTTGGCCCCTACTGTGACACCAGCTATCCTCAGAGGCCTGTCACCTGATTCCCACCCTTGCCCCAGTGCTGCCTCTGTGATTCTCCCCTCCCTGGCCCTCCTCTGAGTTCACACACCTCTTCTACATATCCCCCAACCTAATGACTGGGCCCCATGGCCCCCATGGGCAGCTCTGTGGCCTTGGTTGGAAGCCAAACTCAGGTCAGCCTTGAGGTGTACCTGGGGATGCTGAGAGCCACCTAGAGCTCTAGCCTGCGGCTTAGCTTCCCCTGCCTGCCCAACCTGGCTGTCTACAAGCCAGAGCCAGGGAAAGCTCCCTCATGATGGACCCTGAGGGTTCTCACAGGCCCGGCCTCTTTGGAGGAGACCACATCCTCAGCCTGGCATCATTGGAGCCTCTGGAGAAAGCCAAGGCCAAAGAAAGTGCAGCTAAATCGTGGGGAGGGCCAGAAGCCAGAGCTGATGTCTGGCCCGGTGGGCCAAAAATTAGGACTCCAGGCACAGACCTGAGATGGAGGCTGGGGGTGAAGGGCAGGGCGCTCAAAGGACAGACTGCAATGGGCCCAGCTGGCATAAGGCAGAAGGCAGAGGAGGAAGCAGAGCAAGGCAGGCACCTGGTCTCCTGGTTACTGGTACTGCTGTGGTGCTGGGACTTGGTGGAGTCTGTTGAGTTGGACTCGGAGTAATTGACGGAGGATGGGGAAGAGGACGAGGAGGAGGAGGAGGACGAGGATGAGGAGCTGGGTGCAGGGTATTTACTGTGGTTCTGTTTGCTCTTGGTGGACGCGACGCCATTGCTACAGCTGGGACTGTCTGCTCCTAGAAGCCAGGGTGACAGTCAGAAGAGGAGGGGCAGCTTCCCATGAAATGAAGCCCCAAGAACAACCACAGTGGTCCCATTTCCCTTCTCCCAAATCCAGCAGTGAGCCCTGAGCCCAGCCCAGGAAAGGGTATGTGGAGTGGCCTCTCTCCTCCACACCAGTTCTTCCCAGAGCCCTCTGGAGAGTGGCTGACCTGTGTTGTGCATGTGGGAACTACTGGGGCCATGTCGGGGACTGAGGCTGGGGGAGCCAGGGTAGCTGTCCTGGGACTTGGGGCTTCGGGAGCTCAAACTTCGGACCTCACTGTCCGTCCCATTCACCATCTCCACAAACTGCCGGCACCTGTGGAGGGAGCGGAGCAATAATGCTCTGGTTGTGGTCCAGGTTGACGTTCCCACCACCAGCTGAGAGGGGCTGGACTCTGGGGGAGCTGGGGGTGCCCAAGACTTACTTGAGCATGAAGAGGAGGTTGGGGTTGTGCTCCAGCAGCCCTGGGTAGAAGCGCTGGGTGGTCTCGATGGCCTCGCCCACACGGCCCTCCAGCACCAGCTTCTGGATCTCTGCAGGGTGCAAGAACACAGCAGTGAGCGAGGGCTACAGGCCTCTCCCACAGCCACACACCTGGGATGCTGCCAGCCTCAGGGTAGGGTCCGGCTCAGAGTGCCTCGCCAGCTTGAAATGCTCACAGGAGAGGAGGCTGGAGAAAGAACCTGACTGCCCAGCCCAACAGATCCTGGTTTCTGCCAAGTGTCAGAGAGTCCTCAAGAATATGGGGAAGATGGAGGGGAGACTCTCAGCCCAAAGGCAGGAGGGTAAATGTGGAGGTCTGCTCCTGCGGGGCACATGGTGCCAGGGACCTGGGGGCAGGGTAGGGCCCCAGCTGGGGCAACATGATCTGGGGATGGGCACCCAGGCAGCTTGGCGGCCTGAGTGGCTCCTCTTCAGACAGACTCCTCTCCTTCCAGGCCTCACAGGGGAATGGCAATGGAATCACACTGGTTTCTGACCAGGGCTCTGGCTGGTGGTCTTCAGGGGCTGCAGCATGCCCCCTGCTGGGAGAGGAGGCCATCCTCCTCATGCTGGCACCTCTGATGTTGACACCTCTCACGCCATCAGCATCTTGCTGCTGCCTTTTCGCTCTTGCCGTGGGGCCTGGTGCATCTCGCTGGGAGCAACTTCAGAGTCTGAGGCTCTCATTCATAGATCCCAAGTCTGGGATCCCTTTCCGTCTGTCTGGCTGAGCACAGCTTCTCTGGGAGACAGACACGTGCACATACAGAAGAGACAGCAGGCTTGGAGAGGGGTAGGCAGGCACTCACAGACACGCATATCCACACCCACTTGCCCTCATTCTCCTTTTCTCCTTCTAGCTCCTCACTGGGCTCCTTTTCCTCTTTTCCAACACCCCTCCTTCCGTGAAAGAGCCTCCAGACACACAGCATCCAGGCCAGCATCAACACTGGGAGAGCTCTGGCCAAGGGAGGACTTTAGGTTGTCTGCAAAGGGCAGGACCAGTGGTGGGGAGCAGAGGGTAGTGCCCCCACAGCAGCCATTGAGCACTGGCTTTGCCCTATCTGACCACTTCAGTCCCCTCTCTGGCTAGGAATAAGCAGAACTACTAAGGCAGGCAAACAGCCTTCCTGGAAGACCATGAACAGGAGGTTGAGAGGAATCCAGGATTCAGGGGGAAGGAAACAAGCAGGGAGGAAATGGAGGAATGGAACCAGCCATGCCAGGGCCTGGCCTGCGCCCAGCCTTCAGAATGTGCATTAGGGAGGCTGCCCTGAGACGTCTCCATCCTGCCAACTGTCCATCTGGGCAGTGCCATCTTGAAGGTGGGACAGGAACATGGCCTCGAGCTGCAAGCTGGTCATGAGGACCAGAGCTGAATGGACTCCTGACAGGTTAACCAGGGTTGACATGAGCCAGAGAGCAGAGTTAGGGACAGGTGAGGAAGGGAAAGGGGAAAGTAGAATAAACCTTACTTTGTCTGTTCTTTATGGACGCCTGTTCTTCCTGAATCGGGGTTTCAGTCATTCGAGCAAAAGCCGTGGCTGTGGCACAATACCCATGATGCACGAGGTAAGATGAAACCATGCTAGAAGAAAGGAAGAGCTTCAGGTGACACTCAAGAACTGCACTTCTCACTGACTACCCAATGGACTCAGGACAGATTACCTCCCCCAGAGGTCTCCCTAAACACGTCCTGGAGGTGTAACCTCCACAGAATGAGAATAAAGGGGCTGAAACAAAATGAAAACTTCCCCCATGGTGCCCCACGGTCATGAAGTCAGGCTTCGGAGGGGCTGGTCACCACATCTGTGCCCACAGTTCAGAGGAGTGGCTGCAGTTTATCTGAGACATGCTGCCCACAAGTAAGCGAGTATGATAACAGAAGTACACACACAGGCACACTCCTCACAGGTGGCTGCCTCTTTGGGAAATGCAGCAAGCCTAAGAGGCCAATAGTCTCACTGATAGCTTCCCGAAACTGCAGCTAGCCAGGTAATCTGGCAGATTTCCAGACAGGATGCATGCCACATGCACACCTTCTACAGACACAGGAGCCCCTCTGCAGGCTGTGCCATGTACCTGAGAGAAGCATTTCAGCCCTCCAGGTGAACCTGCCCTCAGCAGTTCCAGCTCTAGTGAGTGAGTGATGGGAAGCTAACTCACAACCCAGAGTTACACCATGATACACCACAAATCAGGGGCCCAAGAAGCCAAGCAATCAGGCTGATTTTGCCAGGCAGAGATAGGCAGCAGCAGGGCCAATGGGAACACAGTCATTGGGAAATGGTCTGGAGAAGTCTGACTCCCTGTAGCCATTTAACCCCAGCAGAAGCTGGCTGAACAGTGGCACATGTGTGTACACATATAAAGCAGAGGCTGAACCCTCAAATCTGATGTGTACAGGAGTGAATACCTTGGTGTGTACATGTGTCTGATGTCATTACTGTAACTCTAAACACAAATGTCTGAAGGGTTGTCAGGTGGAAGGCACAGAAGTTTGGGTGTGTGTTCCCTCAAGCTTTAAGGGGTAAATGAGATAATACACATAAAGTACCTGGCAGGAAGAAGTCCATAAATAAGACTTCTTATTATGAAATGATATATTACATAATATTATAGTATAAATAATAATTATCAGCTGGGCGTGATGGCTCATGACTGTCATCCCAGAACTTTGGGAGGACAAGGCGGGAGGATCACTTGAGGCCAGGAGTTCAAGACCAGCCTGGCCAACATTGCAAGATCTCATCTCTACTTTAAAAATATGGCCAGGCGTGGTGGCTCATGCCTGTAATCCCAGCACTTTGGGAGGCTGAGGCGGGCGGATCACAAGGTCAGGAGATCAAGACCATCCTGGCTAATGCGGTGGAATGCCATCTCTACTAAAAAAATACAAAAAAAAATTACGCCCGGGCGTAGTGGCGGGCACCTGTAGTCCCAGCTACTCAGGAGGCTGAGGCAGGAGAATGGCTTGAACCCAGGAGGCGGAGCTTGCAGTGAGCCGAGATTGCGCCACTGCACTACAGCCTGGGCGACAAAGCGAGACTCCATCTCAAAAAAAAAAAAAAAAAAAAAAAATTATTGGCTGCGTGTGGTGGCTCATGCCTGTAATCTCAACACTTTGGGAGGCCGAGGCAGGAAAATCACTTGAGCCCAGAAGTTTGAGACCAACCTGGGCAACATGGCGAAACCCTGTCCCCACAAAAAATACAAAAAATTAGCCAGGTGTGGTGGTGCATGCCTACAGTCCCAGCTACTCAGGAGACTGAGGTAGAAGAATTGCTTGAGCTCAGGAGGTCCATGCTGCAGTGAGCCATGACTGTGTCACTGCACTCCGCCTGGGCAATAGAGTAAACTCCTGACTCAGAAAAAAGTAAAGTAAGTATAATTATTATTATTACACCATATTATTATTATAAACACAAGGGTAAATATGAAAAAGTCTTTATCTACAAGAGGGTTACCTACACAAGTAAAAGAGAAGGAATTACCTGACCTTCCACTAGAGGAAGCCAGCCAAAAGGCTTGTGACAAATTTGTCTCTGTGATAACATAGCCATTATCAATATTCATTAAATGAAGTTATGTAAAACCACAGTACACAAATTATATGCAGGTCTTGGCAAATGCTACATATGAACACATACAAGCACATGGATACACACATGTAAACAAAAACACCTATGTGCTATGCTGGACATGGTAGCACATGCCTGTGATGCCAGCTACTCAGGAGGCTGAGGTGGGAGGATCACTTGAGCCCAGGAGTCCAACCTGGGCAACAAAGTGCGACCCCATCTCAGTATTTTTTTAAAAACCCCAAAACAAAAACACATCCATGTGCTGAGCCTAGGCCCTGAAAACTGAGAGTATCAGTTCCTCCCCTACACAGACTTGGCATCTTCACCCCTCTTCTTGGCAATCCCACCAAGCCTGCTCTGGGAGTGGCGCTGTCCTGGCCATCCAAGGAAGTCCTTGTCATCTGCTCTGGGGGGCTGTGAACAAGAGGCAGCAATGCTGTTTTTCCTGGGGAAGGTCTGGCCACCTAGCCCCTGCCTCAGCCCATCCTTGGGGCCTGCCTCAAGGGACAAAGGCTGCACAAAGAACTCAGTGTGTACCCCAACCCCACCCCAGGAATCCTAGCACCCTGGTGCCTTTGCAGGGCAATGACCACAGGCAGTGGAAGCCCAGCCCTTCCCCATGCCCATCTGCCCATCCTTGAGAGCCAAGCTAACACCCACCTCCTGGCAGAGTGGATACTGGTCACTGCCTCACTCAGGCTTGCAGATGGCAAGTGGAAGAGAAACCCAAAGCTGGCCTCCCTTGGGAGTTCAGCGACACTGGCTTCCAGGACAGTCTGGGAATTAATCAGCCAAGGAGCTAGCTCAGCTGGTCCTAGGGAGAACTCCCTTCCCTCCACCACCGCTATAGACGAATGAGACTCAGTTGGATGCTGGGCCCTGTGAGGTGGCCTCAGGCCAGAGTCACAGCACCATGGATACTCCCTATGGTAGAAAAAGGGTCCACAGAGGAAGAGACCACAGGGCATCCTCTGCAAAATCCTCTGCAAAATGACCTGGGGAAGGAAAACAGCCCTGCTGGTGATCTTATATACAGGAGCCTCCAATATGGCTGAGAGGCAAAGGTTTAATTAGGAGCAGCCCGGAGAACTCGGTGGGAGCTGTCCATCCGACGACAGAGAAGCAGGAGAGCTGCAGGCTGAATGGCCCTGGGAATGCTTCCCAGAAAGGATCCACCCGCTGGAATTTGTAAGAACAGCTTGTAGCCCTACAGGGGCCTAGAGTGAAGTGGGCTGGGGTGGGGTGGGAGTGGGTAAGGGCAGGAGCAGGGCACTCACTTCTGCAGCACTGCCTGCCACTCGCCAAGCCGGGCACTGATGGGGAAGCAGTGGACCGTGCCCTGGACCTTGGCACGCCACTCCCGCATGTAGTCCTCAATGTCAAACAGGAAGGGCTGCTGCCCAAAGTTGGCGTCCACAATCTCCCCAGGTGTCTGCAGGCCTACGGTGGGGTAGAGGTTGGCCTGAGGAGGAGAATGAAATGTCAGTCAGGCCCTGAGGGCAGTGGGGTTCTAAGGCCTCACCTCACCTCCATGGCTGCTGCTGGCCCATGCTTGGGCTGGGAGAGTTGCAGCAAGGCTGGAGGAGGCAGGGCGGAGCCACCTCTGTCCACCTCCCTAGCAGAGACATTATGCCCCAAAGCTTGAGGGGAGAAAGCAAAAGAAAAGCAAGCAAGGCACATCATGGAGAGTGTCCTGCCCTGTATCAGAGGCCATTGTGTCCTCAAGGCCCAAGAGCCCTTTCTGGAACTCAGCCAAAGCATACAGAAATGGGCTGGGCTCCACGACCCTTCAGACGTGCCCATGAAGGTCTGCTGCAATAGTGGGTCATGGCTCCTCTTGGAAAGATCCAGGGCCAAGGATCTCTCTGTCTCAAAAAAAATAAGACACATGAGGCTGGGCACAGTGGCTCATGCCTGTAATCCCAGCACTTTGGGAGGCCAATTTAGGAGGATCGCTTGAGCCCAGGTTTTCAAGACCAGTCTGGGCAACAAAGTGAGACCCTGTCTCTACAAAAAATAAAAAGATAAAAATTAGCCAGGTGTGGTGGTATGCACCTGTGGTCCCAGCTACTCGGGAGGCTGAGGTGGGAAGATGGCTTGAGTCCAGGAAATTGAGGCTGCAGTAAGCTGTGATTCTGCCACTGCAACCCAGCCTTGGTGACAAGAGTGAGTCCCTGTCTCAGAAAGAAAAAAAAAAAACAAACCAAAAGATAGATACATGGGGGGTAGGCAGAGATGGGATGACGCAGGAAAGGAGGGAGGAGGGGAACATGGCAAAAGGGAACCGGTGGTCTAGACCCCTGGTGCTGGCAAAGGGTGAAGAGAAGCTACCCTTCCTGTTAGAGGCTCGCTAAGAGGATCTTCTGGCCAGTAGGGTGTGAGGCTCCCTGCTTTCCACCTAGCCTCTACCATGACTGGCTTTTGTTCGGTCCCTCCCTCACTTGGTGGTTCCTGTGGCTCCCCACTGCAACTGTCCAGAGCCTCGCTAGCCTCCTCCCCACTGTCACTGCAGATGGTCTTCCCAGGGCCCTCAGTCCACCCTTCACCTCCGTGCTCAGGCCATGTTCCTTCCTGAGTATCATGCACTTTTTTTTTTTTGAGACGGAGTTTCGCTCTTGTTGCCCAGGCTGGAGTGCAATGGCGCGATTTCAGCTCACCGCAACTTCTACCTCCTGGGTTCAAGCAATTCTCTTGCCTCAGCCTCCTGAGTAGCTGGGATTACAGGCATGCGCCACCACGCCCGGCTAATTTTGTATTTTTAGCAGAGATGGGGTTTCTCCATGTTGGTCAGGCTGGTCTTGAACTCCCAACCTCAGGTGATCTGCCCACCTCAGCCTCCCAAAGTGCTAGGATCACAAGCGTGAGCCAGCGCGCCTGGCCAACCATGCATTTTTGTACCTGCACAAGGTATGGGACCTTTTCCTGTATGCTGGCTTCAGCCCACCATGGGCTCTGCACACAGAGGACCTCTCGCTTCCTTTCTTTCCCCTACCATCCTCCACCACAGGCAAGGCCCGCCTCCTCCAGCAAGCCTTCCTGACCGTCACTGCCTACCATGTCTTTCCCCCATACCTTCTTGCATGTGGCTGCATACTGGCCATGCTCATGCCTGGTCATTTCATGTCACGTCCCCATAACTAGACCCTTCCCTAGCCAGGGTCAGCATTCTCCACCTGATTCTGTTCTCTTTGCCTAGGACCACAGCCCCTCTCTGGGGCTTCCAGGTAAGAGGGAAGGATTCTGAGCCATGGACTGGAGGTTTTAACAGGACCCTGGGTGCTATGGTCTGGGCTTCAGAGGCCCATAAGATCACAAAGGCATTTCCTGGGGCATCACTGGGGTGTTTGGGATCCCAAAGCAGCCACCAGAGTCAGCAAACCTTCCTTCCTTCCAGAACCTAACCAGAACACACAGAGCCAGGCCAGGCTCCCAGCATCCTGGGTGGAGGCCCTGCATGTGATTAGGCCTGTGATGACTCATAATAGAGACTGGAGTACAGGTGCGGGATGGCTGGAGGTGAGGATATGCCCTGAACTAAGCAAGCAGAAAACTCCATCCTTTTCTGTTTTTTTTTTTTTTTGAACTAAGCAAGCAGAAAACTCCATCCTTTTCTTTTTTTTTTTTTTTTTTTTTTTTTTGAGACGGAGGCTCGCTCTGTCGCCCAGGCTGAAGTGCAGTGGTGCGATCTCAGCTCACTGCAAACTCTGCCTCCCGGGTTCAGGCCATTCTCCTGCCTCAGCCTCCCGAGGAGCTGGGACTACAGGCGCCTGCAACCAGGCCCGGCTAACTTTTTTTGTATTTTTAGTAGAGACAGGGTTTCACCCTGTTAGCCAGGACGATCTTGATCTCCTGACCTCGTGATTTGCCCACCTCGGCCTCCCAAAGTGCTGGGATTACAGGTGTGAGCCACCGCACCCGGCCAGAAAACTCCATCCTTTTCTAAGAAGAGAAGACCCCACAAAGCTCACCTCTCTGGCTTGGGGGTGCCCTAGATAGTAGCAGATGAGTTCCCCTAGGGCACTAACTTTCCTCAGGGATCTCTGATGGGTATGTACAAGGACTAGGTTCCCTCACAGTTCAGGAACAATTCCCTACACTCTGCACCCCAGCTGACACACAGCTGGTTTAGACCAGTTGAGCCATGGAGCTATCTTCATTCCACCACCCTACCCGCCCCAGCCCCACAGCTGCCTTTGGAAGTGCCACAAATTACTGTCACCTGCTAAGAGTCGTAGGAAGACCAGACCTTACTGCTGGAGAGAGAGGAAGGCCAGCAAGTGCCCCTCCTGGTACCCTCAAGCTGACAGCATGGCACACATCCCTGGTTGGGGAAAGAACCAGACTCCACACCCTGCACTTGCAGGTACCACCGTGCCCCATCCCAGTCAGCCCCCAGAAACCCAGGAGGGGAAGACTCAATAGTAGTACTCACCGGGAGGTCTGTGAAGGCTATACCTGTGGGGGGAAAGGAACAGTCATCAGGGCCAGCCCCTGGGGCTACTCTGCCTCTGCACCCCATGGTGGAGCCAGTGCTAGGGCCGGGTAGTTGTTTTTTTTGGTTTGTTGTTGTTGTTTTGAGACAGAGTCTCCCTCCGTAGCCCAGGCTGGAGTGCAGTGGTACGATCTTGGCTCACTGCAACCTCTGCCTCCTGGTTCAAGCAATTCTCTGGCCTCAGCCTCCCCAGTAGCTGAGATTACAGGTGCCCACCACCACGCCTGGCTAATTTTTGTATTTTTAGTAGAGACAGGGTTTCACCATGTTGGCCAGGCTGGTCTTGAACCCCTGACCTCAAGTGATCTGCCCGCCTCAGCCTCCCAAAGTGCTAGGATTACAGGCATGAGCTACTGTGTCCAGCTGGGAAGGTTTTTTTGTTTTTGTTTTTGTTTTTTGAGATGCAGTCTCACTCTGTCGCCCAGGCTGGAGTGCAGTGGTGCGATCTCGGCTCACTGCAAGCTCTGCCTCCCCGGTTCACGCCATTCTCCTACCTCAGCCTCCCGAGTAGCTGGGAATACAGGCGCCCACCACCACGCCAGGCCAATTTTTTCTATTTTTAGTAGAGACGGGGTTTCACCATGTTAGCCAGGATGGTCTCGATCTCCTGACCTTGTGGTCTGCCCACCTCAGCTTCCCAAAGTGCTGGGATTACAGGCGTGAGCCACTGAGCCCGGCCCCGGGCTAGGTAGTTTTAATTAGACCATGGCCTTCTCTTCACTGGCGGCCTGGCCAGAAGTGAAATCAGATGCTTAGGCAGGTGCATAGCTCCTCCACCCGCAAAGAAAGCCTGCTAAGGGGAACTAAATCCAAAAGATCTATCCCCTGCGGCCCTTCAGACCTGATACTTCTCTTGATTTAACACATATTTATGGAAACTTATTGTGCATGCCAGATCCTTTTTTGGAGAAGGGCCTCACTCTGTCGCCCAGGCTGGAGTGCAGTAGCACAATCTTGGCTCACTTCAACCTCTGCTTCCCGAGTTCAAGCAATTCTCCTGCCTCAGCCTCCCGAGTAGCTGGGACTACAGGCACATACCACCATGCCCGGCTAATATATATTTTTGTATTTTTGGTAGAGACAGGGTTTCACCATGTTGGCCAGGCTGGTCTTGAACTCCTGACCTCAAGTGATCTGCCCACCTCGGCCTCCCAAAGTGCTGGGATTACAGGTGTGAGCTACCGCACCTCGCCCCTTTTCCATCCATTACTTCATCTGATCCTCACACCAACTCTGGGAAGCAGGCTTATTGCATTTTACAAAGGAGAAAAATAAGCCTCAGAGGTTCGACAATTTGCCAGTAGTCATAAAGCTAGCAAAGGTGGTGGGGCTGGATTTGTTCCTAGTCCAATGCTTCAATGTCATCCCCAAGCTGACAGAGAAGTGGAAACAGGGAGGGTGGCAGCTGCCTATCTCCAGTCCATACGCAGTCAGAGTCCTCAGAGGTTCCAAGCTGGCAAAGTTCAGGTTAACAATGGCCTGTGTGGAAGGATCTCTTGAGAACAGAAGTTCAAGACCAGCATGGGCAACATAGCGAGGCTCCGTCTCTACAAAATATATAAAATTAGCTGTGGTCCCAGCGACTTGGGAGGCTGAGGCAGGAGGACCACTTGAGCCCTGCAGGTTGAGGCTGCAGTGAGCTAGTATGATTGTGCCACTGGGTTCCAGCTTGGGTGCCAGAGCAAGACCCTGTCCCAAAAAAACAAAAACAAAAAACAGCCTGTCAAAAACCCTCCTGCCAAGAGAAGTGGCTGCATTTCTAGGGACCTCAGCTCTGAATTGGAAGTGAGGGTAGAGGGGAGTGGGACCACAACTATATAAGCAGGCTACCAGAGCACCCATGTTCTTCAAACTGAGAAATGACAAATGACTCAGGACCAGTGGAGGCTCTCCAAGGACTCAAAGCCCTCTCATTTTTTAGATAAAGTCTTTTTTTTTTTTGAGACGGAGTCTAGTTCTGTCGCCCAGGCTGGAGTGCAGTGGCGTGATCTCGGCTCACTGCAAGCTCCGCCTCCCAGGTTCACACTTTTTTTTTTTTTTTTTTCCCTGAGACGGAGTCTTGCTCTGTCCCCTAGGCTGGAATGCAGTGGTGTGATCTCAGCTCACTGCAAGCTCCGCCTCCCGGGTTCACGCCATTCTCCCGCCTCAGCCTCCCAAGTAGCTGGGACTACAAGTGCCCGCCATCATGCCCAGCTAATTTTTTTTTGTATTTTTAGTGGAGACGGGGTTTCACCGTGTTAGCCAGATGGTCTCGATCTCCTGACCTCATGATCTGCCTGTCTCAGCCTCCCAAAGTGCTGGGATTACAGTCGTGAGCCATCATGCCCGGCAGATAAAGTCTTATATCTCCCAGAAGCTCCTGAGCTTTTGGCCTTTGAGGTTTTCAAACTGCTGATTCCTTAGAGATCTCCAGTCTGCTATCCAACCCCTGCCCAGAAAAGAAACTGAAGCCCTGCAAAATAGAACAGGGTCTATTCTATTTTGGGTCTGACAACAGGTCTCCCAGAAACCTGGCCGGAATCATGCCAGCCAGCACATACCACATGCTTCCTCTATGCTGGGCACTGGACTGAGTGTCTTATAAGGCACTATTCAATCCTCAGAACAACCTTGGAAGATGTATACTACCTCTGACACTAGTTCACATATGAAAAAACCAAGATGCAGAGAGATGGTTTATATTCTTTGTTCGGCTATTTTGTTTGCTTCTCACTGAGGGACGCTCATAAGCCGCATGGTCTGCCTGTCTGAAGCCACTTTTGGGCCCCACATGCACAGTCGGCATGACTCTGGCATGCTGGCAGGACTGAATCTGGAAATCTCTCTGTACCCAGGAGAAGACCCCAATGTCCACCCTCCAGGCCTGCCCCGGAGCTGCCCTCATGGATCTCAGCATGGCCAGGATATTGCTTACTCCAGGGCTCATGGAGGAGTCCCCAAGAAGCCTGGAAAAAGGGAGTCCAAGCTCCGTAAATTATATATAGTGTGACCTTTGGCAAGTAACCCAACCTCTCTGAGCTCATCTGAAAAAAAGAGATAATATCGATATCTCGACTTCAAGGAAAAAGGGAGAAAATGAGACATTCTGTGAAAGCTACTTCATGAACCCTAAGGTCTAGGTATAAGTCAGCTGTGGTAATGCCACAGGGTGAGGCAACTGCCACACTTTTGGTCAGGGGATGACCTACCCAGGCTTGCCCAACTCTGCCTCACAATGGCACCCAGGAAGGATAAGGCCTTGAGGTGCTTCCAGGAGAATGAGGAAAGACGCTACTCCACCCACTACTGCACTGGACAAGGGCAACACTGCTCCTCCAGCCTGCAACATCATTTTGATGGCAAGATCTGAGTTGGCCCACGGGAAGAAGGTTCAGGCAAAGATCCAGGATGCAAACGGGATAGCTGAACTTGCTGATAAGGAGTACCCAGAGCCAAACAGACACAGGTCAGGGACCACTGAGGCTGAGAACATAAAGACCTTGTGGGAAAGCACAGAGTTGTGTGGAAATGACTGTGAGCACATGGACCACTTGCAAATGAGACATCAGTCAGTATCTCCGTTCACTCATTCCTTCATCCTTCTACCAAGTATTTGTTGTCACAAGACTAGAGAAACAGTTGCAAACCTGGCCCTCAGATTCCAGCAAGAGAGATGGCACATGACTAAGAATTATGCAGACAACTGACCAATGGCACATAGTGCAAGGGCTGTTGACAGAGGAAAGGAGCAGGGAGGCCAGAGGCAGAAGACATCATTCCGCTGCTGTAAAGTGGGGAAGGGATCGATTCTGAAGCACATTATTGATAAGATGGCTTGGGAAAAGGAAACAGAGACAGTAGAAGATTCACCATGCATTCTGTCACTCCAACTTCACTGCTTTTCCGTTAAATTTTGTAATCTAAAAATGCAGGGGACAGGCCATATCCCGTTTTCAGTAAGGTCTCAATAATATCCATGTGGAAAAAATGGAAAAATATGAGCTTCAGGAACTAAGTGATTCTTTTTTTTTTTTTTTAATATAGGGACGGGGTCTCGCCACTTGCCCAGGCTCATCTCGAACTCCTGGGCTCAAGCAATCTGCCCACCTCGGCCTCCCAAAGTGCTGGGAATACAGGCGTGAGCCACCGCGCTCGGCCAACTTAGTGATTCTTAAATGGCTGATGTCTTCCAGGACAAGCTCAACTATACACTGAAGGGCTCAAATCTTAACCTTCTCTTCTTCCTATATTTTTTAACAGTAACTTCATGAAAACATAAACACAAACAACAAATTTTAGATTAATACAACACTGAAAAGGGTATCAAATATTTGAGATACAACAAGTAAGAACACAGAAGGTGTTGACAGGCTGGAAAAAAAGTCAAAATACTACCAGATGAAATTTAATTACAAGATGTGTGAGGTCTTGGATGGGGGTCTATAAAAAGCATCCACTAAGGAGATGGATGTCTAAAAACAGCCTAAGGGCTTGAGGTGACATTAAAGTGGCCATCTGCTCTCTATGGGACCTTGGGACTTGACTGACAAAGAGTTCATGGCCCTTTGGTGGTCCCGGTGTACATGAAAGGCCTGAAGGAGAGAGATGCAGGTGCAGAGGGAACAGTAGAGTCTGCCCCCATCCGTGAGCAAAATGTGGGCAAGCTGGAGGGATGTGAGGAAGGCAGCTATACAAGGGGGCAGGTGAAGTGGGGCTTGGATACAGGGTGAGAGCCCACAATAGTGGCCCCTGGGACTTTGACAGCAGAACCCAGAGCCAAGAAATAGCGGAATCAGAGTGCAGAGTGGAGAGTGAAGAGCTGTCTTGAGGCCCTGGCCCACCCTCTATCCACTAGCTCCTCACCATCTGGTCACTAGCAACTGCAGCCAGGTGGTCATCAATTTCAGAGGAGGGTTTCTCTGATGTGCACCTAGGTCAGCTTAGCAGTGTCCGTGCTATGTTCTCGGCTGCCTAGCTACCAAGGCTTTCCTGCCAACTCTTGGCTGGGGCATCCAGTTGCAGGAATGCTGGCTCCTAGGCATGCAGCCCCAGCCATCAGCACTCCAATTCCCACTCAGGTCCCCTGATACTAGCTGTGCTCATCTCCTGGAGAAGTCATAGAGGGGATGTGGAGAGTTGCAGCCACCTTTTTACTGACCCTCAAGGCAAGGGAAATGGGACTTCTAGGAGTTGGGTTCCAAGCAAAATGCCCAACTCCCTTTCCTGGCAGAGCTGCTGGCAGCTGGGCTGGTAGAGTTCTGCCAGTCCTCTCCTCACTATACCATTCCATTCTGGAGAACTAGGGTGTGTAGATCGGGGACTTCTGCAAACCCAGGCAGGCAGACCAGGCTGTTAGTCACCACCTCAGGGCCAATGTGGCCAAATACCAGTTAGCACCTGGTAGGCACGGCATCAGAATAGCCAAAGTCTCTTCCTCTCAAGCCCTAATCCTAAATGTCTACGCATGTACAGGAACGCTCCTTCCAGGGATCCCACGGGCCCCATCCTCTTCCACTGATTGCTATTTCTCCTGGGTTTCTTCTCCTGGTTAACAACAGTACTAATCCAGCCATTTTCTCACCTTTCCTTCTTGCAAGTGCACCCCATCTGTCACCAAGCCCTGCAGGGCCACATCTGGGCCTTTGTCCTGCACCCATCCCCACTGCCTTACCTCAGGCCATCTGCCTCTTCCCCTGGTCTTTACTCTGGTCCATCCTTCATGGTTTCACCAGAAGCCTTTTTCAATGTAACTGCCCCGGCTGCTGCTCATTCACCAAGAACAGACCAGAGGTCTGGCCCTATCTGACTCCCACCTGTCTGTTTACCTCCTGGACTAGTGCCACCCTCACTGCTGCTCCACAGCAACCAGCACCAAAGTCTGGGCCAGGTCACAGGCACGCAAACCACCACCACGCAACCTATGCAAGGGTTCCCCAAACTTCTCATCCAACGCCAAACCTTGCTCCAACAAGTGCCACCAAAGCCAAGATCACGACCAGGATACTGCTGTACTCTCAGCATCCTCCCTGGGCTGGATAAACGCAGCTGACTGGCTGGATGAACAAAGGCGTGCCCCTGCTACCCTCTATTCACCTGAAAGGGCTCCAATGCCTGGAAATGGTGCGGTACCCCAGAGCTCAGCAGAGGCGACACTGCCTTGAGCACTTGCCCCTGAGCCTCTCACCAACCAAAGTGGCTCCACAGAGCAGAGCCTCCAAGGTCCCTTATGCACACACCAAGGCTGTGGCCATTCTTGGTGTAGAAGCAGGTGCCATTGATGAGGTTGACACAGCAGCCGATCACGTCTCCTGTGGTGAATGTGGGACCATAGGGCTGGCCAGTCCCCGAGGAGCAGAACGAATGCCCATCATCACCATGGTAACCATAGGAATGTTTGTCCCAACCTGTGGGGGAAGAGAGCAGCAATAACTGAGTAGGTACTTGAGGGAGGAACAAGACAAGTCACAGAAGCCCACCCAGGTCTCTCAGCCTCTCCTCAGCCTGCCCCACCTCTGTCAGCACTCTTGGCTTCTAGCAGAGCCACCAATAGACAGAGTCTGGCTGTGAGTCCAGCAGGTGACTGCCAAAGTAGCTGATGTAGCCCCACAGAGGAATGATCCCATGCTGCGGTTAACAGGAACCAAAACCATCAGTGACCCGGAAGGAACATACCAGAGGGTGGTACAACAAGGAGGTGGTCAAGGGAAGCCTTGTGAAGGAGTGGGAGCTGGAAGTAACCTTGGAAGTGTATCTGGCAGGTTGTTTAAAATGTTTTTTTTGTTTGTTTGTTTTGAGACGGAGTCTCGCTGTCATCCATGCTGGAGTGCAATGGTGTGATCTCAGCTCACTGCAAGCCCCGCCTCCCGGGTTCACGCCATTCTCCTGCCTCAGCCTCCAGAGTAGCTGGGACTACAGGCGCCTGCCACAACGCCCGGCTAATTTTTTTTTTTTTGTATTTTTAGTAGAGACGGTGTTTCACCATGTTAGCCAGGATGGTCTCAATCTCCTGACCTCGTGATCCGCCCGCCTCAGCCTCCCAAAGTGCTGGCATTACAGGAGTGAGCCACCGTGCCCAGCCGATGCCCAGCTAATTTTTTTGTATTTTTAGTAGAGAGGGGGTTTCACCGTGTTAGCCAGGATGGTCTCGATCTCCTGACCTCATGATCCGCCTGCCTTGGCCTCCCAAAGTCCTGGGATTACAGGTGTGAGCCACCGTGCCTGGCCTAAAATGTATTTTATATTGAGGATTAGTTTACATATAGTAAGATTCTCTCTTTTATTTTTATTTATCTATTTTTTTTGAGACAGAGTCTCCCTCTGTCACCCAGGCTGGAGTGCAGTAGTGTGATCTTGGCTCACTGCAACCTCTGCCTCCCAGGTTCAAGTGATTCTCTTGCCTCAGCCTCTGGAGTAACTGGGATTACAGGTGTGCGCCACCATGCCCAGCTAATTTTTGTATTTTTAGTAGAGACGGGGTTTCAACATGTTGGCCAGGCTGGTCTTGAACTCCTGACCTCAGGTGATCCTCCAGCCTCGGCATCCCAAAATGTTAAGATTACAGGCGTGAGCCACCGTACCTGGCCGATTCTCCCTTTTAAACTGTACACTTCAAATGAGTTTTAACAAATGTATACAGTTGCATTACCACCACCACGATCAACACACAGAACATTTCCATCACTCTAAAGCTGAGCATGGTGGCTCATGCTTGTAATCCTAACACTTTGGGAGGCTAAGGTGGGAGGATCACTTGAGGTCAGGAGGTCAAGATCAGCCTGGGACAACATAGTGGGACCTCATCTCTATAAAAAATTTAAAAAACTGTCCAGGTGCGGTGGCTCACGTCTATAATCCCAGCACTTTGGGAGGCCGCAGTGGGTGGATCAACTGAGGTCGGGAGTTCAAGACAAGCCTGACCAACATGGAGAAATCCCGTCTCTACTAAAAATACAAAATTAGCCGGGCATGGTGGTGCATGCCTATAATCCCAGCTACTCAGGAGGCTGAGGCAGGAGAATCACGTGAACCCAGGAGGCGGAGGTTGCAGTGAGCCGAGATCGCGCCATTGCACTCCAGCCTGGGCAACAAGAGCGAAACTCTGTCTCAAAAAAATAAAAAATAAAGAAATTTTAAAAATGAGCCAGGTGTGGCTGGGCATGGTGGCTCGCACCTGTAATCCCAGCACTTTGGGAGGACGAGGCGAGCGGATCATGAGGTCAGGAGATCAAGACCATCCTGGCTAACACGGTGAAACCCCATCTCTACCAAAAATACAAAAAATTAGCCAGGCATGGTGGTGGATGCCTGTAGTCCCAGCTACTCAGGAGGCTGAGGCAGGAGAATGGCATGAACCTGGGAGGCAGAGCTTGCAGTGAGCCGAGATCGCGCCACTGAACTCCAGCCTGGGCGACACAGCAAGACTCCGTCTCAAAAATAATAATAATAATAAATTAGCCAAGTGTGGTGGCGCCTGCCTATAGTCCCAGCTACTTAGGAGGCTGAGGCAGGAGGATTATTTAAGCCCAGGAGTTCAAGGCTGCAGTGAGCTATGATCATGCCAGTGTACTTCAGCCTGGGCAACAAAGTGAGACCCTTTCTCCTCCAAAAAAAGTTCCCTCAGGCCTCTTGGGAGTCAATTTGTTCCATCCATTCCCAGTCCCCGGCAACACTAATCTGATGTGTTCCTATGGTTTTGCCTTTTCCAGAATTTCACATAAATGGAATCATAGAACATGAGGTGTCTTGCCTGGCTTCTTAGACTTAGCACAATGCATCTGCGATCCATCCATGTTGTTAGGAGAAGCAGTGTTCCATTCCTTTTTATTGCTGAGTAGTACTCCATGTTATGGATACACCCCAGTTTTTCTATCTGTTCATACACCAGTTGATGACATTTGAGTTGTTATAATTTTTAGCTATTATGAATAAAGCCAACAAATATTTGCTTTAAGGTATTTGCACAGACATATGTTTTCATTTCTCTTGGGTAAATACTTACAAGTGGTATTACTGGGTTATAAGATAAGTGTATGTTTAATTTGATAACAAACTGTCAAACTGTTTTCCAAAGTGGCTGTGCTATTTTGCATTCCAACCAGCAATGTATGAGTTCCATATCTTCTTCAGTATTTACTATTCTCAGTTTATTTTTTTTAATTTTGGCCTTTTAGTGTATATATAATGGTTTTAATATCATTGTGGTTTTAATATACATTTTCCCTATGACAAAATATACTGAGTATCTTTTCATGTACTCATTTGCCACCTATTTGTTGGAAAACTATTCAACTGTTTTTTCAAATTTTTAACTCATTTTTTATTGGGTCGTTTATTGTATTGCACTTGTTTATCGTATTGCACTGTAAAGGTTCTTGATGTAGTTTAGATACAAGTCCTTTTATGTTTTGTGAGTATTTCTTCCAGTCTATGGTTTATCATCATTTTTGTTTGTTTGTTTGTTTGTTTGGTGAGAAAGGGTCTCACACTCTCTCGTCCAGACTGGAATGCAGTGGCCCAATCTCAGCTCACCACAATCTCCACCTTCCAGGCTCAAGGGATTCTCCCACCTCAGACTTCCGAGTAGCTGGGATTACAGGCACGCGCCACTACCAGCAGGCTAATTTTTGTATTTTTAGCAGAGTCGGGGTTTCACCATGTTGGCCAGGCTGGTCTCGAACTCCTGACCTCAAATGATCCACCCGCCTCGGCCTCCCAAAGTGTTGGGATTATAGGCATGAGCCATGGCGCTTGGCCTCATTTTCTTTTCTTTTTTTTTTTTTTTTTTTTTAAGACGGAGTCTCACTCTGTCGCCCAGGCTGGAGTGCAGTTGCATGATCTCGGCTCACGGCAAGCTCCGCCTCCCAGGTTCACGCCATTCTCCCACGTCAGTCTCCCGAGTAGCTGGGACTACAGGCGCCCGCCACCATGCCTGGCTAATTTTGTTTTTGTATTTTTTAGTAGAGACGGGGTTTCACCATGTTAGCCAGGATGGTCTTGATCTCCTGACCTCACGATCCACCCACCTCAGCCTCCCAAAGGGCTGGGATTACAGGCGTGAGCCACTGCGCCCGGCCCTCATTTTCTTAATAATGCCTTTCGAAGGTGGGCTGTGATCGTTGACTGGGACTGTGTTGACTCTCTAGATCAATTTGGAGAGAATAGGTAGCTTAACAATACTAATTATTCTGGCCGGATGCAGTGGCTCAGGCCTATAATCCCAGCACTTTGGGAGGCCGAGGCAGGAGGACTGCTTGAGCCCAGGAGTTTAAGACCAGCCTAGCCAACATGGTGAAACCCTGTCTCTACCAAAAATACAAAAAAAATTAGCCGGGCGTGGTGGCGGGCGCCTGTAATCCCAACCACTCAGGAGGCTGAGGCAGGAGAATCGCTTAAACCCAGAAAGGCGGAGGTTGCAGAGAGCCAAGATCACGCCACTGCACTCCAGCCTGGGCAACAAGAGCGAAACTCCGTCTAAAAAAAAAAACAAAGTGCATGGTACTCAGGAAGGAAAAAATATATATATTACTATTATTTGTACAGATAGGGTCTTTCTATGTTGCCCAGGCTGGTCTCAAACTCCTGGCCTCAAGCAATTCTCCCACCTCTGCACCAAGGTGTTAGAAAAGGGGAGAGGGGAGTGAAAAAGGAAGGAGGATGTGCAGGCAAAGGCATGAGTACAGGTGGGGCAGGAGTGGTGGAGCTGCAGAAGGGTTCGACTGCCTGGCTAAGGAGTAGAAATGGAACCCACAGAGCCATGACAAGCCCAGGACCTGCACAGGCTGGGGAGGTGATGGGCTGACAGGCAGGTCTACTCCCCAGGCACCCCTCCAGGTAGCTTCCCCAGTGTCTGCCTGCTTCCTCCTTGGGGCCTAAGCAGCATACCATAGGAACATGCTTAAGCACATCCCTCTCCTCCCAAGTGGCATGGGTAGAGGCTCTCTCCTGAGTAGAGGATCTGAGTAGCCAGAAAGCAGGGCAAGGCTCAAACATTCACAGCACATGTTGTGTACGTGAATAGGCGAGGGCACAGGGTGTGGCCAGGCAGCAAGCAAAGGTGTGGGAATGAGAAAAGAAGGATAACAGGGCCAAGGGCTGACAAGAGAGGCAGAGAGTGTGACTGGAGAGGTGACACAGCCCAGACCCTGGAGCCTAAACTCAGCATTTAAATCAGCGAGCACAAAGGAAGTTGTCCCCTTGGTCACAGCACCCATCCCAAGCCTAGTGTACCCTGAGCTTTCACATCTTTTTATCCAGGAAGCCTCTATTTAAACAAAGATTCTCCAGCACCCACAGCGGGAAACAGGCCAAGACTGAACGGCTCTCAGAAACTGGTGGAGGCCCTCAGCCCTGCTGGTGCCTCCTGCATCTCCCCACCGCCATCACCAGGAAACCAGTGTGAGAGCTGCTTGAGACTGGCTTTAGGAGGGCCAAAGCCTCTACCTGGATCCAGGCTCTATTCTCACCTTCTGAATTCCCCAAAGACATTGGAACTGCCTGGCTCAGGGAACATGTTGCTGCTCTGAGCATCAACTCAGCTCCTAAGCTCACCAGGCCCAGCAGTGGGAGAGGCCTTTCTGTTTGCTAGTGGGTATGCAAATCATTTGACCTCAGAGAAATAGCTCTTTTGGGACAGAACAATGCCCATTCCCCACCAGAGGCAGGCTCATGAGGCCGTCACAGTCAAGGCCTTTTCTCAGGCATCAACTCGGGAGACACTATGGCTCCTGATGGCAGCGGCTGTTCCCCTGGTCTATAGCAGGCTATAGATGAGGGTGGCCAGCTGGACAGCAGTGAGGAGCAAAGTGAAAATCATCCCTCCAGGTCTAGCTCAGACTGTGGTGGCCCCAGGCATGCCCACCAGCTTGCCCTGACAGGATCCACAACCATGGGCCACACCAGCCACAATAGCCCTCCTCCTACCCCTGCCCCTCATCCCTCAGATAGAGCACAGGGATTTCCCACTGCAAGGCAGTAACTGACAACAATGTGGCAACCTGTTAGGAGGGCACCCATAACCCTGTGTGTTTGGCACAGCACAACAGATGTTGCCAGGGGTCTGGGATGCCAGGAGGTAAGGTGGGGCTCTCCTCAATGCTCCTTGACCTGCACAGCCCCCTAAAGCCAAGTCCACTGCTTATGTGGCCATGGGGGCACACCCCATCCAGCAAAGCCACTGCCCATTCCACCCTCCCCAAATAGTCTTTCAGGAAGGCTGCTTGCTGCTCCTCCAGGTCCTCTTAGAACTATGCCCAAGAACTAGTGGTATCCACTCTGTCCTCCCCTCTTGCCAGTGCATCATGATCCAGTTCAAATTCCTGCCTCCTGGAGTCTTTCATAACATCTTTTGGTTCTCCCCTTGCACACTGCCCATATCCCTGGTCCACTGCCTGGTGCCTACCAAACCTCTTCAATCACCAGTCACTGTTCCCGGGACTGTCCATGCCCCCTCCCCCAAGATCATGAGCTCCTTGGTACAGGGGCCAAATGATCTCAGGAAAGTTCCTCCAGTGCCCAGCATGTCAGGAGTCTGACAAGTGGTACAGGTGTGTGCACAAGCACATATGTGTGTTTATGTGCCACCAGTGACCAGCCCCAGCTGTCAGCCTGCCTCTTTCTCACACAAGGATGATCCTGTATGACAGATTTTTATGCAAATTTTACTGTCCAGGAGGTATAAGACATAAGCTGGAAGGTTTCCTTTTTTCACTTTCTTTTTTTTTTTTTTTTTTTTTTTGAGACGTAGTCTCACTCTGTTGCCCAGGCTGGAGTGCAGCGGCGCAATCTCGGCTCACTGCAAGCTCCGCCTCCCAGGTTCACGCCATTCTCCTGCCTTAGCCACCCAAGTAGCTGGGACTACAGGCACCCGCCACCACGCCTGGCTAATTTTTTGTATTTTTAGTAGAGACGGGGTTTCACTGTGTTAGCCAGGATGGTCTCGATCTCCTGATCTCGTGATCTGCCCGCCTCGGCCTCCCAAAGTGCTGGGATTACAGGCGTGAGCCACCACGCCCAGCCCCTTTTTTCACTTTCTCAGGTTAGAACAGTAGATACTCTAGAAAACCTAACAACAATTTGGTCATTTGATTTATGAAAGCTCATGAAATCACCAGGAAGAACCTACTTAGTCAGTGATTCAAGGATATTTGGGAGATATTTTTGTCTCAGTGTATGGGAGTTCAATATCCACTATGAAAACAACAGATGCTTAAATTTTCAAAGACCTAAAATTAAAATAAGTATTTTAAACACTTTTCTTTAAAAATAAACTATATAACTATTTTGACAAAACGAGCACAGAATTTTTAGATTTTGCCTGTAATCCCAAGCACTTGGGAGGATGAGGTGGGAGGATCACTTGTGGCCAGGAGTTTGAAACCAGCCTGGCCAACATGGTGAAATCCCATCTCCACTTAAAAATAGAAAACTTAGCTGGGTGTGGTAGCACATGCCTATAGTCCTAGCTACTTGGGAGGCTGAAGCATGAGAATCACTTGAACTGGGGAGGCGGAGATTGGAGTGACCTGAGATTGTGCCAATGCACTCAAGCCTGGGCAACAGAGCAAGATGTTGTCTCAAAAAAAAAGGCCAGGCTCAGTGGCTCACGCCTATAATCCCAGTACTTTGGGAGGCTGAGATGGGCAGACCACCTGAGGTCAGGAGTTTGAGACCAGCCTGGCCAACATGGAGAAACCTCATCTCTACTAAAAATACAAAAATTAGCTGGGCGTGGTGGCGTGCTCCTGTAATCCCAGCTACTCAGGAGGCTGAGGCAGGAGAATCGCTTGAACCTGGGAGGTGGAGATTGCAGTGAGCTGAAATCGCGCCACTTCACTCCGTCTCAAAAAGAAAAAAAAAAGAAAGAATTTAAAAATTTTTAACTCTGGCTATAAATATGGATTTTAAATTAAAACAAAAACCAAAGAGCTCAATTAAAAAAAAAAAAGAATCAATTCAGGATTCACCATCACCTCAGTTTGGCTAGAAAAGAGATAAGTTTTCTGCTTTTCCAATTCCCAAATGATTTATCAATTTTTACAGATTTTCCCAGAGGGGAAAAATACACAGTACCTGTTACAGGCCGGATAAGACCCCCACCCCAAAGATGTCCATGGTCTAATCCCCAGAACCTGTGACTATGTCACCTTTCATGGTAAAAAGGATTTTGCAGAAGTGATTAAGTTAAAGCCCTTGAAGTAGGGGATGACAGTGGATTATCCAGGTGGGCCAATGTAATCACAGGGTTCTTTATGAAATGGAAGATGCCTCACTGCTGGCTTTGAAGATGGAGGATGCAGCCATGAGTCAAGGAACACAGGAGGCCGCTAGAAGCTAGAAAAGGCAAGGAATGAATTCTCCCCTAGGGCCTCCAGAAAGAACGCAGCCCTGCCAATATCTGGATTTTAGAATTTCTGTTCTCCAGAACTGTAAAATGATTATTTCAAGCCAACATTGTTACAGTAGCAACAGGAAATCTGAACCTATTCTGGTAAGGGGTCTGCCATTACAGAGCTGTAATATATCTTCAACTGAAGCTATCAATATTTTTTTCCAGACACAATAAGTGTCTGTGTGTATATATAAGGTATATACCTTATATATATATATATTTACACAAGGATGTGTGCAAAAGGCAGTTGGAGGTTGAAAACAGAATGTTGCATACCTCATTTAGTATCACTGGCTGCTGCAGCAGCATGGTTTAAGGCCACCGTGTTGCCTTCACATCCTCTGGAAAGGACAAGCACTATCTGCTTGCCACCAAATAACTAACAAAGGCCTGCCCCAGGGAGTTTGCAAAGTGGGAGTAGGAAGTGTGAAAGGAATAAAGACAGGGAAAATGTAAATAAACAAATAGGAAAACAAGAAATACCTGGTAGATCAAGTATGCTCTAAAGAAAACAAGGCTGGGCTGGGTGCAGTGGCTCATGCCTATAATCCCAGCATTTTGAGAGGCCAAGGCAGGAGGATTGCTTCAGTCCAGGTGTTCGAGACCAGCCTGGGCAACATGGTGAGACCCCATACCTACAAAAAAATACAAAAACTAGCTGGGTGTGGCGGTGTGTACTTGTGGTCCCAGCTACACAGGAGGCTAAGTTGGGAAGATTGGATCATGCCACTGCACTCTAGCCTGGGAAACAGAGAGAAATCTCATCTTAAAAAAAAAAAAAAAAAAGGCTGTGTGCAGCGGCTTATGCCTGCAATCCCAGCACTTCGGGAGGCCAAGGCAAGTGGATCGCTTGAGCCCAGGAGTTTGAGACCATCCTGGACAACATGGTGACACCCCACCTCTACAAAAAATACAAAAAATTAGCCAGGCGCTGTGGTGCGCACCTGTAGTACTGCTGAGGAGGGAGGATCCCTTGAACCCAGGAGTTTGAGGTGGCAGTGAGCTATAATCGTGCTATTGCACTCCAGCCTGGGCAATAAAGATTCTATTTATAAAAGAAAAGAAAATGCAAAGCCAGATGATGGGCTAGCAATGGGAGGGGGGATGAGGACTGACTGGAATGGGGTAGTCAATTGAGTTCTTGCTGAGAGGGTGACTCCTGAGCAGAGGTCTGCTGGACAAGAGGAACAGAAGAAAAAACCTTCGGGGTAAAGGGTATGAACTCAGCATGTCTGAGAAACAGAAAAGCATCCAGTGGGGCTGGAGCTGAGCGAGACTTAGGAAAGACTCAGAGCAGAGTGGGCAGGACTCGCCAGGTGTGGGTGCAGCTAATGTGAGAGGAAAAAAGGATGGCATCCAGGTTTCTGGCCTGAGCAAACAAGTACATGGTGGCACCATTTATCAAGAGAAAAGGAGGCTGGTCGCGGTGGCTCATGCCTGTGATCCCAGCACTTTGGGAGGCTGAGGCAGGCGGATCATGAGGTCAGGAGATCGAGACCATCCTGGCTAACATGGTGAAACCCCGTCTCTACTAAAAAATACAAAAAATTAGCCAGCGTGGTGGCGGGCACCTGTAGTCCCAGTTACTCAGGAGGCTGAGGCAGGAGAATGGCGTGAACCGGGAGGCGGAGCTTGCAGTGAGCAGAGATCGCACCACTGCACTCCAGCCTGGGCGACAGAGCAAGAGTCCTTCTCAAAAAAAAAAAAAAAAAAGAGACAAGGAAGATGGGTGGAAGGAACAGGCCCTTCGGAAGTGCTAAGCTTGAGATGTCTTATTAGACATCCAAGTAGCCAGCGGCTGAACAAGGCAGGTAAGATGGTGGCAGGTCCAGGGACTTCGTGGCTCCTTCTCAGATGTAGAAAGTCCGTGATGGGGAACACTCATTAAACAGTGGTGTGGACAGAAAACTTTGAGTGAAGTCACTGGAGGATTTTCCTCCTGTGTTGTCCTGATACATACAATGGTTTTCTGTTTTTCCTTTGTGAGAAAGATTCAGGCTAGCTAAGGGCTACAAAGGACAGGACAAACATGCACCAAAGGCACCAGAAGCCCAAAGGAGTTGAGGAGATGATGGATTCAGTCATCCACCCCTTGTGAACCTGCTCCCCAGGCCTTGAGAAGTTGTACAGTGGAGAGGAACTGGCACTACACTGCCGTCTTGAGAAACTGGAAACCAGAAGGCCAGGGCTTAGCCCCGGCCCCATATTTTGCAGTGAGTCTGTTGTCAGCCTCAGGCTAGGATCCTCACACAGGCAGACTGGCCTCTGTTAGAAAGAGACTGTAGCCCTGGGTGCCAGGAAAGCCAGTGGGGCTGAAGTGCTTCTGCTCTCTGGTTCTGGCCACAGCACTGTTCTTCCCGTGATAGGCCCTGGCCAGTCACTCATCCTCAGACCTCGGACCCTGGTTCCCTTCTCTACAAAATGAGAGAAGAGGGAGTAGGCATGGTTGTCAAAGGGCCCTGGATGTCTACTTGTAGGAAACATTCTAAGACTCCAACCCACTTGCAGGTATAAATCCCATCAGAGGACAGAGGAAACTGAGGCACTAAGAGGCTGACTGGAGGCCTGTGGTCATGTAAATAACACTTCTCCCCTCCTCTGAGGGACACCCAGGGGAGCACCAAGCAGGTACTTGTGATGGTGAAGCCACCTCCTCCTTCCCGACCCAACCACCAAGCACCATGCCTAGGGTGCTGCCCTTCCCATTAAGGGGGGGTCCAGCAATTATGCCTGGGTGAGCAGCCCCTCCAGCCCCACCAACTTCTGCTTCAGAACTGGACAACCCTTTTCCCACTCCCACCCTGAAGCCAAAGTCAGCAACTTTCTAAACATGCACCCCTCCCTAGGTGGGTCTAGAGAGAGGATGGAGATGTGCCTAGAAGTGAGAGTTGTGACCTGCACTATGAGGCCAGAGATGGCTGTCTCAGAGGGGACTGGGATGTGAGGGCCAGAAAAGAACAAGTGGGCTGGGCACGGTGGCTCACACCTGTAATCCCAGCACTTTGGGAGGCCGAGGTGGGTGGATCACCTGAGGTCAGGAGTTCAAGACCAGCCTGGCCAAGATGGCGAAACCCCTTCTCTACTAAACATACAAAAATTAGCCGGGCATTGTGGTACATGCCTGTAATCCCAGCTGCTCGGAAGGCTGAGGCAGGAGAATTGCTTGAACCTGGGAGGCGGAGGTTGCAGTGAGCTAAGATCGCGCCACTGCACTCCAGCCCAGGCGACAGAATGAGACTCTGCCTCAAAAAAAAAAAAAAAAAAAAAAAAGGACAAGTGGACATGGCTGCTTGGGTCAGGCCCTGCAGGGAGATACATCCGGCTGGCTCTGGGTCAGAAGGATGCCTGAGGCCACATGATGGGGACAACACTCTGACAGAGAGGACCACCCAACTAACCATTCTTCTGTCTCCAAAGAGAATAAGCCTTGTCACTTGCCCAGAGAGAAGTGATGGGCAGTTAGCCTGGCACCCATACACAAAAGTCTATGCCCGGCCATGTCAGGTACTATGAAATGCCAGTGATGCAAGGAGAAACCAAGCCACATTTGAACCAGCAGGCAGGAGGCCCCAGGTGGCCAGTGCAGATGCTCTGGCACCACCCACTTCCCCCTGCATTGTCACTCAGACAGAAAGTCACAGTCACAGAAATGCCAGGGTGGCTGCAGAAATCATTTATCACCTTGGCACTCCCAGGTAACATCCCTGGACAGTGCCCTAGAGATGGAAGACTCCTGTAGGGTGCCAGGGACTCCAGCGTGACCGTTCCAGCAGCCCACCCATGCCACTACCATCTGCCAGGGCAGATCCAAGGCCTCAGTCCCAGGCAGTGAGGAATGGAGAACACTCCTACTGCTGAATGGAAAGATTTCCTCAGAAGCCGCAAGTTAGTCTGGAACCCTGCAAGGGGCTAGGGCTGTGCCTGACCACCAGGTTCTGGTCCTGGCCCACGGCTGACCAGGACACAGGGGCCAGCTACGTCTCCCTCACAAAGATAACCTGAGGCCAGGCGCGGTGACTCACGCCTGTAATCCCAGCACTTTGGGACGCTGAGGCGGGCGTTCAAGACCAGCCTGGCCAAAATGGTGAAACCTCGTCTCTACTAAAAATGTAACAATTAGCCAGGTATAGTGGTGGGTGCCTGTAATCCCAGCTACTTGGGAGGCTGAGTCAGGAGAATCGCTTGATGCCGGGAGGCAGAGGTTGCAGTAAGCCAAAATTGCACCACTGCACCCCAGGCTGGGCGAAAGAGTGAGACTCTGTCTCAGAAAAAAAACAAAAAACAAAACAAAAAACACCCCAAAAAGCTAGCCTGAGCACTGATCACCAAGCCAGTCATCTCTTCCCAACAAATGGGTCCCAGTCATCACTCACTGTGGGTCAGAAAGACTCGAGCTCGAATCCCAATTCTGTCACTTCTTAGCCCCCAAGTTCCCTTGGCTGAACCTCTCTCTCGGGGATGGCAGGAAGATTAAAAGAGAATGTGTGCCAGGCGCAGTGGCTCACGCCTGTTATCCCAGCACTTTGGGAGGCCGAGGTGGGCGGATCACCTGAGGTCGGGAGTTCGAGACCACCCTGACCAACATAGAGAAACCCCGTCTTAACTAAAAATATTTTAAAAATTGGCCGGGCGTGGTGGCGCGTGCCTGTAATCCCAGCTATTTGGGAGGCTGAGGCAGGAGAATCGCTTGAACCTGGGAGGCAGAGGTTGCGGTGAGCCAAGATGGCGCCATTGCACTCCAGTCTCACCAGGGAGATTCCCTTTCCTCACCATCTTAAACCCTGGCTCTGCAGTAGAGTCTGGGCACTTCACATGTTCTGCTCCCTTCTGCCCAAAGGGAGCGGGTAGGGGTGGAGCTGGTGACTAGCCCCTCTCCTAATGAATGGCCACCGACGGCAGCCCCAGACCTGCTCCATTCTTGTTTCTGGCCTCCTGGGGAAGCAATCTAACCCTTGCAGCGCCAGGCAGGGTTCAACAGCCATGCCCAGTGGCTCTCAGAATGTCACTCTTGAGGCTGGCTGTGGAGGGATGAGTGCTGCGCTGGCTTGGCCAGAGTGCTTCCTGAGCATGGGGCCGTGTCCAGGTACATTGCGGGACATCATGGCAGGGCTGCTCCACAAGGGTGGTCACTCACACAGAGCCATCACTCTCCAGAAATCCAGCAGACAGATGCTGTCCCCATAACCTCAACTATCTTAAAAAATCTGGCAGGACCCACGGCCTGGAGCAGCTCAACAATGGATAATGGGAAAGCAAAAGAGATTTTTTTTCATTCAGCAAATGCTGTGGGGTGGCATCAGAGAACACCGCTGTCACAGCACTCCCATGGCTGTTCCCCTGAGCTTTTAGAACCAAGGAACAGGACCAATGCAACCATAAGGTGATGCCTCTGGCACTGCAGGTAGGAAGGTCTGGCAGTGCCCTGGGTGCAGGGTCTTCTCTTCATGGTAGCTCAGCATGGAAGCCATGGTAAAGGGGGCAGGAGAAAAAGGCTACCTCTACAGGTAGATGATGATACCAGGGGCTGACACCAAGTGGGGCATGCCTTCCCATGGGCACCTAGGCCCTCCACTGAGATAGGACCCAGGTGTCAGCTTGAAGTCATGGGCAGGGCAAGGAACAATACAGCTAGCACCTGCAGAAAAAGGGGCCTTGCACAGATCACACCCTCCCCACTCAGAAGAAGTAGATTCCTGATGGCCAGGAACGGCCCAGGGGGGCCAGGCTGGGTCTAGCTGGGTCTGGATAGGACATGGCTCAGATGGCATCTGGTCCATCTGGCAGCACTACCTGCCAACACCTTGTCCCGACAGGACAAGCTGGCTCTGTAACCCATACTGAACTAGGAAAGGTGTTGCAGTATCCTGCAAAACTGAGGTGCAACATCAGCTTGCCAGGCTAGGTGTCTCTCTTCTAGGGCTGGGTTTAGCTTTTGCTTGTTTCCCCGAGCTCCTTTTGAGCCTCCTGGGAAAGTCATTGGATGGGTGACCTATGGTAACATATGCCTGTGGCTCTGCGTACATCGTTGGGTCCTGAGCGACGGCCAACCCCTTCTCGAAAGGAGCTCCCGGAGTGGCATCCCCACATTCCCAGGGTCTCGGGATACAGATCCTCTGCTGGCACTAGGAAGGCAGGGGACTGAATGGGAACTGGTCTCCGCTCTGCTTCACCCTAATGTGGCCTCAGCCTCACCCAGTACAATTGAGAATCTCTGTTTTCAGACACTGACAAACTCAGGTTTCAGAACTGGCCCTCTGCTGTCGATGAAACCTTTTCTATCAAAGGACTTAACTTGCCCTGAAAAATCCAGTCTTAGAATGTTTACTTCTGTGAGAGAGGCTGGGGGCTAGTATTTGGAAGACGAAAACAGGACAGTATAGAGGAGGAATCCCATGCCCAGAATAAGACTTTTTAGGTCTGGCTGAGCTGCCTCGCTTGAAAAGGCTGCTGAGCAGCCCTGGTGTGCCGGGGTGATACAGGTCTCCTGTGGGTCAGGGAGGAGGCCCACAGAAAAGGAACACGCACTTGCTGGCCATAGGGCCGAGGGTGCTGCCAGCCCAGGGAGGAGTGGCAGGGAAGCAGAGAGCAAATTATCTGAAACAAGCTTCTCAGCATGGACCACAGCGTCCTGCAGCACTTACACCATTAGCCACCGCTTGAATCACCAGCTAAGTACCTCTGGGGCCCAAATACCAAACCACCCTCTGTTCTGGACGGCCCTGGAAAACCTGTTGCTGCTCAGAACTACAAGGCCTGGGACGTCTACTCCTTCACTCCCATCTAGGCCATGTGCCAGGGGTCTCTCGGAACGAGAAACAACAGAATGAGAAAGGCAGAGAGGGGCAAGGCAGCACCAGGTACACAAACCCAACCTATCTTCCCACAGCCCTGGTGCTGAACAGCTGCTCCAGCTAATTCAGAGACCCTCCTGTGTCATGAGCCCTTTTCCAGGCAGGGCTGCCTGGAGGCACCCTATAGGCTTGAACTACAGGGTGACAATCAGTTGGTTTCTTCCCCCTACCAGCCTCAGTCAGGCACCGGCTGACAGAGTGCCCAATCATGCCAGGGGAGCAGAGGCTTGTTCCCAGAAGGAGTGACACCCAGAAGCATAGTGGGCCCTGATGGCTCAACTCACCCAGCTCGGAAGAAGCATGGCTTCCCTCACAGAGGGACCTGGCTGCCCCACAGCAGACCCCTGTGAAGTACTGTAGATCCCAAGGTGAAAGATGCTCCAGAGAGAGGTGGTGTTAATGGTGGACACTGCAGGGACTGTCAGCTGTAACATGGGTCCCAGGCTATATGGAACAGGAAAGAAGTGGTGCCTATTTGGCAGGTATAGACAAACAGCATTTCCAGACTACTAGAAACTCACCTACGTCAGGGCCGGGCAAGGTGGCTCACGCCTGTAATCCCAGCACTTTGGGAGGCTGAGGTGGGCGGATCACGAGGTCAGGAGATCGAGACCACCCTGGCTAACACAGTGAAACCCCATCTCTACTAAAAATACAAAAAATTAGCTGGGTGTGGTGGCAGGCGCCTGTAGTCCCAGCTACTCGGGACGCTGAAGCAGGGGAATGGCGTGAACCCAGGAGGCAGAGCTTGCACTGAGCCAAGATCATGCCACTGCACTCCAGCCTAGGTGACAGAGCGAGACTCCGTCTCAAAAAAAAAAAAAAAGAAAAAAGAAACCCATCTACATGCCAATAATCTCTAAGACAGCAACCGCACAAAGCCACCTGCTACTGGTATTTGCTCAAAACAGAGACATCTTTCACTGGATGTGCTGTACTCTTAGGAGGACAGGGAGGAACGATATCAAACACCTTGTTATTTCTTTTCATTGCTTGCCACTCAGGCAGGGACTAGCCTCTGCCCTTGTGAACCTGGCACAGACCCCTGGTGTTCTGCCCTGATCTCTGCTATCAGTGGTTCCTCTTCCATGGCACACGCAGATGTGAAATATCAGCTGTTTGCAGAACGTGTCCTACCCAGCAGAAGCAGCTTCCTGTTGGGCCTATGCCTCTAACAGCTCACTCAGAGCAAGCCTGGTAAGGTAAGCTCTAGGGGAAGGAAAGATGCTCACTTGATCAGGACCATCCTGTGGAAGCAAAGCAGACAGCCCCTACCTCTCCTCCCACAAAGGCCAGGGCCTGGTTGCCAGGCACCACATGTTTCAGGAGGTATGTCCCCTATCCCCAATCCCTGCTGTAGTTCTTCCAGCTATTCCTTTTCCAACAGTTACAGTCAAGGAAAGTATGCTTCAACGGGCCTGATGCTGCTTTGAGGCATTGTAGTAACTACGGTAATGTATGTCACACCGAGCGAACAGCTGCCTGCACTACAGAAATGGCAAGGAGGAAATTATCAACTACCCAGCTCTGATGCAGCTGGGCCTCCTATCAACACAGCCTGAGTCTCCCTGGCTCTGGCTGAGGCACAAGACACAGAAGCAAGATTTGTCTTTCTCCCACCCCCTTAAAGTGCCAAGCCTGGGAGACGCCCAAACCCCACTCTCTCCATCAACAACCCTGACTTCGTCTTCTTGCTTCCCCAGTCCAGTACCCTGGCCTCTGCCCTTCCCTGCCAGCTCACCGACACCAGGGTGGGGCTGCAGTTGGATTCACCTGCCCTGCTTCCGAGTCATTTAGCCAAGAGTTCTGACATTTTTATTTTGGGGCCACACCCGTTCCTTGGTTTCACACCTAAGAAGGCCAAAAAACACCTTGCAAAAGATAAACATCAAAACTTCCACATCTTCCAGCAGAAACCTCTGACCATGCAAACTAAGACATGCCCATAGGCTCCCAGGAAAGTCTGAGCACCACAGCCTCACTGGAGAGGGACTTTCTGTTATCATCTGCCCCAGGTTCCAAGCAAGACCCCAGGGTGTCTGCCCTCTGCGTCTAACAGCTCTACTGGCAAAGATGTCCTTGCTGAGCCAGTGCAACCTACAAGAAAACACTCAAAACATCAACATCTTGACTTTGATTGCTGTGCCATCTTTTTCTATAATTTGACTACAGCTACCGTACTAAACACGCCTATTCAAACACAGAAGACCAAGCACTTGAGAGAAAAGGTAGTTTCAATGATACCTAACTCCACTCTAACACATAAACATTTATATATTTTTTATTTTTTATTTTTTTTGAGACAGAGTCTCACTTTGTCACCCAGGCTGGAGTGCAGTGGCACGATCTTGGCTCACTGCAACCTCCACGTCCTGGGTTCAAGCAATTCTCCTGCCTCAGCCTCCTGAGTAGCTGGGACTACAGGCGCATACCACCACATCCAGCTAATTTTTTATATCTTTGGTAGAGACGGGGTTTTACCACATTGGCCAGACTGGTCTCGAACTCCTGACCTCAAGTGATCTGCCCGCCTCGGCCTCTCAAAGTGCTGGAGTTATAGGCGTAAGCCACCGTGCCCGGACATACATAAACATTTATAAAAGAACTTTAAATATATAGGTACTTCCTTCTTCAGGTAGAAAAAAAAAACACACACCTTTTCCCAATAATAAGAATAGCTAATACAGCTGAGCATAGTGGCTCACACCTGTAATCCCAACATTTTGGGAGGCCAAAGGAGGAGGACTGCTTGAGGCCAGGAGTTCAAGATCAGCCTGGGCAACATAGCAAGACCCCATCTCTAAATAAAAAACAAACAAACAAAAATTAGCCAGATGTGGTGGTTGTGTGCCTGTAGTTCCAGCTACTCGGGAAGCTGAGGCAAGAAAATCACTTGAGCCCAGGAGTCTGAGGTTACAAGGGAGCTATGATCATGCTACTGTACTCCAGCCTGGGCAACAGAGTGAGATCCCAATCTCTAAAAAGTAAGAATAACTAATATTTATGTACCCCTTTTCTGTGTCAGGCACTAGTCTAAGCATGTTACAGGAATTAACTCAATCCTCATAACCATCCTATATATGAGTTAGATACTAGTATCACTTTCATTTACAGAGGGGGAAAATGAGGCAGAGCAGTAAAGTAACTCACTCCAGGTAACACAGCCGCCAGGATGCAAATGCAGGTGGTATAGCTCCAGAATCCATGCTCTGCTCCACCAGCTGACCACAGCCCTTGATGTCTATTTCCCCATATGACCAAATGTGAGTCAGGAGTGGATTCAATGACACTTAGTCCTGACATACAGAAAAGGGAGCAGTCACTACTCCTCCAGGTAGAAAGTGGTAGCAGAGCCCCTACACACAATCAGTGCCATAATGATTAGGGCAGTGGGGTGAGGCTGAGCTCCAAATGACAGCTTCAAGCTCTAGGCAGGCCGCAGGCTGATGGAGCCTGATGCAATTTACTGAAGCCCAACACACTTAGGCAAAGCACAGCAAAATGCAGAAACAACTCATCCCAAAGCCCAAGTGCATGATGCCAGGTGCTGTGCTCACTATGGGGGAGTCCCAAGGAGCTCACAATCCAGTGAGGACACTCTGGGTAAATGTGAAAGACACACACCAGGCAGGGTGGCAAGTGTCATCCCAGACATGGTCAGGGCTGAAGGGGTCAGACAAGGTTGAGTGGGGATCAAGGAGGAAGGGCAGTCCCAGGGCAAGAAGGACATCTGCCAAGGGGCAGAGCAGGGAGTGTCAGCAGCATGTTTGGCACCCTACACAGCCATGCTGGTGTGTGGCATGTGCAGAGGGCAGAGGTATAGGAAAATGAGGCTGAGCAGGAGACTGTCCACTGGGCAGAGGAGTCAGAGGCCCAAAGCAGGGAAGGGGCACAGTGCATACAGAGAGGAGAGCAGAGGCCTGTGGCGCAGATCATGGAAACTGCCAGTGGAGAGGCCATGGCAATGGGGCGGAGACAGAAGCCAGATTAAAGAGATATCTGTGGAGCAGCAGAACCACGGCTGAGGGAGAGGGAGGACATGAGATTACTCTGAGGAGTCCCACCTGGGGGCCAAGGTGGACAGTGGCTGTCAGCAGAGATGGGGAACACACGAGGATCCGGTTTTTGCAGGAAAATAACCCCAGTCTGGGGCAAGTGGGTTCACCTCTGTTGGACCTGGAGCAAAGAACTCAGGTTTCTGGAAGTGGGATCTGCTCAAGGGCAGGGTGCAATGAGCGGAGTGGCTTGAATACTCCTGCTGAGGGCACCAGCTGCCCCTTCCCTGCTTTCTCAGGGTCTGGCAAAGCACAGCCATCATTCATAGGCCTCACAAGTCTTCTGGGTCCCTCAAGGAAGGTGAGTCCTGTCCCTACCACCCCCATAACCCACTTCACTCAGGTATCTGATTATTTGTTTGTTTGTTTGAGACAGAGTCTCACTCTGTTGCCCAGGCTGGAGTGCAGTGGCTCCATCTTGGCTCACTGCAACCTCCGCCTCCTGGGTTCAAGCGATTCTCCTGCCTCAGCCTCCCGAGTAGCTAGGACTGTAGGCGCACGCCACCACGCCCGGCTAATTTTTTTGTACATTTAGAAGAGACAGGGTTTCACCATGTTGGCCAGGCTAGTCTTGAACTTCTGACCTCAAATGATTCTCCTGCCTCGGCCGCCCAAAGTGCTGGGATTACAGGCATGAGCCACTGCGTCCAACCAAGTACTGGATATTTTAATCAGGAACTAGACCCAAGAGGAACAGAGAAAAGAGCAGTCCAATGTACAGGTGGAAATCAGGGAGATGCAGATTATCCTCTATATTCAAGAAACACTTACTTCAGAGAGAAAGAGGCAGAGGCTCTCTCAGGCCAGTCTCATCAGTTCTTGTTGGTTTCAAACACTCAACCAGATCAGGTCCCAGAAGAAAAGGGGCTTAGTTCCACACTTGGGCCTCTCCTTCGTCCCAAGCCTCTCTTCCGAGGGCTCATAAAAGGCTAAAGACCAAGTACTTCTAAGACAGCAGCGGCTGGGCAGGCCAAGGGTAGAATTTCTAAGTTAACCTCTTTTCTTGGGCTGACTCAGATAAGGGCCGCTTAACTCACATCCTGCCCACTTGCTCCTAACAACACTGAGACTCAGTATCTAAAATGGCCATTGTACCGAGAAGCCAGAACAGAGAAAAAAATAGTAATAAAATGGCCATTGCCAGGCCATTTTATTAATAAAAGCATTCTTAAAACAAATTATCAGGAACACTCTAGAGGCACACTCCTCGTAGCTTGCAGTCTAATAATCTACTGTGAAGACACCAAGTCCAGCTGAATCACCTCCCATAGGGCTTGTCAATCCTGTCACAGTGAGCTATGATCGTGCCACTGTACCCCAGCATGGGGGACAGAGTGAGATCCTGTCTATAAATTAAATAAAGCAATGTAAAAATAAACAGACATATGTCATTTCTGGTTCGGAAGACTAAATTTTCAGTAAGATTGAGGTTTCCCATACTAATCCATAGATTTTATGCAACACATTATCAATCTGAAATGCCAGTAGAACATTTTGGAACATTTAATAAAAGTCTGATTGATAAGGCCATCAAAGAAACAGGCATGTTGCTAATGAAATCCAAAAACAGTCTAGTCCAATAAAATGTAACGGCTATAAACTTGAACATCTTAACTATATTAAAACATTAACACTCCTCATAAATAGTACGAGAAGCAAAAACAAGAACTTTGCACAAAGATGTGTAAGTACCGGTCAAAACAGCAAACTTAGATGGGCATAGTGGCTCATGCCTGTAAACCCAGCACTTTGGGAGGCTGAGGCAGGAGAATCACTTGCCCAGGAGGCGGAGGTTGCACTGAGCCAAGATTGCACCACTGCACTCCAACCTGGGTGACAGAGCAAGACTCCATCTCAAAAAAAAAAAAAAAAAAAAAAAAAAAAACATTAAAAAATAAATTAGCCAGGTGCAGTAGCTCACACCTGTAATCCCAGCACTTTAGGAGGCCAAGGCAGGTGAATCACCTGAGGCTGGGAGTTCGAGACCAGCCTGACCAACATGGAGAAACCCTGTCTTTACTAAAAATACAAAATTAGCTGGGCGTGGTGGTGCGTGCTTGTAATCCCAGCCACTCGGGAGGCTGAGGCAGGAGAATCGCTTGAACCCGGGAGGCGAAGGTTGCCGATGAGCCGAGATTGTGCCATTGCACTCCAGCTTGGGCAACAAGAGCAAAACTCCATCTCAAAAAAATAAATAAATAAATTAGTCGGGGCTGGGTGCAGTGGCTCACGCCTGTAGTCCCAGCACTTTGAGAGGCTGAGGTGGGCGGATCACGAGGTCAGGAGATCGAGACCATCCTGGCTAACACGGTGAGACCCCATCTCTACTAAAAATACAAAAAAGTAGCCAGGTGTGGTGGTGGGCGCCTGTAGTCTCAGCTACTCGAGAGGCTGAGGCAGGAGAATGGCGTGAACCCAGGAGGCGGAGCTTGCAGTGAGCCGAGATCGCGCCACTGCATTCCAGCCTGGGGAACACAGCAAGACTCCATCTAAATAAATAAATTATAATAAATAAATAAATAAGTCAGACATGGTGGCATGTGCCTGTAGTACCAGCTACTTGGGAGGCTGAGGTGGAAGGAGCACTCGGCCCAGGAGGTTGAGGCTGCAGTGAGCTGTGACTGTGCCACTGCACTAGTCTGGGAGACAGAGTAAGACCCTGTCTCAGATAAATAAATAAATAAACAAACACCAAAGTCTCAAAATCTGGACCCAGCCTAGGCCACCACCACTACTGCCTCCTACCAACCACACATCTGAACCATCCAATTGACCTGCATCTCAACGAAGAGCCTCTTGGAAATCAGCAGCGGCTGGCAGAAAGGCTTTAGCTGCTGTCGTCTTCCATCCCACCTCCCCACCAAAATACCAGGACCTTCATCTCTGTTTATGAATGATGATGCTTTCGGTTTTGCAAAATGTATGCTCATCACCAGAAATAAAAAAGTGATCCCAGAAACTGGAAAGCACCAAAAGGGATTCCGACTTCAAAACCCAGTACTGCAATGAATAACGGCAAGCTGATACAGTTTGGATGTTTGTCCCCTCCAAATCTCCTGTTGAAATGTGATTCTCAATGATGGAATGGAGCCTGGTGGGTGGGAGGTGTTTGGGTTACACTAGCATTCCTCATGAATGGCTTGGTGCCCTCCCAGCGGTAATTAGTTCACATGAGATCTGGTTGTTTGAAAAGGAGTCTGGTACCCCCCGCCCCCACACTGCTCTCTCTAGCCATGTGATATACCAGCTCCCCTTCCATTCCACCATAATTTTAAGCTTCCATAGGCCCTCACCAGAAGCAGATGCTGGAGCTAGGCATGTACAGCCCTGAATCATGAGCCAAATAAAACTCTTTTCTTTATAAATGATCCAGCCTCAGGTATTCCTTGACAGGAACACAAACTAACAAAAAGGCCCACTATCACCCCTGAGAGGGGTGCCCTTTACTCCATCCTCCCACCTGCCCTGTACTGGATCTGACCGGACATTCAGCTAGCCCTGTATTCTGGAAAAGCCAGGGGCATCCATCCTTCCCAGGGAGAAGTGGTATCTAGATGCAATCTGATTCCTCCTTTCCACCTTAAAGACAATCAGGGAGATGATCAGATATGGCAGGAAGGAAAACCCTGAGGAGTTGGCAGGCAGAGTGAAACAAAGACAAGTGCAATATCCACTGAACAGTTAGGCCCCTTTCCCTTGCCAAAGAGAAGTGCACCCATGAGGAAAATAGATTTTCCTACAGCTTTGTATTAGCAATGTCAAAGGACATGACCAGTAGCTGGCTTCAGACCAGCCCAGAGAGGTTAAGTCTCATATTGTGAAAAAGAGAAACAGACTAGGCTGGCTCCATATGGTCCCATCTCAAAGAGACTCAGATCAGCCCAGCAGACTCTGAACACCTCTCACCTCGTCTACTCCACTCCATGGATCTCAAACTCAATGGGTGACACAAAAACAGTTTTTACTAGGCAGGCATGGTGGTATACACCTGTAGTCCCAGCTACTTGGGAGGCTGAGGCAGGAAGATCATTTGAGCCTATGAATTCAGGGCTGCAGTGAGCCGTGACCACTCCACTATACTCCAAGCTGGGCAACAGCGAGACCCTGTTTCAAAAAAAAAAAAAAAAAAAAAAAAAAGCCAGGCACTGTAACTCGCGCCTATAATCCCAGTACTTTAGGAGGCCTAGATGAGAGGATTGCTTGAGCCCAGGAGTTAGAGACCTGCCTGGGCAACACAGGGAGACCTTGTCTCTACAATTTTTTTTTTTTTTGAGACGGCGTCTCGCTCTTTCACCCAGGCTGGAGTGCTAGGGCGCTACCTCAGCTCACTGCAAGCTCTGTCTCCCAGGTTCACGCCATTCTCCTGCCTCAGCCTCTCGAGTAGCTGGGAGTACAGGCGCCCACCACCGCGCCCGGCTAATTTTTTGTATTTTTAGTAGAGATGGGATTTCACCGTGTTAGCCAGGATGGTCTTGATCTCCTGACCTTGTGATCCACCCGCCTTGGCCTCCCAAAGTGATGGGATTACAGGCATGAGCCACCGCGCCCTGCCTCTACAAGAAAATTTTAAAAATTAACCAGGCATGGTGGTGTGCACCTGTAGTCCCAGCTACTCAGGAGACTAAGGTGAGAGGATCACTTAAGCCTGGGAGGTCAAAGTTGCAGTGAACCATATCATGTCACTGAACCCCAGCCTGGGCAACAGGGCAAGACCTTGTCTCAAAAAAAAAAAAAAAGGTTTTTATTAAAGAAAAAAGAACATACGGCTAGGCATGATGACTCATACTTGTAATCCCAGCACTTTGGGAGGCCGAGATGAGTGGACTGCTTGAGCTCACTTCAAGACTAGCCTGGGCAACATGGCAAAACCCTGTCTCTACAAAAAATACAAAAACGGCCGGGCGTGGTGCCTCACGTTGTAATCTTACTACTTTGGGAGGCTGAGGCAGGCAGACTGACTGAGCTCAGGAGTTCAAGACCAGCCTGGGCAACATGGCGAAACCCCATCTCTACTAAAAATACAAAAAATTAGCCAGGCGTGGTGGTGTGCGCCTGTAATCCCAACTACTGGGGAGGCTGAGGCACGAGAATAGCTTGAACCCGGGAGGTGGAGGTTGCGGTGAGCCGAGATCGTGCCAGTTCACTAAAGCCTGGGTGACAGAGTGAGACTCTGTCTCAAAAAAAATAAAAATAAAAATAAAAATAAAAATAAAAATACAAAAACTAGCTGAGCATGGTGGCATGTGCCGGTAGTCCCAGCTACTTCGGGGGCTGAGGCAGGAGAATCGCTTCAGCCTGCAAGGTTGAGGCTGCAGTGAGCCATGTTTGCACCACTGCACTCCAGCCTGGGCAACAAAGTGAGACCCTGTCTTTAAATAAAAAAAGAACATATGAAGCAAAGGATACTAAGTCCAACACATGGCGTAACAGACCACATCCTAAGACTACCTAAAAGACAAACATGAGGATTTCCTGATACAGGGCCATTTGCTTTGGTTTATTTTGTTTTAATTACATTTATATTTTTAAAACAGATAACATATTCACAAGAAAGAAAATTCCAAAGGCTTGTGAGTGAAAATTTTTCTTTCTCAGTCCTGGCTCCCGCCACCCATCCCTTCCCAAGGAACAGCAAATATTACAAGTTTTTCTGTAGCTTTCCAAAGATGATCTATACATATACAAGTAAATACAGATATGTTTGTTTTCTCTTTTTTTTGCACATTTGGTAGCACATCATATATTTCCATGCTTTATATTTTTAATTTCCCAATATATCCTACAGATGATTCCAAATTGGTACCTAAAGAGTCCCCGGCCAGGAGCAGTGGCTCATGCCTGTAATCTCAGCACTTTGGGAGGCCGAGATGGGTGGACTGCTTGAGCTCAGGAGTTCTAGACGAGTCTGGGCAACCTGGTGAAACCCTGTCTTTATTAAAAATACAAAAAAACTAGCTGGGCGTGGTGGCATGTACTTATAGTCCCAGCTACTTAGGAGGCTGAGATGGGAGGATCGCTTGAGCCCAGCAGGTTAAGACTGCAGTGAGCAGTGTTTGTGCCACTGCACTCCACCCTGGGAAACGAAGCAAGACCCTGTCTCAAAAAAAAAAAAAAAAAAAGTGCTGGGCGCAGTGGCTCACGCCTGTAATCCCAGCACTTTGGGAGGCCAAGTCAGGCGGACCACGAGGTTAAGAGATCGAAACCAGCCTGGCTAACATGGTGAAACCCCGTTTCTATTAAAAATACAAAAAAATGAGCCGGGCGTGGTGGCAGGCACCTGTAATCCCAGCTACTCCGGAGGCTGAGGCAGGAGAACGGCACCAACCCAGGAGGCAGAGCTTGCAGTGAGCCGAGATCTCGCCACTGCACTCCAGCCTGGGCGAAAGAGCAAGACTCCGTCTCAAAAAAAAAAAAAAAAAAAAAAAAAAAAAAAGAGTCCTTACCAGGCAGGCTGGCTCATGCCAGTAATCCTAATACTTTGGGAGACTGAGGCAGAAGGACTGCTTGAACGCAGCAGCTTGAGACCAGCTGGGGCAATGCGGTGAGACCCCGCCTCTACAAAAAATGAAAAATTAGCTGGGTATGGTAGCTTGTATCTGTAGTGCCAGCTAAAGGGGAGAATGAGGTGGGAGAATCACTTGAGCATGGAAGGTCAAGACTGCAGTGAGCCATGATCATGCCACTGCACTCCAGCCTGGGCAGCAGAATGAGACCTTGTCTCCAAAAACAAAACAAAAAAAAGCTCATAAAAGTCTCTTTTCTCCACTACCAACTCAGTGCAAAAGTTGAAAGAGCACACCTAGAACAAACAAACAAAATTAAGAATCAGTTTGCACTTGACAGGAAATTATTTTTCCTGTACATTAAGAGGTAGAGCTACAGATACTACAGCTACAACTACTTAGCCAAGGCCAGATGCTCATATAACAAAGAACACAGCCACACAGTATGCAAAGAAAACTGCCACACACGTTCTGATTAACAATGAAAAACCAGTTTTCACTCAGATCAATCAAAGGGGGAAAAAAGTAAGATTCCTGACAATTAGTTGAATCCTAAGCATCCTAGATTGAAAGTATTAGAAATCAGTCTACTAGAAAAAAATCAGTGATTCACATTAAACATTGATTAGAAAAGACGTAAGGTCTGAGTGTAACTCCCTGTTTGGGGAAAGCCAGCTGCCTTCTCTGTGTCATAGGCACAAAGAGCAGGAGGCCAAGAAAAAAACACAAGGACTTTTCCTGACCCCATGACGTGTCAGGGAAGCCTGGATCATGTCACTTCTGCTGATTCAAGGGACCAATGGACTTAAGACCATTTTCTGGAACCCATCAGTTCACGGCAGAAGCTCTGTCTCCCCAGTTGCAGCCAGTCCAGGTCTAGGTATGAGCTGCTGGGCAGAAAATAGCTGAAATTAGCCAGGTGTGGTAGCACATGCCTATAAATTAGCCAGGTGTGGTAGCACATGCCTATAATCCCAGCCACTTGAGGGGCTGAGGTGGGAGGAGAACTTGAGCCCAGAAGGTTGAGCCAACCAGAAGGTTGAGAAGGTGGTGCCAAGATCGCGCCACTACACTCCAGCCTGGGTGAAAAGCGAGACCCTGTCTCAAAAGAAAAATAATAGATGATAAAAATAAGGCTGGGTGCAGTGGCTCACGCCTGTTATCCCAACACTTAGGGAGGCCAAGGCAGGCTGATGGCTTGAGCCCAGGAGTTCAAGACCAGCCTGGGCAATGGCAGAACTCTGTCTCTACAGAAATTACAAAAAATTAGCTGGACATGGTGATGAGCTCCTGTGGTCCCAGCTACTAGGAAGGCTGAGGATCACCTGAGTCTGGGAGGTCGAGGCTGCAGTAAACTGTGACTGAGCCACTGCACTCCAGCCTGGGTTACAGAGTGAGACCCTGTCTCAAATATATATATAAATAAAAAATAAAGAAAAGAAATTGCTTCAATCACATTCCACGTGGGAGGTCACTTAAAAACTTTGATCTTTTTTATTTATTTTATTTTTTTTTTTGAGACGGAATCTCACCCTGTTGCTCAGGCTGGAGTGCAGTGGCGCAATCTCAGCTCACTGCAACCTCCACCTCCCGGGTTCAAGCGATTCTCCTGCCTCTGCCTCCCAAGTAGCTGAGACTACAGGTGTGTGCCACCACACCCGACTAATTTTTTATTTTTAGTAGAGACAGGGTTTCACCATGTTGGCCAGGCTGGTCTCGAACTCCTGACCTCAGGTGATCCATCCACCTCGGCCTCCCAAAGTGGGATTACAGGCGTGAGCCGCTGTGCCCGGCCAAAAACTTTGATCTTTAACACGATGAAGTAACAAAGGAGCCAAGGTTGGCAGCAGTCTTCCTCCCAGTACATGCCTGAGTCTGCTCAGCAAGGCCAATGGGAGCAAGGGCTACTGACGCGTATCCCTACCTGGAGCAAACTCAGGTCAGTTGACTTTGATGGCAAACAGTTCAAATTCCATTAATGACAATCACTTGTCAATTAATTTTTGGAATGGAAATGCACACCATCCTGGCCCAAGGGCTACCTTTCAGGATCCTCCAACCAGTAGCATGGCTTGAGGTAGGCAGCTAGCAAACAAAGTCCTCCCCAGCCTCTCTGCTACCACCATGACTCTCAACCCCAATTGGATCAGGAGAGCAGAACAAATGTTCTCTTAAACAGTGACTCACCAGGAAGTCTGTTCATGTTGACGCCTTGAGCCGAGAGTCCTATTCCCATGTAACTTCAAAAAAAAAAAAAAAAAAAACACAAAATTTTTGGTTAGCAAATGCTCATGCGTCTCCCTTCTCAAACATTTATTGGTAAAAGACAGAAAAATGAGAAAAGCAATGAATGTAGAGGCTCTTATAACATACTAATGGTTCTTGGAGAAACCTGACATTTTGATTTGCTAATGGAAAGCATCTTAGTGCCTCACCCAGCTAGAGAAAACAGAAAGTTGCGTGTGTTGTGTCACTATGAACCACCGGCTTCAATTTCAGAGGAAAGTGTCATGAATTCATGGCTTCCAGTCCTTTGGCATTCTGGCTGTAGCTAAGGCACAGAATCTATTCCTAAGATGTGCCTAAAGCATCTCAATCCTAGGTAGTGCTTTACAGAGCAATGCACGATTGTTCCACAGGGAGAACCCAGTCTGCACCAAAGACCAGGACATGGTAAAGCCAAGTTGGATCTACATAGGATCATCAATCAAGACTGCTCAAACGAGCTTGTTCTCTGGGTCTCAAAATTCATTACCTTCCCCGCATACATTCACATTGGCCTCCCAAACCACACAAAGCTGGGAGTAATGATGTGTGAGGCCCCCAGAGACCCCCTCACTCCTCCCACTCTTTGAAGAGTGGGGCTTATTCTCTTTGAACCCTGACTTAGTTGTGATCTCATTGGAGTATGCAACCTGGGCTCCTGTGGGGCTGCTCCCTGTGTCATTGACACCTGGAGGTAGAATGGCACCCAAATGTGGGTGTCAGCTTCCTCTGGCTGCTCTCCCCTTAGACAATCCACTCAGATTCTCAAGTTGAGGCAGAGGCTCCCAGGCCATCTACTAATAAATACCATCTTACCTTTGCACTTGGGACTTTTTAAGTTAATGCTGGAATGAGTTAAGACTCTGGGGGACTAGTGGGAAGGGATGATTGTATTCTGCAATGTGAGAAAGACATGAAATTTGGGGGGCCAGGGTAGAATGATATGGTTTCGATGTTTGTCCTCTCCAAATCTCATGTAGACATGTAATACCCAATGCTGGAGGTGGGGCCTGGTGGCAGGTGTTAAGATCATGGGGATAGATCCTTCATGAATGTCTTGGGGCAGTCCTCACAGTAATGAACGAGTTCTTGCTCTATGTTCCTGCGAGATCTGGTTGTTTAAAAGAGTATAGCACCTCCCCCCAACTTGTTCCCGTTGTTGCCATGTGACATGCTGGCTCCTAGTCAACATCCACTATGACTGTAAGCTTCTCCAGGCCTTTGCCGGCACCATGCTTCCTGTAAAGCCTGTAGAATTGTGAGCCAATTAAACCTCTTTTCTTTATAAACCTTCTTTTCTTTACCCTGTCTCAGGTATTTCTTTATAGTAATATAAAAAAGGCTAATACACTGCCCCTGCCAGTCCTTTATTGGCAGTAAATGCCCTTTTGCCTTTCTCTGGGTTGCTGCACCACTATATTTGGGGGAGCAGCCTCTACTACCAAAATAAAGGGTCAGGCAGGGAGGGAAGGCTCTGACCTACTCACCTGCCTCTGAAATCAGCTATCCCAATCATGCTGGGCAGGAACAAGGAAAGGAAACAACCCAGCATATGGCCCTGATAACGTGGCCCACATGGCTTAGGGAAAAAGGTAGAGAAGGGAAAGGAGCAAAGCAAAAGGAACAGCACTTCAAAGAGGGAGTTTCATAGTTCGAAGGGAACTTGTCTTCTGCTTTGTTTTAAGCAGCATTTGAGACAGAGTTGGATCCTTAAAGGTCAAAGACATGAACCAATATAGCCTGTAGCTGGACAGGACTGCTCAGTCATTCCCAGAAACACACAAACTGCCTGCCTCCTCCTGCCAGAGGGGCTAGCTTCAAGGACCATCAGGAGCAGAAGCTGTCTTAGCCTGCTGGCAGAATTCCCATTAGATTAAAACTTGCACATTTTTCCAGAAAAACTGCAGCCCAAATAATCAGCTTCCTGACTTTACATGGCAGAGGCTGCCAAAAGTCAGTCTCCATTCCTTCAGTACCTCAGCTGACCAAGCAGCAAACGACCCCAGCTGCCCTGCAGTCAGCAGTCCAACAGGCACAAGTGCAACAGTCAGGGCTTTCCCTGATTTAGACAACAGCCACTCACCATGCCCTGTTCAGAGGGGCCTGGGGCTATGCCCAACACCACATGTCATCCCATCCCCAGCACATAGGCTTCCTGACACTAGGTAAGGGTTTATGTTTGGAGCACATGTGCAAACGGGGAGGTCAAAGGTCACTCAAGAAGAGTTATGCTTGGTCGCTGCAACAGGGCTCTGGTTCCACAACATTCTATGGGAATGGGGAATCACTAAAGCACCTGTGCTCAAAACACAACTTGCTTAGGCCTCCCCACAGGAGACGCCTCTCCCTTCTCCAGCAGCTAGCCCTCAACACCTTCCTACAGACTCTGCTCCACAGGTAAGATGGTGTTTATTAGTGGATGGCTCGGGAGCCTCTGTACAAACCCCTGCCTCGACTTGAGAATCTGAGTGGACTGTCTAAGGGGAGAGCAGCCAGAGGAAGCTGACACCCACATTTGGGCACCATTCCACCTCTAGGTGTCAATGACACAGGGAGCAGCCCCACAGGAGCCCAGGTTGCATATTCCAATGAGGTCACAGCTGAGTCAGGGTTCAAGGCGAATAAGCCCCCACTCTTCAAATACTGGGTGACATTAAGTCTTTTCCAAAAGCATGGTGTTTTAAAGCTACCAAAAGATGCACTCTTCTATCTTCCAGAAACTCTTCATAAACTTAAAGACTATCATCCAACCAATCTGAGAGAAACAAAGCAGACCCTGTGAATACACTAAAAAACACGAATTGTACACTTTAAATGGTGACTTGTATAGCATGTTAAATTACATGTCAATAACACTCAAGAAAGTAGGAATAAAAGGAAACTACCTTAACACAACAAAGGTCATATATGAAAAACCTGGCTGGGCACAGTGGCTCACACCTGTAATCCCAGCATCTTGGGAGGCTGAGGCGGGTGGATCACTTGAGGTCAGGAGTTCGAGACCAGCCTGGCCAACATGGTGAAACACCGTCTCTACTAAAAATACAAAAATTAGCAGGGTGTGGTGGCACACGCCTGTAATCCCAGCTACCAGGGAGCTGAAGCAGGAGAATCGCTTGAACCCTAGAGGCCGAGGTTGCAGTGAGCCAAGATCAGGCCACTGCATTCCAGTCTGGGTGACAAAGAGAGACTCCGCTTCGAAAAATAAATTTAAAAAAACCCCACAGCTAACATCATACTCAATGGTGGAAGACTGAAAGCCTTTCATCTAAGATGCCTGCTTTCACCACTTCTATTCAAGACAGTATTGGGAGTTCTAGATGATGCAATCAGACAAGAAAAAGGAATGAAAGGCATCCAAATTGGAAAGGAAAACTATCTCTGTTCACAGATGACATGTTCCCATACGTAGAAAACCTTGCCAGGTGTGGTGGCTCATGCCTGTAATCCCAGAACTTTGGGAGGCTGAAGCAGGAAGATCGCTTGAGCCCAAGAGTTCGAGACCAGCCTAGGCAACACGGCAATATCCTGTCTCTACAAAAAATTAGGTGGGCATGGTGAAGTGCACCTGTAATTCCAGCTGCTTAGAAGACTGAGGTGGGAAGATCACCTGAGCCCAGGAGATCAAGACTGCAGTAAGCAAGATTGTGCCACTGGGTGACAGAGTGAGACTCCGTCTAAAAAAAAAAAAAAAAAAAAAAACTGGAAAGAAAAGAAAGGGAAACTCTAAAGATTGCACAAAACAAAAAACTTGCCGGGCGCGGTGGCTCACACCTGTAATCCCAGCTCTTTGGGAGGCCCAGGCGAGCGGATCACAAGGTCAGGAGATCAAGACCATCCTGGCCAACACGGTGAAACCCCGTCTCTACTAAAAATACAAAAAATTAGCCAGGCATGGTGGTGGGTGCCTGTAGTCCCAGCTACTCAGGAGGCTGAGGCAGGAGAATGGCATGAACCTGGGAGGCGGAGCTTGCAGTGAGCCGAGATCACACCACTGCACTCCAGCCTGAGAGACAGAGCAAGACTCCATCTCAAAAAAAAAAAAATTAGAATTGGCCAGATGCAGGGCTGGGTGTGGTAGCTCACACCTGTAATCCCAGCACTTTGGGAGGCTGAGGTCGGCGGATCACCTGAGGTCAGGAGGTTCAAGACCAGCCTGACCAACATGGTAAAAACCAATCTCTAATAAAATACAAAAAAATTAGCCGGGTGTGGTGGAACATGGCTGTAAACCCAGCTACTTGGGAGGGTGAGGCAGGAGAATCGCTTAAACCTGGGAGACAGAGGTTGCTTTGAGCTGAGATCAGGCCACTGCACTCCAGCCCGGACAACAGACACGGACTCCATCTCAAAAAAAAAAAAAAAAAAAAAAAAAGAATTGGCCAGGTGTGGTGGCTCATGCCTGTAATCCCAGCACTTTGGGAGCTAAGACAGGCAGATCACCTGAGGTCAGGAGTTCAAGATCAGCCTGGCCAACATGGTGAAACCCTGTCTCTGTTAAAAATACAAAAATTAGCCGGGCGTGGTGGTGGGCACCTGTAATCCCAGCTACTTGGGAGGCCAAGGCAGGAGAATCACATGAACCTGGGGGCAGAAGTGGCAATAAGCTGAGATCGAGCCACTGCACTCCAGCCTGGGTGACAGAGCAAGACTTTGTCTCAAAAAAAAAAAGAAAAAGAAAAAGAAAAAAAAAAAGAACTAATAAGTTACTCTATTTCTCACTTTTCAGTTGTATTGCTACACACTTATAATGAACAATCAAAAAAAAATTGAGAAAACAATTCCATTTCCAATAGCATCAAAAGAATAAAATACTTAAGCTGGGCACGGTGGCTCACGCCTGTAATCCTAGCACTTTAGGAGGCTGAGGCAGGTGGATCACGAGGTCAGGAGTTCAAGACCAGCCTGACCAACATGGTGAAAACCCATCTCTACTAAAAATACAAAAATTAGCCGGGCGTGGTGGTGCATGCCTGTAATCCCAGCTATTCGGGAGGCTGAGGCAGGAGAATTGCAGGAACCCGGGAGGTGGAAGTTGCAGTGAGCCAATACCGCAGCATTGCACTCTAGCCTGGGGTACAAGAGCGAAACTCCGTCCCCCACCCAAAAAAAAGAAAAAAAATACTTAAAAGTAAATAAAGTAGGCTGGGCGCGGTGGCTCACGCCTATAATCCCAGCACTTTGGGAGGCTGAGGCGGGCAGATCACAAGGTCAGGAGATTGAGACCATCCTGACTAACATGGTAAAACCCCGTCTCTACTAAAAATACAAAAATTTAGCCGGGCATGGTGGCGGGGGCCTGTAGTCCCAGCTACGGGGGAGGCTGAGGCAGGAGAATGGCGTGAACCCAGGAGGCTGAGCTTGCAGTGAGCCGAGATCGCGCCACTGCACTCCAGCCTGGGCGACAAAGCGAGACTCCATCTCAAAACAAAACGAAAAAAAAAGTAAAAAAACTTAACCAAGGAGGCTAAAGACACTAAAAACTATAAAATGTTGATGAAGGAAATTACAGACACAAATAAATGGAAAGACATCCTCTGTTCACTGATTAGAAGACTCACTATTGTTAAGATGTCAATACTACCCAAAGTGATATACAGATTCAAGGCCATCCCTATCAAAATCCCAATGATGTTTTCCACAGAAATAGAAAAATCCATATGGAATCTCAAGGGACAGAAACAGTCAAAACAATCTTAAAAAGAACAAAGTTGGAGGGCTTACACTTTCTGATTTCAAAACTTACTACAAAGCTACAATAATAAATCAGTTTAAGACTCGCATAAAGACAGACCTACAGTCCAAGGAATAGAATAGAGATCCCAGAAATAAACCCTCACATGTATAGTCAACTGATTTCAACAAGGATGCTAAGACCATTAGATGGGGAAATGACAGTTTTTTCAACAAATAACGCTGGGACATCTGGATAATCACAAACAAAAGAACAAAGTTTGGCCAGGTGCGGTGGCTCACGCCTGTAATCCCAGCACTTCAGGAGGCCAAAGTGGGTGGATCACCTGAGGTCGGGAGTTCAAGACCAGCCTGACCTATGTGGAGAAACCCCGTCGCTACTAAAAATACAAAACTAGCTGGGCATAGTGGCGCATGCCTGTAATCACAGCTACTTGAGAGGCTGAAGCAGGAGAATCGCTTGAACCCAGGAGGCGGAGGTTGCAGTAAGCCAAGATCGCGCCACTGCACTCCAGCCCAGGCACCAAGAGCGAAACTCTGTCTAAAATAAAAAAAAAAAGAAGTTTTTTGCTTATATTACACCATATATAAAAATCAACTCAAAATGGATCAAAGACCTAATCATAAGAGCTAAAACTTCAACTCTCAGGAAAAGACATAGCAAGCTTCATGACATTGGATTTGGCAATAATTTCTTGGACAAAAGCACAGGCAACAAGAGAAAACATAGATAAAGTAAACTTCATCAAACTTTAAAACTTTTAGCTAGGAATGGTGATGTGCACCTGTAGTTCCAGCAATGTGGGAGGCTGAGGCAGGAGGATCGCTTGAGCCCAGGAGTTTGGGACTAGCCTGGGCGACACAGCAAAACCCCATCTCTAAAAAATGAGAGTGGCAAAGGCCTTGAGATGTTTCCCTAAAGAAGGTGTACATGTGGCCAGCAAGCACCTGAAAAGATGCTCACCATCACTATCGTTACGGAAATGCAAATCAAAACTACAGTGAGGGCAGGCACAGTGGCTCATGCCTATAATCCTAGCACTTTGGGAGGCCGAGGCAGATGGACTGCTTGAGCTCAGGAGTTCAAGACCAGCCTGAGCAACATGGCAAAACCCCATCTCTACAAAAAATATAAAAATCAGCTGGGCGTGGTGGTGCTTTTCTGTAGTCTCAGCTACTTGAGAGGCTGAGATGGGAGCACAGCTTGAGGCCCAGGAAGTTGAGGCTGCAGTGCCTCCCGCCATTGCACTCCAGAGCCTGGGTGACAAAGTGAGACACTGTCTCAAAATAAAAATAAAATAAAAATAGTCTGGGCGCAGTGGCTCATGCCTGTAATCCCAGCACTTTGGGAGGCCAAGGAGGGCTGATTGTTTGAGACCAGGAGTTCGAGATCAGCCTGGGCAAAATGGTGAAACCCTGTTTCCACCAAAAATACAAAAATTAACCAGACATGGTAGTGCACACCTGTAGTCCCAGCTACTCAGGAGGCTGAGGTGGGAGGATGGCTTGAGCCTGGGGTGGGTGGAGGTTGCAGTGAGCCGAGATGGCACTACTGCACTCCAGCCTGGGTGACAGAGCCAGACCTTGTCTCAAAGAAAAAAAAAAAAAAACACAGCGAGATACCACTTTGTACCCTTTGAGCTGCCAAGAATGAGACAAAAATAAATAAGGAAAGGGCATAACAAAAACCTCAAACTCATTCTCCTGTACACATACTGCAGTATCTTTGCATCTATGGAACAGGAAGAATCCCCATAGGAGGCCACTGACACTACCCTTCCTCTATTGATCTCTGCAGGCACCTGAATATGGCTGAGTTATTAGGAGCTCTTGGGTCCTTGCTAACGTTGAGTAATTCAGTAAAAACAGGTGTGATAAATTTCTTTTCATAGAGGTTCTTCCAGTCATTCATGTCATCAACAAAAATGCCCTGTACCCAGTATGATGCTGGGGACATAAGGGTGGGGGCCTGGGCTCAATCCTTGCCCTCCAACAGTTCTAATGTCAAGTCAGGGCAAGCCAGAGAGTCAAGGTGTGCTGACTCAAAATGGGGAATTCCCTCAGGAAGTGAAGGCTGAGCCAAGGCCTGGTAAAGTAAATGACAGGAGAAAGAGGATCATGGTCCACTCAAAAACAGCAGAATGTGGGCCAGGCACGGTGGCTCACGCCAGTAATCCCAGCACTTTGGGAGGCCAAGGCAGGTGGATCACGAGGTCAAGAGATCCAGACTATCCTGGCCAACATAGTGAAACCCCATCTCTACTAAAAATAAAAAAATTAGCCGGGCGTGGTGGCGGGTGCCTGTAGTCCCAGCTACTCGTGAGGCTGAGGCAGGACAATCACTTGAACCCGGGAGGCGGAGAATGCAGTGAGCCGAGATTGCGCCATTGCACTCCAGCCTGGCAACAAAGCTAGACTCCGTCTCAAAAAACAAACAAACAAACAAAAAAACACAGCAGAATGTGAAAAGGCATAGAGGCAAGAAAGCAGCCACGTGGTTGGGGAACTAAGAGAAGTTTAGTATGACTGGGTTACAGTCTGGGCAGACCTAGAAAGACAGACAGCTGGATCTGGAAATGGGCTGTGCATGCACAGCCTGCATGCTAGCTTAAGGAGTCTGAACTTCATGAGAGGTAAATGGGAAGCCACAGAAGGGGCTAAGCTGGGGATGGTGGCTTCAGCCTATAATCCCAGCTACTTGGGAGGCCAAGGCGGGAAGATCATTGGAAGCCAGGAGTGCAAGACCAGCCTAGACAACATAACAAGACCACCTCTGTCTCTAAAAAAAAGAAAGGGTACAGCTGATCAAACAGCTGATATTTGAAAAATGGATTGAAGAACCAAAACTGGACACTTCCAGAGTCATTCCCATGGAAGATGACAAGGGTGGGACAGGAGCAGTGGGATGATGTGGAGACAGGCAAGTGCTCTTTAGAACACAGTTAATTTATTGGGTGGGGGAGGAGCTAGAGAAGCCCAAGACACTGCCCAGCACAACCAGGCACCAAGGAAAGGTCAATTCTCTGAGACCCACTTGGAAATACTGGAGCCAAAGTGCTCAGTCAGAGTTAGCAGCAGCCATTCTCCAGCTGTGCTCTCTAGCCCTGGCATTGATGCCACGCACACACATCTCAGAACACAGCTCCAAGGAGCAAACACAGTTTACAATCCTAGACTCCAATCTCACCTCTGCCACTGAGTTCAACACATGCCCACTGGCATGTCCCATGTGCTCTCAGAGCCTGCTTTATCAGCTATTACCTTGAGGCTGGAGAGCCCCCAAAGCAGCCATTCAACAGGATCAGACAAACGAGCACCTGAGCGCAGTGCCGGAGGCTGAAGGTGGATGATGGGACAACCCCACTTTGTCCATTCATTCATACACTGGAGGATCTTCCAGCATCAGGATCTGGTAAGGAAATGAGGCCATTCTGGAAGGCCTGGATCTCAGGACATCTAAAACAAACACCTGTTTACTTGAGATTACCAAGGAGAAAGGAGGTGAATATTTGCTTCCTTGTTGGTAATGGGCCAGGCTATGCTAGAAACACTCACAGATACAACCTGCCTGGGTCAGCCTGGGAGGGAGGGCGGCAACAAGGGCTTTTACTCCCGGAGCAGGTGACTAGAATAGATAGAGCAGCTTAGCTCCCAACACTTCTCTACCAGGGCCTTCTTTTCTAACTGCAGGATATATTTCAGGAGCTGGGGAGAGGGAATTATTTACGCTATGACACAGGTGAAAGTAAGGTAAAGCCATCTGATTTACTCCTTTCTTCTATATGGCAGCAAAGTGGAGAAGAAATATCATGCCAGAGAGGTGAGACAGGAAGCACAGAGAGGCAACAGACAAGCTCTTCGTGGCAGTGAGGCCATGAGTAGGCCTGTAACTTCTCAGTTCCTACCGTTGCCTGCCAAAACCACAATGCAAGGTGGAGATACGAGAACAGCTATTCTGCCCTATCTAGCTCAAGAGAGAAGAGGGCAGCAAATAGGCACTGCTTGGGACAAGTGGAGTCGAGATCCACCAGAACACAAGATAGAGAAGAAGCAACCGCACCTGGAAGCAGGCAGCAAAGGCCCACAGGTGTCCACACTCACAAATCCACCCAGAAGCTCCCACTATCCACTGCAACTGGCAGGGGGTCCATGCTGCCACCCGAGCAAGGGGGTCCACCCAGCCCTGCCACCCGAGCTCAAGTCTGCTGAAACCCTGCAGTCATGTGGAGAGCTGCAAGCACAGTCCAGTCCTCTTGGATTCCTTTTTCTCTTTGCTTTTCCAGATTTTCTACAACTAACACAAATTACTTTTTACAATTTTTAAATTTTAATTTCTATTTTTAGTTTTTATTTGAGACAGGGTCTCACTCTGTCTCCCAAGCTGGAGTGCAATGGTGAGACCTTGCTCACTGCAACCTCTGCCTCCCAGGCTCAAGCCATCCTCCCACATCAGCCCCCTGAATAGCTGGGACCATAGGTGAGTGCCACCACACCTGGGTAGTTTAGAGATGGGGATTTGCCCTGTTGCCTAGGCTAGTCTTGAACCCCTGAGCTCAAGCGATCAGCCTGCCTTGGCCTCCCAAAATGCTTGGATTACAAGTGTGAGCCACCGTACCCAGCCAATTATTTTATTTTATATTTTATTTTATTTTATTATTTTTTTAGAGACGAAGTCTTGCTCTGTCACCCAGGCTGGAGTGCAGTGCCGCGATCTTGGCTCACTGCAACCTCTGCCTCCCAGGTTCAGGCAATTCTCCTGCATCAACTTCCCAAGTAGCTGGGACTACAAGGCGTGCGCTACCACACCCAGCTAATTTTTGTATTTTTCAGTAGAGATGGGGTTTCACTATATGTTGGCCAGGCTGGTCAACTCCTGACCTCATGTAATCCGCCCAGCTCGGCTTCCCAAAGTGCTGGGATTACAGGCATAAGCCACCGTGCTGGGCCAAAAATCACTTTTAAGAGCCATCTCTTAAAAGCCACTTTTAAGAGCCATCTCTTAAAAGCCACTTTTAAGAGCCATCTCTTAAAAGCCACTTTTAAGAGCCATCTCTTAAAAGCCACTTTTAAGAGCCATCTCTTAAAAGCCACTTTTAAGAGTAATGGCTACATACTGCAGAGGTTTTTGGCTCTCACTCATCAGACTCTCTCTGGATCACCCCAGGACATTTCAGTGATGGGGGACACATTAGGGAACGTGGCTTTCACAGTCAGCTCCTTGGTCCACCTAGCACCCCGAGTCTTGACAGAAGGGCAGAGGCTGCATCACAACAGTACAGCTTCAGAAACAGTCAAAATCCTTGCTGAGCAGAGGCCCTGAGGTTCCGGCTCACATGGCACCTAGTATGTCCCAAGCTGGGCACAGAGCACACACGCAGGAGACCCTGCTGCAGTGAGACAGATTTGGCACAGCTCCAACTGACTAGAGTTTCTTCTGCGACCCAGGCAGGCCTGGTGGTGGACAGAGGACAGAACTTTAGAAACCAGGGCCACCTGACTCTCACACCTCCCAGATATGTACAAGGCCACGGGAAGGAGACGACCCCTTTACTGTACTCTACCACCCAGTCCTGATAACAAGTTTGAGAACCCTGCACAGAGAACCCCTTTGGCAACAAGTCTGACTTCCCCTCCTGCCTCCTGAAGAGTTCTGAGGTGACAAGAACACTTCACAGCAGGGCTCCAAACACAACACCCTTGACTCTAAAAGGCTGGTCTCAGACACTCCAGCCTAATTCAAGACTATGGGTCTTAGATTTCAACCCACATATCAGGTTCCTTATTAGAGGAGGAAAGGTTAAACCAAAGGCTCCTAAGCTCCTTCCCAGCTTTGACCTAGACTTCAATTCTTCACAGAAAAATGTCTGTGCACATTGTAAATGTGCAGTGCCCAGATGCAAACCCAAGATGAGGAAGACCCTGGAACAGCAATCAAAAAGCCACTAAGAAGACATCAGGCTGAGTGCGGTGGCTCACGCCTATAATCCCAGCACTTTGGGAGGCCAAGGCAGGTGGATCACAAGGTCAGGAGTTCAAGACCAGCCTAGCCAAGATGGTAAAACCCCATCTCTACTAAAAATACAAAAAAATTAGCCGGGCGTGCTGACGGGTGTCTATAATCCCAGCTACTCGGGAGACTGAGGCAGAGAAGTGTTTGAACCTGGAAGGTGGAGGTTGCAGTGAGCCAAGATGGCGCCACTGCACTCCAGCCTGAGTGACAGAGAGAGAGACTCCGTCTCAAAAAAAAAAAAAAAAAAAAGACATCAAAGGAAAAGAAAGTTATAGAGCAATATAGATGAATATAGATGCAAAAATCCTTAATAGAATAGTAGCAGACCAAATCCAACAGTGTATTAAAAGGATTATATACCACAACCTAATGGGATTTATCCCAGAAAGGCAAGGATGGTTCAACATAAGAAAATCAGGTGGAGGCCGGGAGAGGTGGCTCACGCTTGTTAATTCCAGTATTTTGGGAGCCCAAGGCGGGTGGATCATTTGAGGTCAGGAGTTTGAAACCAGCCTGACCAACATGGTGAAACCCTATCTCTACTAAAAATACAAAATTAGGCCAGGCCTGGTGGCTCACGCCTGTAATCCCAGCACTTTGGGAGGCCAAGGCGGGAGGATCACCTGAGGTTGGGAGTTTGAGACCAGCCTGACCAACATGGAGAAACCCCGTCTCTACTAAAAATACAAAATTAGCCGGGCGTGGTGGCCCATGCCTCTAATCCCAGCTACTCTGGAGGCTGAGGCAGGAGAATCATTTGGACCTGGGAGGTGAAGGTTGCGGTGAGCCAAGATCGAGTCATTGCGCTCCAGCCTGGGCCACAAGAGTGAAACTCCATCCCAAAAAAAAAAAAATTAACCTAGCTTGGTGGTGTATGCCTGTAATCCCGGCTACTCGGGAGGCTGAGGCAGGAAAATCGCTTGAACCCGGGAGGCGGAGGTTGCAGTAAGCCGAGATTGAGCCATTGCACTCCAGCCTGGGTGACAAGAGCGAAACTCCATCTAAAAAAAAAAAAGAAAAAGAAAAGAAAAGAAAATGATCTAAATATAAGAGGTAAGGCCCTGGGCCAAAAATCTGGCACTGGCCCAGTAGCACTTAAAAAAAAAAAAATAGGCTGGGTGCGGTGGCTCACGCCTGTAATCCCAGCACTTTGGGAGGCCGAGGCGGGCAGATCACCTGAGGTCAGAAGTTTGAGACCAACCTGGCCAACATGGTGAAACCCCATCTCTACTAAAAATACAAAAAAAGTAGCCAGGCGTGGTGGCAGGTGCCTATAATCCTAGCTACTCGGGAGGCTGAGGCAGGAGAATCACTGGAACCCTGGAAGAGGAGGTTGCAGTGAGCCGAGATCGTGCCACTGCATTCCATCCTGGGTGACAGATCGAGAGTCGGTCTCAAAAATAAATAAATAAATAAAAAAGAAAGAAAGAAAGAAGGGAGGGAGGGAAGGAAGGGAAAAACTAAAATAAAAAGGAAAGAGCCAAAACCATAAAATTCTTAGAAGAAAGCGTAAGGGTAAATCTTCATGACCTTTGATTTCACAATGGATTTAGAGATGATACAAAAAGGATGAACAAAAAGAAAAATACATGAATTGGACTTAATTAATATTAAAACTTCTGTGCATCAAAAGACATCATCGGGGCTCATGCCTATAATCCCAGCACTTTGAGAGGCTGAGGCAGGCGGACCACTTGAGGTCAGGTGTTCGAGACCAGCCTGGTCGACATGGCAAAACCCCGTCTCCACTAAAAATACAAAAATTAGCCAGGTATGGTGGTCCATGCCTGTAATTCCAGCTACTCAGGAGGCTGAGGCAGGAGAATCACTTGAACCCGGGAGGCAAAGGTTGCAGTGAGCTGAGATCACACCACTGCACTCCTGCCTAGGAAACAGAGTGAGTGAGACTCCATCTCAAAAAAAAAAAAAAAGCCAGGCACAGTGGCTCACGCCTATAATCCCAACACTTTGGGAAGCCAAGGTGGTGGATCACAAGGTCAGGAGATCGAGACCATCCTGGCTAAAACGGTGAAACCCCGTCTCTACTAAAAATACAAAAAATTAGCCGAGCATGGTGGCAGGCGCCTGTAGTCCCAGCTACTCGGGAGGCTGAGGCAGGAGAATGGCGTTAACTTGGGAGGCGGAGCTTGCAGTGAGCGGAGATCAGAGCGAGACTCCATCTCAAAAAAAATAATAATAATTAAAAAAAAAAAAAGACATCATCAAGAGGCCAGGCATGGTAGCTCACATCTGTAATACCAGTGCTTTGGGAGGCTGTGGAGGCAGGAGGACTGCTTGAGCCCAGGAGTTCAAGACCAGCCTAGGCAACATGGCAAGACCCCATCTCTACAAAAAATTTAAAATTTAGCCAGTCATGGTGGCATGCACCTGTAGTCCCAGCTACTTGGGATGCTGAGGTGGAAGGATCACTTGAGCCCAGGAGGTTAAGTCTGCAGTGAGCCAAGATTGCACCACTGCACTCCAGCCTGTGCGACAGAGCAAAAATCCATCTGAAAAAAATAAAAATAAAAATAAAAAATAAGAGAGTGAAAAGACAATCAATGGAATAGGAAAAAGTATTTGCAAATCATAGATCTGATAAGGGTTTAATATCAAAAATAAAGAATTCCTATAACTCAACAACAGAAAGACAAACAACCCAAACAGGCAAAGGACTTGAACAGACATTTCTCCAAAGAATCTATACAGATAGCCACATACAATAAGCACATAACAAGATCCTCAACATCACTAGTCATTAGGAAATGCAAATCAAAACCACAATGAGTTACCACTTCATACCTAGAATAGCTATAATTTAAAAGTTCCAGGTCAAGTGCAGTGGCTCACGCCTGAAATTTCAGCACTTTGGGAGGCCGAGGCGGGCAGATCAGTTAAGGTCAGGAGTTCGAGGACAGCCTGGCCAACTTGGTGAAACCTGTCTCTACTAAAAATACAAAAATCAGCCAGGCGTAGTGGTACACACCTGTTATTCCAGCTACTCAGGAGGCTGAGACATGAGAATCACTTGAACCAGGGAGGTGGTGGTTGAAGTGAGCCCAGATCAAGCCATTGCACTCCAGCCTGGGGGATAGAGCTAGACTCCATCTCAAAAACAACAACGAAAAAATAGAATAAATAGGCCAGGCATGGTGGCTCACACCTGTAATTCCAGCACTTTGGGAGGCCAAGGCAGGCAGATTACTTGAGGTCAGGAGTTTGAGACCAACCTGGCCAACATGGTGAAACCCTGTCTCTACTAAAAATACAAAAATTAGCCAGGCGTGGTGGCACATGCCTGTGATCTCAGCTACTCAGGAGGCTGAGGTGGGAGAATCACTTGAACCCGGGAGGCAAAAGTTCCAATGAGCTGAGATAGCGCCAGTGCACTCTAGCCTGGGTGACAGAGTGAGACTCTATCTCAATCAATCAATCAATCAATCAATCAAAGTTCCAGCTACTTGAGAGGCTGAAGCAAGAGGATTGCTTGAGCTCAGGAGTTCAAGACCAGACTAGGCAAGACAGCAAGGCTTTAAAAAATAAAAAAATGAAGAAAGAAATAAAATAAATGTTGGCAAGGATGTAAAGAAATTGGAGCCTTCACACACTGCTGGTGGGGATGTAAAATGGTGCAGCCACTATGGAAAAGTTCGGTAGTTACCCAAAAAAGTTAAATAAAAATTATCATATGACCCAGCAATACCATTCTTAGGTGAACACCCAAAAGAACTGAAAATAGGAACTCAAACACTATGTACACCAATGTTTGCTGCAGCATTATTCACAATAACCAAAAGGTGAAAGCAACCTAAGCGTCCATCAACAGAAGAATGGATAAACAAAATGTGATGTATATATAAGTACAACAGAATATTATTCAGCCATAAAAAGGAATGAAGTTCTAGGCTGGGTATGGTGGCACATGCCTGTAATCCCAGCACGTTGGGAGGCTGAGGCAAGAGGATCACTTGAGGCCCGGTGTCAAGACCAGCCTGGGTAACATAGCGAGATTCTGTCTCTAGAAAAAAAAAAATTTTTTTTTGAGATGGAGTCTCGCCTGTTGCCCAGGTTGGAGTGCAGTGGTGCGATCTTGGCTCACTGCAACCTCCACCTCCTGGGCTCAAGTGATTCTCCAGCTTCAGCCTCCCGAGTAGCTGTGACTACAGGCACATGCCAACACACTCAGCTAATTTTTTTATTTTTAGTAGAGACTGGGTTTCACCATGTTGTCCAGGATGGTCTTGATCTCTTGACCTCATGATCCACCCGCCTCAGCCTCCCAAAGTGCTGGGATTACAGGCGTGAGCCTGTAGTCCTGAGCTCAAGCAATCCTCTTGCTTCAGCCTCTCAAGTAGCTGGAACTTTGATTGACTGACTGATTGATTGATTGAGATAGAGTCTCACTCTGTCAGCCTGTAGAGCCACGCCTGGCCTCTACAAATTTTTTTTTCTTTTGAGACAGAGTCTTGCTCTGTCGCCCAGGCTGGAGTGCAGTGGTGCGATCTCGGCTCAATGCAAGCTCCGCCTCCCAGGTTCACACCATTCTCCTGCCTCAGCCTCTCGAGTAGCTGGGACTATAGGCGCCCGCCACCATGCCCGGCTAATTTTTTGTTGTATTTTTTTAGTAGAGAGGGGGTTTCACCATGTTAGCCAGGATGGTCTCGATCTCCTGACCTCGTGATCCACCCGCCTCGGCCTCCCAAAGTGCTGGGATTACAGCGTGAGCCAGCGCGCCCAGCCCTTTTTTTTGTATTTTTAGTAAAGACGGTGTTTCAACATATAACCAGGATGGTCTTGATCTCCTGACCTCGTGATCTGCCTGCCTTGGCCTCCCAAAGTGCTGGGATTACAGGCATGAGCCACCGCTCCTGCCCCCAAAATTTTTTTTTAAATTAGTCAGGCAGGACGCGCACAGTGGCTCACACCTATAATTCCAGCACTTTGGGAGGCCGAGACGGGCAGATCTCTTGAGGTCAGGAGTTCGAGACCAGCCTGGCCAACATGGTGAACTCCATCTCTACTGAAAATACAAAAATTAGCCAGGTGTGGTGGCACACGCCTATAGTCCCAGCTACTTGGGAGGCTGAGGCAGGGGAATAGCTTGAACCGAGGTGGAGGCTGCAGTGAGCCAAGATCACACCACTGCACTCCAGCCTGGGCAACAGAGTGAGACTCCGTCTCAAAAGAGGAAAAAAAAAAAATTATCCAGGCAGGCCGGGCACAGTGGCTCACGCCTATAATCCCAGCACTTTGGGAGGCTGAGGCGGGCAGATTACTTGAGGTCAAGAATTCAAGACCAGCCTGGCCAATATGGTGAAATGCCATCTCTACTAAAAATACAAAATTTAGCCAGGTGTGGTGGTGCACGCCTGTAGTCTCAGCTAGTCAGGAGGCTGAGGCAGGGGAATAGCTTGAACCTGGGAGGTAGAGGTTGCAGTGAGCCAAGATCATGCCACTGCACTCCAGCCTGGGCACCAGAATAAGACTCCATCTCAAAAAAAAAAAAAAATGTACCCAGGCATGGTGGCATATGCCTGCAATCCTAGCTACTACTCAGGAGGCTGTGGCTAGAGGATTTCTTGAGCCTAGGAGCTCAAGGATACAGTGAGCCATGATTGTGCCACTGCACTCCAGTCTGGGCAACAGAACAAGACCATATTTCTTTTTTTTTTGAGATGGAGTCTCACTCTGTTGCCTAGGCTGGAGTGCAATGGCACCATCTCGGCTTGCTGCAACCTCCACCTCCTGGATTCAAGTGATTATCCTGCCTCAGCCTCCCAAGTAGCTGGGATTATAGGCACACACCACCACGCCTGGCTAATTTTTTGTATTTTTAGTAGAGACGGGGTTTCACCATGTTGGTCAGGCTGGTCTCAAACTCATGACCTCAGGTGATCCACCCATCTCAGTCTCCCAAAGTGCTGGGATTACAGGCATGAGCCACCATGCCCAGACAACCATATATCTTAAAAACAACTAAATAAATAAATAAGAAGAAATGGACTGGGCGCAGTGGCTCACACCTGTAATCCCAGCACTTTGGGAGGCCAAGACAGGCGGATCACGAGGTCAGGAGTTCAAGATCAATCTGACCAACATGGCGAAATCCCATCTCTACTAAAAATACAAAAATTGGCTGGGCGTGGTGGTGCACACCTGTAATCCCAGCTACTCGGGAGGCTGAGGCAGGAGAATTGCTGAACCTGGGAGGCGGAGGTTGCAGTGAGCCGAGATCGCACCACTGCACTCCAGCCTGGGTGACAGAATGAGACTCTGTCTCAAATTAAAAAAAAAAAAGAAGAAGAAGAAATGAAGTTATGAAACATGCCACAACACAGATAAACCTTGAAAACATAATGCTATGTGAAATGGGTCAGACACAAAAGGACCAATATTGTAGGATTCCCCTTACATGAACTATCAAGAATAAGCAAATTCATAGAAACAGAAAGTAGATCAGAGGTTAACAGGGACTAGGAGGAAGGAGAAATGGAGAATTACTGCTTAATGGGTACAGAGTTTCTGTTTGGGGTGATGGAAAAGTTCTAGAAATAGACAGTGATATGGTGATGGTTGCACAACATTGTGGATGCAATTAATACCACTGAATTACACACTGAAAATGGATAAAATGGCATATTTTATGTTACATATATTTTACCACACACACATACACAGAGACACCAAGAACACCCCTATGGCCCTGCAAACCAGCAAGGACCGCATCTGGCTTTTCCCGATGAGACAAGGGAGGCCCTGGCACAGAGCACAATGGGCAGCATAAGAGTATTCTGGCCTCACATTGGGGCCAGAAGTCCCGCACTTAGCCCACAGCAAATGACAAGAGTGAAGAAGGACCCAACTGTTTCTACTTTTACCAATTTTTTATTTTTTTATTTTTTGAGATGGAGCCTCAATCTGTTGCCTAGGCTGGAGTGCAGTGGCACAGTCTTGGCTCACTGCAACCTCCGCCTCCCAGATTCAAGCAATTCTCCTGCCTCAGCCTCCTGAGCTGCTGGGATTACAGGCACTCGCCACCATGCCTGGCTAATTTTTGTATTTTTAGTAGAGACGGGGTCTCATCATGTTGACCAGGCTGGTCTCAAACTCTTGACCTCATGATCCACCCACCTCAGCCTCCCAAAGTGCTGTGATTACAGGCATAAGCCACAGAGCCTGGCCAGTTTTACCAATTTATTTCTTTTTTTTTTTTTTTGAGACAGAGTCTCGCTCTGTCGCCCAGGCTGGAGTGCATTGGCGCAATCTCGGCTCACTGCAACCTCTGCCTCCCGGGTTGAAGCGATTCTCCTGCCTCAGCCTCCCAAGTAGCTGGGACTGTAGGCGTGTGCGACCACGCCTGGCTAATTTTTTGTATCTTTAGTAGAGACAGGGTTTCACCATGTTAGCCAGGCTGGTCTTGATCTCCTGACCTCGTGATCCACCCACCTCGGCCTCCCAAAGTGCTGGGATTACAGGTGTGAGCCACTATGCCCGGCCCAGTTTTACCAATTTCTTTTTAGAGGGAAGGTATATTTCATGGGCTGGCAAGCCTATGGGCACTTTTAAGAACTGCTGCATAAGATACAGGAGCCAATGGGGCTCGACGTTTTAAATTTAAGCTCCATCAGCAGGATGTCCCTACACCCACAGGGCTCTGGTAGGAAGTGATGAAAAGGAGAGAAGAGACAAGGTCTTCAGCCTCAGGGCTGAGATGGCTGTTGGAGGCTGCAGGAAGGTACCAGCTCTGCCACCTACCCTCAGGTGAAAGGGCTAGTCACCAGTACCCCCAACCCTAGACCTCCCAGGGGCTCCAGGAATCTCACTGGACAGTTTCATCTTGACATCTAATACCTTAGCCACAGTTCAGCAGGCTGGCAATCTTGTTGCTATCAGAACCTGCCCCAGAAAAGAAATCAACAGCCTCTACATCAAAGGGGAACTCTGGGACCTCAGTTACAAAATGATCCTTGGAAGATGGTTCAGGAAAAACAACAACTGATATTTAGGTCTGAAATGAGGGCTAATATTCAGTGCTAGGAATTTTATTTCATAGTCTAATCGGCCCACTTAAGGCCATAGTCAATGCCAGGTGTGCTGGCTCACACCTGTAATACCAGCCTTTGATAGGCCAAGGCAGGAGGATTGCTAGTGCCCAAGAGTTTGAGGCTGCAGTGAGTTATGATCACACCACTGCACTCCAGCCTGGGCAACAGAGTGAGACTCCGTCTCAAAAAAAAAAAAAAAAAGTAAATAAATAAATAAAGCAAGCTTCAGTCCATCATGACACTGGCTGCTACGTGTAAGCTGCTCCTCCAGCAAGCAACCATACCCGCCCCTGCCCCAGGAAGCCATGCAGTCACCCACTGAGCCCAATTCTGTGTAGATTTGCTACTAAGAGGAAGGGCATTACAGAGATGAGTGACCTGGGCCTTAGAACTATTCAAAAAATATAGGCTAGACCAGGCACCGTGGCTCACGCCTGTAATCCCAGCACTTTGGGAGGCCGAGGCAGGCGGATCACGAGGTCAGGAGATCAAGACCATCCTGGCTAACACGGTGAAACCCCATCTCTACTAAAAAAAAATACAAAAAAAAAATTAGCCAGGCGTAGTGGCGGACGCCTGTAGTCCCAGCTACTTGGGAGGCTGAGGCAGGAGAATGGCATGAACCTGGGAGGCAGAGGTTGCAGTGAGCCGAGATCCCGCCACTGCAGTCCAGCCTGGGTGACAGAGCGAGACTCCATCTCAAAAAAAAAAAAAAGAAATCGAAACCATCCTGGCCAATATGGTGAAGCCCCATAAAATACAAAATACAAAAATTAGCTGGGCATGGTGGTACGCACCTATAGTCCCAGCTACTCAGGAGGCTGAGACAGGAGAATCGCTTAAAACTGAGAGTCAGAGGTTGCAGTGAGCCAAGATCACACCACCGCACTCCAGCCTGGCAACAGAGCAAGACTCCGTCTCAAAAAAAAAAAAAAAGAATAGGCCAGAAAGCAAAGGGGCCTCAAGTTAGGGTGCTCGTATGGAGAAATGTGGTTCTGTGTATGGGTCAGGAGACCCTCATGTGCCCAATGTCACCAGCACTATCAAAGCACCCCGAGAGATTACCAGACAAAAGGGGCAGAACAGCCCCTATTGGTGGCCCTAGGCAGGTTACACATCCTTGGTTCTGAGCTCCTTCTCTAATGTACTAACAGAGTCTCAAGTACCAAACCTTGACTTTCCAGAGCCTGCCACATTCAAAAACCCAAAGGCACTGCCCGTAACCGGAGGGTGTAGCCACTAATGCCCCAGCTTAATTTGAGAGAGTTCCCATTAGACCCCACAGGGGTCTAACCTCCACCTCTATGGCCCTGTGTAATTACGGAGCTGAAGCACACAAGCATAGCAGTGTGTGAACACCACAAATGTCCTTTGGTACACAGACACTACCCTTAACTCTAGTTACAGGTGTTCATCCAGACACTGGCCTTGAGTTGGCTGGCTTGTAATTTTTTTTTTTTTTTTTTTTTTTAGATGGAGTTTCACTTGTTTGACTGGCTGGAGCACAATGGCACGACCACGGCTCATTGCAACCTCCGCTTCCCAGGTTCAAGCAATTCTCCTGCCTCAGCCTCCCGAGTAGCTAGGATTACAGGTATACGCCACCATGCCTGGCTAATGTTTGTATTTTTAGTAGAGACAGGGTTTCACCATGTTGGTCACGCTGGTCTCAAACTCCTAACCTCAGGTGATCCGCCCACCTCAGCCTCCCAAAGTGCTGGGATTACAGGCGTGAGCCACCGTGCCCAGCCTCGCTTGTAATATTTTATCTGCCATCTTATTTTCAATCGGAGACATTATTTAAGTAGCCTAGTCCACCACTACATGAAAATTCTAAGTCTTGATAATTTTATAAGCATCAAAGTCCATATATTAAACCCCTTTCTACTGGAAATTTCTGGTTTCTGTTTTCTGCATTTGCTTCTACTAGTACTATGCACATAATGGCCATAAGCCTGCATTTGTTTAAACCTGCATCTCTCTATCCCTCTGCTATTTATTTTTATTTTTTATTTTATTTATTTATTTATTTATTTTTGAGACGAGTCTCACTCTCTCATCCACACTGGAATGCAGTAGCTCAATCATAGCTCACTGTAGCCTCAAACTCCTGGTTTCAAGCAATCCTCCTGCCTCAGCCTCCCAAGTAGCTAGGTCTACAGAAGTATTCTATCACACCCCGCTCATTTTTAAAAATGTTTCGTAGAGGTGGGGGTCTCACTATGTTGTCCAGGCTGGTCTTGAACCCCTAGGCTCAAGCAATCCTTCCGTCTTGGCCTTCCAAAGTGCTGGGACTGGTCGGGGTGGTGGCTCAAGCCTGTAATCCCAGCACTTTGAGGGGCCGAGGCGGGCAGATCACCTGAGATCAGCAGTTTGAGACCAGCCTGGCCAACATGGCGAAACCCCATCTCTACTAGAAATACAAAAATTAGCCAGGCATGGTGGTGCATGCCTGTAACCTCAGCTCTCAGGAGGCTGAGGCGGGAGAATTGCTTGAACTCAGGGGGCGGAGGTTGGAGTGAGCCGAGGTCATGCTGCTGCACTCCAGCCTGGGTGACACAGCGAGACTCCGTCTCAAAATAAAAAACGAGCCACCACACCCGGCCTGCTGTGTATTTTTTAAACGTAGACTTTATCAGGTATTAAAAAAATCCAACATATTCTTTTTTTTTTTTTTTTTGAGATGGAGTCTCACTCTGTCTCCCAGGCTGGAGTGCAGTGGCACGATCTCGGCTCACTATAACCTCCGCCTCCCAGGTTCAACCAATTCTCCTGCCTCAGCCTCCCGAAGAGCTGAGACTACAGGTGTGTGCCACCATGGCCAGCTAATTTTTTTGTATTTTTAGTAGAGACAGGGTTTCACCGTGTTAGCCAGGATGGTCTTGATCTCCTGACCTCATGATCCACCTGCCTCAGCCTCCCAAAGTGCTGGGATTACAGGCTTGAGCCACTGGGCCCAGCCTAAAAAAAATCCTACATATTCTTTAACAGTTAAAAAAAAAAATTTCAGGCCACTATCTTGCCACTGCACTCCAGCCTAGGTGACAAGAGTGAGACCCTGCCTCAAATTAAAAAAAAAAAAAAACAAAAAAAAAAAACAGCAACAAAAAAAGGCCAAGTACAGTGGCTCACACCTGTAATCCCAGTACTCCGGGAGGCCAAGACAGGCAGATCACTTAAGCCCAGGAAGATCACCCTGGGCAAGTGGTGAAATTCCATTTCTACTTAAAAAAAAAAAAATTAGCTGAGCATGATGGCATGTGCCTGTAGTCCCAGCTACTCAGGAGGCTGAGGTGGGAGAATCTCTTGAGCAGGAGGGGAGGTTGCAGAGCCATGATTGCAATACTGCACTCCAGCCTGGGCAACAGAGTGAGACCCCGCCTCAAAAAAATAAATAGGCTGGGTGCGGTGGTCCACACCTATAATCCCAGCACTTTGGGAGGCTGAGGTAGGAGGATGACCTAAGGTCGGGAGTTCAAGACCAGCCTGACCAACATGGAGAAACCCTGTCTTTACTAAAAATACAAAATTAGCCAGGCATGGTGGTGCACGCCTGTAATCCCAGCTACTCAGGAGGCTGAGGCAGGAGAATCGCTTGAACCCGGGAGGCGGAAGTTATGGTGAGCCAAGATCGTGCCATTGTACTCCAGCCTGGGCAACAAGAGTGAAACTCCGTCTCAAAATAAACAAACAAATAAAATAATTTTTTAAAAATAAAGGTTTTCGGCCGGGCGCGGTGGCTCACACCTGTAATCCCAGCACTTTGGGAGGCCGAGGCGGGTGGATCACGAGGTCAGGAGATCGAGACCACGGTGAAACCCCATCTCTACTAAAAATACAAAAAATTAGCCAGGTGCGGTGGCGGGCACCTGTAGTCCCAGCTACTCAGGAGGCTGAGGCAGGAGAGTGGCGTGAACCCGGAAAGTGGAGCTTGCAGTGAGCTGAGATCGCACCACTGCACTCCAGCCTGGGCGACAGAGTGAGACTCCGTCTCAAAAATAAACAAACAAACAAACAAACAAATGTTTTCTATACGTAAAATAAAAATATTTTGATTTTTTTTTTTTTTTTTTGGAGACAGAGCCTTACTCTGTTGCCCAGGCTGGAGTGCAGTGGCACAGTCTCAGCTCACTGCAACCTCCACCTCCCGCGTTCAAGTGATTCTCCTGACTCAGCCTCCTGAGTAGCTGGGATTACAGGCGCCTGCCACCATGCCCAGCTAATATTTTTTACTTTTAGTAGAGACAGGGTTTCGCCATGTCGGCCAGGCTGGTTTCAAACTCCTGACCTTGTGATCCGCCTGCCTCGGCCTCCCAAAGCGCTGGGATTACAGGTGTGAGCCACAGCACACAGCCTATTTTGATTTTTATAAAAGTAAATATAACTACTGACAAACTACTGGTGCAAGTTGTTATAAAAACAGGGCATTCCATTTTTTTAAAAAGTCCATGCCAATTTCAGATACATGGCTTTATAAACTGGGTTAGAATCAGTTCTACTCAGCAATCCAACCCCTCTGTTTCTTTCCTCTTGGTTCAGCTCTGCCTTGGGACTCTCCTTTAGAAGAAATAAGCTGAGCCCTCAACCATCTGGGCCTCTATCCACTTATCTTCCAACCACCTCCACCCTGAGGGCTAGTAGATTTCATCTCATGATGAAACTCTGACCAGTAAATTATAGCTGCCTGATGTGCTGTGCATTGAGAAAAATTCTGGGCTCTGTCTGGACAAGAACAAGTGCTACTGTCAATCAGTAATGTTGGTCATAGAAGCTGAGGGTATTGTGGGGTATTGGGGCCTTCACACTTGCCACCCCTGACCTAAACTAAACTCCCCTGAAACCCCAAGCATCTCTAATTCCAAGAGTTAAGTAACAAGAAATGGCATAAGAGGGGTGCCAAGGGCTTCCCCAGTCCCCTCCCAACTTCCCTATATAGTACAGAGCATCTTGTTCTGGCCCCTTCATGACAGAAGGGCTAGGCTCTGTTCCACCACCAAGTCACAACACCAACGATCCTAGAATTACAAAGACATTTTATATGGATTTTGAACAGAATGGAGAGGCAGAGGAACATCTTTGCATTTAGACATAATTATCCATCCCTCTTCCACTGATGAGTCCCTTCTTTCCAACTTGACCCGACCACACAAGACCCACTCTGGAGCCCTTTATTCCTTCCCAATGGTCCCATAATAGGAATGGCACACAGTGCCTGCCACATGGGGCTGCTAGGTTCATCCTCCTGTGCTCTGGCCTGATGAGCTTCTGCTTCTCTTCTAACAAGGAATCTCCCTTACACCATGACCCATACAGGGAAAAGACCAAAAGTTCCAGAGAACAAAAACACCATCAAGGCAGAAAGGCAGGAGGTGAAGTGAATTCTAGGAATTTCTCTAAAAGCTAATCCTTGACCAAGAAGGCCCCAGCTATAAAGAAGGCAACGACGCTCCCCACTCTCAGCTCACAGTTGGAGCCTGGGTAGCAACATACAGTGAGGAGGGAGGCCCTACCAGAAAAGTGGCCACAGGCCAGGTGTGGTGGCTCATGCCTGTAATCCCAGCACTTTGGGAGGCTGAGGCAGGAGGATTGATTGAGCGTAGGAGTTCCAGACCAGCCTAGGAAATATAGCAAGACCCTGTCTCTACAAAAAATTTAAAAATTAGCCAGGGCTGGGGATGGTGGCTCACACCCGTAGTCCCAGCACTTTGGGAGGCTGAGGTGGGCAGATCATTTGAGGTCAGGAGTTCAAAACCAGCCTGGCCAACATGGCAAAACCTCGTCTCTACTAAAAATACCAAAATTAGCCAGGTGTCATGGCACACGCCTGTAATCCCAGCTACTCAGGAGGCTGAGGCATGAGAATCACTTGAACCCTGGGAGGCGGAGGTTGCAGTGAGCCGAGATCACTCCACTGGACTCCAACCTGGGTGACAGAGCAACACTCTGTCTCAAAAAATAAATTAAATAAATAAAATAAAAATTAGCCAGGCATGATGGCATGCACCTGTAGTCCCAGCTACTCAAGAGTCTCAGGTAGGAAGATTGCTTGAACTCAGGAGGTCGAGGCTGCAGTGAGCCATGATTGTGCCACTGCACTCCAGCCTGAGTGACAGAGAGAGACCCTCTCTCAAAAAAAAAAAAAAAAAAAAAAGCAAAGAACAGTGGCCACCATCTAGACTCCAGTTCTCTTACCCCGTGTTCCAGAACCCAAACATCCTACCCTGTGTTCCAGAACCCAAACATTCCATGTCTCCACAAATAGCACAATGTGTTACCTGAGTAGAAGTGCAGCCCAAAGCTCAGCATCTGCCTGTAAGACCATCAACTCCGGGGGGCAGTAAGGGAAAATGGGGCACAACCACGGCCTGTACCTACCTTGGGCAAGGACAGCACCTTCTTATCAGGGCGGGCAGGACAACGCCTTCCCCAGATGACATATGAGCACCAAAGTTCTCAACAGCACTGTACAATGCATGTAGACTGGAACTTGGTGAGGGGATCCAGGGTGAGAAGCCAGCCACAGCTGTCTCTCAGCTGGAAGGGCCTAAGCTTAGATGGTCCTCCACACCAGGAATGTGGCAGGTGAGATCTTAATCAAGATATCTTAATTAACAGTGGCTCTCTAGGTCTCCATGGAAAATCACTTTGGCTGATTCTGGCTCACCAGAGGAGATGCTTGGGTATAAAACATGGGGCATTACTGTCTTTCAGATGGGAGCTGGCAAAACCAAAATACCAGAACTCCAGCACAAGCAGAGTCCTCTCACCTCTGAGAAGCCTCCTGGCTACCAGTCTTTCACACCCCATCCCTTCATCTCTTCATACCAAAGGAACAGCCAAGAGAAAAAAAGACAACCGCTATGAGAAAACCATGCTAGAGCCAAAGACCTAAAGTCACTGGCCCACCCTGGACAAGGGCTCTTGGCCAGAGAAGCCTGGCTGAACCAGACTGGCAGAGTCTCTTCTTTTCTTCACTCTCAAAAGCATGGGTAGATCCACAGCCCCCCACACTGCTACTGCCCTCAAGATACAGCCCACGCTCCCTGGCCACAGCATACAAGGTATTTTCTTTTTTATTTTTTTAAGACAGAGTCTCACTCTGTCACCCAGGCTGGAGAGCAGTGGCGTGATCTCGGCTCACTGCAACCTTCACCTCCCAGGTTCGAGTGATTCTCCTGCCTCAGCCTCCCAAGTAGCTGGGATTACAGGCATGCACCACCACTATTATTAGCGCCTGGCTAATTTTTGTATTTTTAGGAGAGATGGGGTTTCGCCATGTTGGCCAGGCTGTTCTCGAACTCCTGAACTCAAGTGACCTGCCCGCCTCAGTCTCCTAAAGTACTGGGATTACAGGCATGAGCCAGGCCACACACAAGGTATTTTCAGTCTGGCCCTACCGACCTCATGTTCTGCGCTCCACATCTCTTTTTTTTTTTTTTTTTTTTGAGACAGAGTCTCGCTCTGTTGCCCAGGCTGGAGTGCAGTGGCGCGATCTCGGCTCACTGCAAGCTCGGCCTCCCGGGTTCACGCCATTCTCCTGCCTCAGCCTCCCGAGTAGCTGGGACTACAGGCGCCCGCCACCATGCCTGGCTAATTTTTTGTATTTTTAGTAGAGACGGGGTTTCACCATGTTAGCCACGATGGTCTCGATCTCCTTACCTCGTGATCCGCCCGCCTTGGCCTCCCAAAGTGCCGGGAATACAGGTGTGAGCCACTGCGCCCGGCCAGCTCCATGTCTTTTTATGCACTGTTTCTTCTGCCTGAAGCATCTGCTTCTCACTTTGTTCACCTAGAACACTCTAACTCCTCTTTCCAGAGCCCACATCACCTCTTATATGATTCTATGATGTTTTCCTCAAACTCTGAGGTACAGTCCATCCTCCAGGCCACCCCTGGATATGACACATACGGTGGCCTGACCCTTCGACACCACCGGTGGGGCCTCATGCCTGTGCTCCTGGGGCCCAGGCTGGGACAAAACAATGGATGTGATGGCTCACACCTGTAATCCTAGCACTTTGGGAGGCTGAGGAGGGCAGATCATGAGGTCAAGAGATCTAGAACATCCTGGCCAACATGGTGAAACACCGTCTCTACTAAAAATACAAAAACTAGCTGGGCATGGTGGTGCACGCCTGTAGTCCCAGCTACTCGGGAGGGTGAGGCAGGGGAATCACTTGAACCCAGGAGGCGGAGGTTTGCAGTGAGCCAAGATTGTGCCACTGCACTCCAGCCTGGCAACAGAGCGAGACTCTGTTTCAAAAACAACAACAACAACAACAACCAAAAAAAAAAAACAATGGGTACTGCGCCCTGGTGTCTGGAATGAATGAATGAGTGCACTGCTGCCTGGCCAAAGGAAGTCAGCTGCAGGAGCAAGGGAAGGCTGGCTGTGGTCAGAGACCCCTGCTCTGGGCCTGGGCCCAGACACTGGCTACAGAGGAAAATGCCCCCACCCCTCTCCATGCCTTCCAGTGCTCTAGCCCAGGCCTACTACTCTTGGGTAAAGCAACCATCACATGTCAGGAGGCCTCCGCCGCTGGGATGATGTTACAGTCTATTTTGAGGGTCACACTGGAGCATCTGTCAGCCTAGCCAGCCACACCCTCCATGTGTCATCACTAAGAGCCAGGGACACCCACAGGTCCATGAACTCTGCCTGCAGACATTGCTCCTCCCCAGGGACCCTCAGCTTCAGGCCCTCCTTCGCTTCCTAGAAAGACAGACCTGGATGCCCCTTATCTCCTGGCACCACTGGCAGTGCTCTGATGTCTCCTCACCCCACCAGACCCGCTCCCCGAGTTCACAGCTCTGGTGACTCGGCAAAATGCAGTTGAAGCCCATCAGTCTGTGCCAAGCTCTTAGCTCAAACACAGCCCCTCCTACTCCACAGAGCTCTCTTATACTTGAGGAGTGCCCAGAAAGCCTAGCACCCAGAAGTCAAGCTAGTTACCCATCAGACTCATAGGTCTAACAGGTCTCGCCTACTGGGGAACTCCTACTCATTCCTCCCAACTGTTCCCAGGCTCTGCCTCCTCTTGCAGAAAGACTTTCAGTCCACTCTCTACTGAATGGGCCACAGGCTTCCTGAGGACAAAGCTGATCTGTGCTGGCTTTACATCTGTTCTCCCTATACCTAGTATAGGGCCTGGAACATAGTAGGTATATATAAATATTCTGTGAAATCTTGACATGAAACTTTCCTTATTAGACTAGCTTAGTGTGTTCTTCTCCAAAAGATATTGTCAAAACAAAGGACGTTCTGGAGAACAATGACACTAACAACTGGGTTTATAAATACCTTTTACAAAGGAGGTGTACTCAAATCTACAGAAAAGCAAGTTTACAGATTAAATGGAACAGTAAGTTGATCAAGCCCGGCCCAGAGCATGCCACAATTCTCTGGCCCTACACAGCACCATGCACCTTTCAGCTCTGTCCCCTAACATTGCAATCTGGTAGGAATCCAACAGAACATTCCTTCACTCTACCCAGGGAAGAAATGCAACAGCTACAATGGGGAAAGGCAGCAGCAGCATGGACATGTGTGTCTAGGATCAGGCGAGGACATCTGATAAGTCAGGCTACTCCACTGCACACCCTAAGCCCTGCAGCCAGGGTAGGCCACCAAACATCCCAGGGACTCAGGGCTCACTCACAAAATGGGAAGGTAGATGATCACCTGCTCTAGCCACTTGCCAGAGATGCTGTGAGGATCAAACTAGGTAACACAGGAAAGCTAGACAACCAGTTAATGCTTGGGTCATGGACTAAACCAGGATAAAAAACACACCTCCAAAATCCATGGGAGGCTGACAATGGTGGCTCCTGCCTGCAATCCCAGCACTTTGGATCACTTTGAGGCAGGAGGATCACTTGAGGCTAGGAGTTGGAGACCAGCCTAGACAACACAGCAAGATCCCATCTCTATAAAATAGTTAAAAAAAAAATCAGCTGGGCATGGTGGCTCATGACTATAATCCCAGCACTTTGGAAGGCTGAGGTGGAAGAAATACTTGAGCCCAGGAATTCAAGACCAGCCTAGGAAACATTGTGAGACCCCATCTCTACAAAAAATAAGAAAATGAGCCAAGCATGATGGCACACACCTATAGTCCCAGCTACTCAGGAAGCTGAGGTGGGAGGATTGACTGAGCCCAGGAAGTTGAGGTGGCGGTGAGCTGTGATCATGCCATTGCACTCCAGCCTGAGCAACAGAGCGAGACCCTGCCTCAAAAAAAAAAAAAAAAATCTACAAAAAAAGGGAAATGAGCCAGTTGATGTCTGCCTGCCCTGTGTAACTGCCTTTGGCCTCCTCAAAACCCACCTGGCCCATACTAACATGTGGCTGCATCCCAGCCATGGGAAGGCTTTCAGGGATTCCATAAAGAGACCATGAGGAGCTATTCATACTCTTGCCATCTGACAGTGGTCAACTGAAGCAGGATACCACAGGTATACATGACCTGAGACCTTTCTAAAACTGATGTTTCCTTGCTGGGCACCATGGCTCATGCCTGTAATCTTAGCACTTTGGGAGACTGACGCAGGTGAATCACCTGAGGTCAGGAGTTCGAAACCAGCCTGGCCAACATGGCGAAACCCCATCTCTACTAAAAATACAAAAATTAGCCAGGCGTGGTGGCGTATGCCTGTAATCCCAGCTACTCGGGAGGCTGAGGCAGGAGAATCACTTGAACCCAGAAAGTAGAGGTTGCAATGAGCCGAGATTGAGTCAATGCACTCCAGCCTGGATGATAAAGGAGACTGTGTGGCAAATAAATAAATTAATTAATTAACATCTGATGTTTCCAGATCAGCTCAACAGCCATGTTTACCACATGTAAAATGCTGGGAATAGATGCCCACCTTTCTTTAGACTTCCAGTCAACACCTATAGTTCACCAATCTAACATGACACAGCAAGATCGACTAAAACTGAAATGTTAAAACCAGTTGAAAGAATCCAGATCTCCAACATAGCCAGACCTCATCTCTCAAAAAATACAAAAAGAAAAAAAGAATCCAGGTCTCTAAGTGTAAACACTTCCCTTCTGAAGTTGGTCTCTGCTCTCTACCTAGATAACTAACTCAGCTGTTATCTATGATAAAGACTAGGAGAAAACAATCCATTTTCCTCCCTACAAATTTAAGAAGTGCACTTCAGTTTCTGTGGCAGTATGAGACTCCAGCACCACCATTTTAGTCAACATTATTTTCAAGGTGCTTGTTTTAAGGGGCTATTCTCATTCACACTAGTTCAAGCACACTAAATATATGTGCTTCTATCAGACGGTGGAAGGTGAAAATAGGAGCTTTGAAGCCCTCCCATAAATTTAACTTTCCTGTCTGTAAACGCACTAGATGGGGATAAAAATGAAAGATGGCCGGGTGCAGTAGCTCATGCCTGTAGTCCCAGCAGTTTGAGAGGCCAAGGTGGGAGGATCACTAGAGACCAGCCTGGGCAACATAGCAAGACCTCATCTCTACAAATAATTTAAAAAATTAGGCTGGGTGCGGTGGCCCACACCTGTAATCCCAGCACTTTGGGAGGCCAAGGCAGGCGAATCACCTGAGGTCAGGAGTTTGAGACCAGCCTGACCAACATGGAGAAACCCCATCTCTACTAAAAATACAAAATTAGCCTGGTGTGGTGGCACATGCCTGTAAGCCCAGCTACTCAGGAGGCTGAGGCAGGAGAATTACTTGAACCTGGGAGGCGGAGGTTGTGGTGAGCTGAGATTGCGCCATTGCACTCCAGCCTGGGCAACAGGAGCAAAACTCCGTCTCAAAAAAAAAAAAAAAAAAAAAATTAGCCAGGCGTGGTGGCATGCACCTGTATTCCCAGTTACTCAGGAGGCTGAGGTGGGAGGATAACTCGAGCCCAGAAGGTCGAGGCTGCAGTGAGCTGTGATTGTGATCTTGCCACTGCACTTCAGCGTGGGAGACAGAGCAAGACCCCATCTCATTAAAAAAAAAAAAAAAAAAAAAGAGAGAGAGAGAGAAAGATACAGCAGCTTCCCATGATCAGAATTTCAGAGGCATAGAATTCTGGAGTTCAGGCAGCTTAGATGCTGGCCTGGATCCTCACAGTGCAGATCAGGAGACTGAAGCTCCAACATCTACCCAAGACCACAGAGACCTCTCAGGCAGAGAAGTTACATCACTGAGGAAGTAGGCAAGGCTCTGACTCTGGCAGTGTTGCCCCCAGCCTAGTCCCTTGGCCAAGCATTTTGCATGCACTACAAAGGGGACAGTCCCTAGGAGAAAGAAGTTCTGAATGTTCGAGAACACACCCTCAGCGTTGGCATGGTCACCAGAGGGGTTGGCAAACTTCAGACACCAAACCTAAAGTCTGATGAGGAAAGCCTTTCCAAGGTAGCTGCAGTCATGTTACTTCATAACTTACACACCTGCTTCGTCACAATCACTGGGAAAAAAAGGGAGACTGGGAGAAAGAAAAAAAATTAAGTATCTCCCCTATGATTTCCTGTGTCTGCTTGGATCATCCTAAAATAGGGAGTCTCCCTAATGCTGACTTTTTTTTTTGTTTGGTTTTGGGACAGAGTCTCACTCTATTGCCCAGGCTAGAGTGCAGTGGTGCAATCTCAGCTCACTACAACCTCCACCTCCCATGTTCAAGTGATTTTCATGCCTCAGCCTCCCAAGTAGCTGGGATTACAGGTGCACACCACCACACCCAGCTAATTTTTGAATTTTTTTTTAGAGATGGGGTTTTACCATGCTGGCCAGGCTGGTCTTGAACTCCTGATCTCAAGTGATCCGCCCGCCTCGGTCTTCTGAAGTGATAGGATTACAGGTATGCCAGTTAATTTTTTTGTATTTTTAGTAGAGACAGGGTTTCAGCATGTTTGCCAGGCTAGTCTCCAACTCCTGACCTCAGGTGATCTGCCCATCTTAGCCTCCCAAATTGCTGGGATTACAGGCGTGAGCCACCGTGCCTGGCTCCTAATGCTGACTTTAATGAGGACCTTCCTAAAGTTGATCCAACTAGTAGTGTTCAAGTCCTTGGACTGAAAAACAAGTTTATGAGCAGCAAGGTCACCTGATTCTGATCATGTGTATGCTGTTTACCCTGAGATGACAGGCCGGTGGCCACAGAAGCTTTCATGAATGCTGCAAAGACTCTACTATCTCTTTGAAGGCTACCAGGGCCTCCACATGACTAAATGCCATAAAAAAGAACCTCATGAATACAGCAAGAATGTGAAAGGAAGGAAGTCACAAAAACACCACATGCTCATGAGGGAAACTCCATTCTGGACACTAAATTTTTAAAGTAAACTTGTTACTTGTTTGCCTAACCTTCTAGGTATCAAATTACATCATCACTAAAAATAATCCCTGCTTTACCCCCAACACACCCACTGGCCATCAAGATCTGCTGCTTAGACCAGACCATGCCCACAGTCAGGAAATAATGGCAGCCCAGACCCATGCGGCTCCCCAGCTCACATCAGCAACAAGTGCCAGCCAAAGGACCTGAACTCTGACCACAGGGATCAGCTCCATGATCAGGGAAAGAGGGTGGTCATGAAGGGCTTACCCATCTCTTCCTTTGCTGACAATCTTCACTTCAAAGTAATAAATGCCACAGGCAGCAGGTATGGGGTGGGTGGCACGCACTGAGGCCGCATCTTTGTGATTTTTGCCATGACCTAACAGGAGAGGGCAAGTAAGAAATTTCAGCAGAAGGAAATGCAAATGGAAGCCTCATTTTTCTCTGCAACTCCTCCATGACAACTCCACTCCTCTGTGGCCAGAGGACGCACTTACACAGGCCGAGGAATCATTAGACAACTGAATAAACACTTAAACCTTCCACCTTTGCCTCACCTCCTCCTGAGAACAGCAGTCCTGCCTGAGACACTGCCCATACAAACAAAACAAGGGTAGAGGCAATGTGAGAGATACTCAAGTGCTGCTGGCAGCCTCTCTAGAATCCAGGCAGCCCACCTGGGAGGCCAGGGGAAGAAGGATGAGGCCGACCTGGAAGACACCCCCCAAACTCTAGCACGGAACCCCAGGCTCAGTCTAGGATGCCTGGCAGGTGGGGAAGCCCATGAGTCTCACGCTAATGGTAGGTATGTGACCACCCCTTTCTTCTAAGCAGTGGCGAAAGGTCCCGCTGCCGTTGGCGCCAGCCTAGGATAAGCACGGAGGCCCTGGAGTGGAAGGTCCGGCCCAGCACTGGGTTTGGACACCTGTTGCGGTTCTCTTGACGGCAGGTGTCTCAGGACAGAGAACAGGCAGTCAGCCCTCGGCCTGTTCAGCCTCACCACCCTGGACATCCTGAAAGGGCCAAGCCCTAACTTGGAGCACCTAGGCAGGGAAAGGGAGGTGATAGGGCGGGGGCCTGGCAGCAGAGCCACCCCACGGACGCTCTAGCCTTAATTCCCCCCAGCCTGACGGGCCGATACCTTTGTAGTGGACGCGGAGGTTGCCCTGGGAGAGACCAATGTAGTTGTATTTGTCCTTGGGGCTCCAGGAGCGCGGCAGCGGAGTCTCTTGCTGGTTGACCGCGGGATACAGGCGCTGCAAGCGCCGGCTCAGCTCCTGCTCCCCAGGGGACGGCAGCCCGCCCCCAGCGCCCCCGCCGGAGGAGTCCCCAGGCTGCGGGTTCCCAGCTCCCGGGTCTGCCGTCGCTGCCGCCATCTTGGAGGGAGCTACTATTGTGTCACTGGGGGCGGGGAGGAGCGGGACCAGATCCGCCCCGCTCAGCCAATGGCCCGTGAGCCTCCCTGGGCCGCAGGGAAACCGAGTCCGAGTCCGGCACCCCTCTTTGGACACTGACACGCCTTACCACATTTCGAACTCCATACCCCACAATGCAGAGCTCTCGAGAGGCGGAGCAACTCGGGCTGGTAGAGAATTCTGGGAGATGTAGTATAACCGTCCTCAGCCATAAGCCTGTCCCATCGAGACGTCGGGACACCGAAAACTACCATTCCCGCCGGCAAAGCGGCTCCGGCCTCTCAGCACACTTCCCTCCCCATGGCCTCTGTTCATCCCCCTGCCTCAGTTCTGGTACCTGGGGTCAAATCGGCTGTAGTGGTTGACTCTCAGGGCACCCGCTGCCGGGTCCCAGTCCACCTTTGCTACTTTGTCCTACTCCCAGCCCGCGGGCGCTAGGCTCGGGGGCGTGGCGCATCCCTGACTCCGCCCCCGCCGCGGGGGGGCCTCTGGGGCCTGGTCGCCATGGCGACCGGCTGTACGCTACCACAGCTTCCCAGGCCGCGGGTGCTGATTGCCCGCCTGCCCGTGGGTCATGGCCTGCCAGCAGTCGCGGTACCACAGCTTCTCGTCCGCGTCGAGGTAGGCGCTGGCAGGGATGAGGGCAGAGATGAGGGTTTGAGTACTTCTAGAGAGGGAAATGGCACTTGATCCGGACCTCTGCACCTCCTGCTGGCCTCTGACCATTGATCTAGGGCTCCAGCACCACAGAGTCAATGGTTAGAATCGGGCTGATTTAGCCCAGTGAAGACGTTACGTGCTAGCAAAACGGTAGGCGCACTTTATCATTACTAGTAACAACCAGCTTGTATTGAATGTACTATATGCCAAATGCTTTATATACCACATTTTTAAATATTTTATTTTTGAGACAAGATCTCGTTCTGTCGCCCAGGCTGGAGTGCAGTGGCACTACTACGGCTCACTGCAGCCTCGACCTCCCGGGCTCAAGCGATCCTTCTACCTCAGCCTCCCGAGTAGCTGGGACTACAGGCATGCGCCACTACGCTTGGCTAATTTTTGGGTGTTTCTTTGTTCGTTTGTTTTTTGTAGAGACGAGGTTTCACCACGTTGCCCAGGCTGGTTTCGAACTCCTAGACTCAAGCGACCCTCCCACTTCGACCTCTCAAACTGGGATTACAAGCGTGAACCCCCACACCCGGCCTACGTACCATATTTAATCCTCACAACAACTGTATAAAGTAGTAATATTACCATTGAACAAGTAAAGAAATACTTTAGAAGCCTGGAGAGATCATCCTCTGGGTAGCTTCTGCCTGTACTCAGGTGTATAGCCTCTGGGTACTGCAAAATATGACCAGCTCCATCAGCCTGGAGAGCCATACATACGGATTAAAACAAAAATTTTGGCTAAATCGTTTTCTAGTTTTGGGACTTCAGACAGGGCCCTTCAAGTTCCAGGCCTCAGCTTATATATCTCAAACATGGGAATGATACAGCCCACCCCACAAACATTGTTGGGAACATTTAGGCAGAATATGTGAAGCTCTTGACACAGCTCTTGTATGTAATAGGCACCCAGTAAGTGTTGAATGAATGTAGTGTCCCCCCTTCTACTCATTCCCAGTGGGGGAAAAAAAAAAAAACACCACCCAATCCCACCTAAACTCTTCAGGGTCTGCTGCCTTGACAGAGAAAAGCCTACAAAAGCCCCTAAGAGGCCAGGCACGGTGGCTCACGCCTATAATCCCAGCACTTTGGGAGGCCGAGGCGGGGGGATCACTAGGTCAGGAGATCGAGACCATCCTGGCTAACGTGGTGAAACCCGGTCTCTACAAAATACAAAAAATTAGCCAGGCATGGGGGTGGGCACCTGTAGTCCCAGCTACTCGGGAGGCTGAGGCAGGAGAATGGCATGAACCTGGGAGGCAGAGCTTGCAGTGAGCCGAGATCCTGCCACTGCACTCCAGCCTGGGCAACAGAGCGAGACTACGTCTCAAAAAAAAAAAAAATTTAGCCGGGCATGGTGGCAGGCACCTGTATTCCCAGCTACTTGGGAGGCTGAGGCAGGAGAATCGCTTGAACCAGGGAGGCAGAGGGCAGAGGTTGCAGTGAGCCAAGATCACGCCACTGCACTCTAGCCTGGGCGACAGAGTGAGACTCCGTCTCAAAAAAAGAAAAAAGAAAAAAAAGGAAAAAGAAAAGAGAGAGAGAGAAAGAGAATTGTTACCCAGCACAGGATTAATTTAGTAAACTGCCATTCTCTATGAAAAGGATATGAAGCAGACCCAGAAAGAGAATCCCCATTCATTTTAAGAAAGAAGCACAGGGCTGGTCATGATGGCTCATGCCTGTAATCCCAATACTTTGGGAGGCCAAGGTGGGAGGATCACTTGAGGTAAGGAATTCAAGACCAGCCTGGGAAACATAGTAAGACCCTGTCCCTACAAATAATAATAATAATAATAATAAAAGTTTCAGCTACTCAGGAGGCTGAGGCAGGAGGATTACTTGAACCCAGAAGTTCGAGAGGGTGTAGTGAGCTGTGATCACACTAGTGCCTTGTAGCCTGGGCAACAAAGCAAGACCCTGTCTATTAAAAAAAAAAAAATGGCCGGGCGTGGTGGCTCACGCCTGTAATCCCAGCACTTTGGGAGGCCAAGGTGCGCGGATCACGGGGTCAAAAGATCGAGACAATCCTGGCCAACATGGTAAAACCTTGTCTCTACTAAAAATACAAAAATTAGCCAGGTGTGGTGGCTTGCACCTGTAGTCCCAACTACTCGGGAGGCTGAGGCAGGAGAACCCAGGAGGTGGAGGTTGCAGTGAGCCCAGATCATGCCACTGCACTCCAGCCTGGCAGCAGAGTGAGACTCCATCTCAAAAAAAGAAAGAAAATCAGCCAGGCATGGTGACCTGTGCCTGTAATCCCAGCTATTCTGGAGGCTGAGGCACAAGAATTGCTTGAACCCAGGAGGAGGAGGTTGCAGTGAGCTGAGATCTTGCCACTGCATTCCAGCTGCCTGGGAGACACAGCAAGACTCCGTCTCAAAAAAAAATAAATAAATAAATAAATAAATAATACAGGCCGGGAGCAGTGAGTGGCTCATGCTTGTAATCCCAACACTTTAGGAGTCTGAGGTGGGTACATCATTTGGGGTCAGGAGTTCAAGACCAGCCTGGCCAACATAGTGAAACCCCATCTCTACTAAAAATACAAAAACTAGCCAGGCGGTAGTGGCATGCACCTGTAATCCCAGCTACTCAGGAGGCTGAAGCAGGAGAATCGCTTGAACCTGGGAGGCGGAGGTTGCAGTGAGCCGAGATCGGGCCACTGCACTCCAGTCCGGGCAAGAGAGTGAGACCCTGTCTCAAAAAATAGTAAATAAATAAAATTTAAAAAAAAATACAACATCATTAATCTACCATATTCCTTATTCACCAGCATTTAGTGATGTTGGGCCAGACTCACTGTTTCTCTTAGAGACACTGTGGATGTCCTCATCCTTTCCCTTTAAAAAGGGGCAGCATGATGGATAAGCTAGACCTTAGCACTGTGGAACATGTCATCAGGACCCTCTGCAAGGGACCTTCGAATTGTGCATTTTCCTGGGGCAGGTTTCTCCTCCCTATCGGCTTTTCTCCTTTCACCCTCATAACCCTGGCACTTGGTGGATGGAACTCAGCAGCTTGCGTTCACTGAATACCAAGATATAACCCTGACAAACCCACTGCCTACTACCACTTAAATAACTGAGCTTGAGGCCGGGTACGGTGGCTCACGTCTGTAATCCCAGCACTTTGGGAGGCCAAGGTGGGCAGATCATGAGGTCAGGAGTTCGAGACCAGCCTGACCAACACGGTGAAACCCCATCTCTACTAAAAATACAAAAATTAGCCGGGCTTGGTGGTGCTCACCTGCAATCCCAGCTACTTGGGAGGCAGAGGCAGGAGGATCACTTGAGCCCGGGAGGCAGAGGTTGCAGTGAGCCGAGGTCATGCTACTACACTCCTGCCTGGGCGACAGAGCCAGATTACGTCTTAAAAAAATAAAAATAAAAGTAAATAAATAACTGAGTTTGGTCCAGCTTTGAGGTAGAAATATAAATGTTTCCCATTCCCCTCTGAGGGTTACCATAAAATATTTAATATAAAACATCTTAAACTTTTTTTTTTTTTTGAGATGGAGTGTCTCACTCTATTGCCCAGGCTGGAGTGCAGTGGCATGATCTCAGCTCGCTGCAACCTCTGCCTCCCGGGTTCAAGCGATTCTCCTGCCCCAGCCTCCCTAGTAGCTGGGACTATAGGCGCGTGCCACCACACCTGGCTAATTTTTTGTATTTTTAGTAGACAGGGTTTCACCGTGTTAGCCAGGATGGTCTCGATCTCCTGACCTCATGTCTTTTGTTTTTTTTTTTTCCTTTTTCTGGAGAACGGGGTCTCGCTATATTGCCCAGGCAGGTCTCGAACTCCTGGGCTCAAGCTATCCTCCCGCCTCTTAGCCTCCCTGAGAGCTGGGATTACAGGCGTGAGCCACCGCGCCCGGCCGATCTCCTGACCTCATGATCTGCTCACCTCGGCCTCCCAAAGTGCTGGGATTACAGGTGTGAGCCATCACGCCCAAGCCCAAGCTTTTTGGATAAGTGTACAGGCCCTAGCAGGTGTTTGGTTTGCCTTGTTTTAAGTCTGTTTTATAATGTTGTCTCCTTTGATATTCAAAACTAACAACATCTGTTACCTACTGAACTTTTCCATTCAACAGCTTCTCAGAATTTATAGAATTCCCCAATTTTCTTGCTTACCTTGCCTTTCCTGGTGCTTCCAGCATGAGCAAGAACAGAGTTTGGAGAATTGATTAGTCTTTTTTTTTTTTTTTTTTTTTTTGAGACAGAGTCTCTCTGTGTTGCCCAAGCTGTAGTGCAGTGGCTCCATCTCGGCTCACTGCAACCTCCCACTCCCAGGTTCAAGAGATTCTCCTGCCTCAGCCTCCCGAGTAGCTGGGACTACAGGTGCCCGCCACCACACCCGGCTAATTTTTGTATTTTTTTAGTAGAGACAGGGTTTCACTATGTTGGCCAGGCTGGTCTTGAACTCCTGACCTCGTGATTTGCCCACCTCTCCCTCCCAAAGTGCTGGGATTACAGGCTTGAGCCACTGCACGGCGAATAATATATTAGTCTTGATAAGAAGGTATTGATTTAACCCAGTGAGCACTTGGGGTTGATCTGTTGTATCTTGTTGGTCTCCAAGACTGTCTCACACCCAAGCTCATCTGGGCAGACACTCTTCCTTCTCCTCACCGACTGCTTAATCCATATGTTTTGCTCACACTTGTCCAATGTTGAGAAGCAATAGAGGACTAGGGTTTGGAATATTACTGCTCCATGGACTATAGCTGAGCAGCATTACAGGGCAGAGTTTCTCAACTGGGTTCACATTAGGGCTCTCAACTTCCCTGGAGTTTGGGTAGTCCTAATCCTACTTTTATAAGCAAAGACACTGAGGTTCAGAGATGTTAAGCGGCATGCCCAAAATCACCAGCAAGCAAGAGGAGTGAACACAAGATCTATCTGGCAACATAAATCACACACCCCCACCCCATGGATTGTTGGAATTACTTCTTCCTTTTGTTCCACCTGAGCCTGCCTGCCCACAGTAGCCCTTCCTGTTGGTCCCCAAATGCCTTCCTAGGATGGCTGTTCTAAGAGGCTTTTCCTGTTCTACTGTCATAATGAACATCTATGCAGTTCATTGCAGTTTACATGGTATTTTGCATATCTCATTTTTTTTTATTTATTTAAAAAAAAATAGGCCGGGCACGGTGGCTCACACCCGTAATCCCAGCACTTTGGAAGGCTGAGGCGGGCAGATCACGAGGTCAGGAGATCGAGACCATCCTGGCCAACATGGTGAAACTCTATCTCTACTAAAAATACAAAAATTAGCCAGGCACGGTAGCGTGCACCTGTAGTCCCAGCTACTCAGGAGGCTGAGGCAAGAGAATTGCTTGAACCTGGGAGTCGGAGGCTGCAGTGAGCCGAGATCATGCCATTGCACTCCAGCCTGGGCAACAGAGTCAGACTCTGTCTCAAGAAAAAAAAAAAAATTGGCTAGGTACAGTGGCTCACGCCTGTAATCCCAGCACTTTGGGAGGCTGAGGCAGGCAGATCACCTGAGGTCAGGAGTTTGAAACCAGAAATAAATAAATAAATAAAAATAGAGGCAAAGTCTCACTATGTTGCTCAGGCTCATCTCGAACTCCTGGGCTCAAGCGATCTGCCCGCCTTGGCTTCCCAAAGTGCTGGGATTACAGGCATGAGCTACCACGCCCAGATGCACATCTAATTTTTTTTGTTTTGCTTTCAGACAGAGTTTTACTCTGTCACCCAGGCTGGAGTGCAGTGGTGCAATCTCGGCTCACTGCAACCTCCGCCTCCCAGATTCAAGTGATTCTTCTGCCTCAGCCTCCTGAGTAGCTGGAATTAGAGGCACCCGCCACCACACTCAGCTCATTCTTATTTAAACTTCAGGCCGGTCGCGGTGGCTTACGCCTGTAATCCCAGCAGTTTGGGAGGTGGACGTGGGTGGATCATTTGAGGTCAGGTGTTCAAGACCAGCCTGGCCAACATGGTGAAATCCCATCTCTACTAAAAATACAAAAATTAGCTGGGCATGGTGGCAGGGGCCTGTAGTCCCAGCTACTCAGGAAGCTGAGGAAGGAGAATTGCTTGAACCCAGGAGGTGAAGGTTGCAGTGAGCTGAGATGGCGCCACTGCACTCTACCCTGGGTGACAGAGTGAGACTGCATCTCAAAATAAATAAATAAATAAAATAAACTTCATAACTTTGTAAGATAGGCAAAGCAAGAGTTGTCCCTGGCCAGGCACAGTGGCTCACGCCTGTAATCCCAGCATTTTGGGAGGCCAAGGCAGGTGGATCATGAGGTCAGGAATTCAAGACCAGCCTGGCCAACATGGTGAAACCCCGTCTCTACTGAAAATACAAAAATTATCCATGCGTGGTGGCAGGTGCCTGTAATCCCAGCTACTCGGGATGCTGAGGCAGAGAATTGCTTGAACCCGCGAGATGGAGGTTGCAGTGAGCCAAGATCGCACCACTGCACTCCAGCCTGGGTGACAGGGTAAGACTCCGTCTCAAAAAAAAAAAAAAAAAAAAAAAAGAGTTGTCTCCACTTCTTTGTGAAGAAACCAGGCTGAGAAATATTAAATGACTTGCTCAAGGGTGGTCCTATTAGAACCCCAGATGTCAGCCCTTAGACCCTATCAGCTGCCAGTAAGTGCAGGACTCAGACTCACACCCCAGATCCTGGACCCCAGACCCTGTGCTTCTTGTCCTACAGCACCTGCCCTTTGTATCACAGCCCCAGAGTATGCCAGAGTTGTGTACATGAAACCAATACCACAGCCACAGTTGAACACTGAACAGAAGTATAGGCCCATGGGGTTCTCTGGGTTCATGGGGAGGATGTCCTGCTGCTGCAGTAGTTGGTGAAATTTTGGTGATGAAAAGAATGTTTCTGGGAATGTAAGCAAATGGTTTGGACCCAAGGCCAGGGACTTGCTTGGCAGTGTCTCTGGGAATCCGGAGGCAGCACCCAGAGCCTGGCTCAGGGAGACGGCTATGCCTTGTGGATCTAGAAAGGATGGGAGTTCTCTTCCCACTCTGGACTCTGTCACCCACCATCAGCTTTCCCTTCTCTGTGCAGATTACAGCCACGGCCTTCAGGAGTGACCATAGACGAATCCTTTCTCACAGAAGACAAGAGCACCCAGAATCGCAAGCTTCTTCAGAAACGAAGGACGCTGGTTAGTGACAATGTTGTTTTGGAACCCCAAATGTCAGCCCCCAGACCCTATCCGTCTCCCTTCCTGCAACCCAAGAGTACCACCCACCTGAAACATGCCCACCTGAAACATGCCCACCAGAGTGGCTTCTTCTCAGTTAGAGAGTGTGGCTCAGAGAGGCCAGGCCCACCAGGCTTTGGGGAGAAGGGTGTACACTGGCTGCCTGCTCCTTATCTGAAAAGCCTTCCCGGATCTCCCTAGGCAGAGAGAGAACTCGCCTCTGCCCACAGACATCCCTCCCCAGCAGCTCAGCATTCTGCAGCGGCCCTTACCTCTCATCCCTCCCGCCAACACACCAGGCACTGTGCTACCTGCTGGGACGGTCACACCAGATCTGCCAAGGTCCTTCATGGCTGTGACTGTATCTTTCTATCTTTATGGCCCTAGAATCTAACAGGCTACCTGAATGTCTGCCAAATGTTGATAGCTCCATAATTGCTGAGTAGGTGTGTGAAGGCAGGAGGAAAGAGATGCGTCTCTACCATGTTCACTCCGGATCTCTCCGCCATTCCTCTTTTTTAAAGTTTGTATATAAAAATGAATGCTGTACCAAAGGTATCAGAAGAGAAATGAAATTTAAATTAAAAAAAAAAAGAGCCGGGCGCAGTGACTCATGCCTATAATCCCAGTACTCTGGGAGGCCGAGGCAGGCGGATCACCTGAAGTAAGGAGTTTGACCAGCTTGGCCAACATGGCGAAACCCCATATCTACTAAAAATATAAAAATTAGCCATGCATGGTGGTGCATCTGTAGTCCCAGCTACTCAGGAGGCTGAGGCACGAGAATTGCTTTAACCTGGGACGTGGAGGTTGCAGTGAGCCGAGATCACACCACTGCACTCCAGCCTGGACAACAGAGCAAGACTACATCTCAAAAAAAAAAAAAAAAAAAAAAAGAATGCCATCTTTTTTTTTGAGACAGGCTTTTGCCTGTCAGGGTGCAGTGGTGCAGTGGTGCAGTTATGGCTCGCTGCAGTCTCAAATGCCAGGGCTCAAGTGATCCTCCCACCTCACCCTCCCAAGTAGCTGGAACTATAGGCACATGCCACCATACCCAGCTAATTTTTTTGGCAGGGGGGGACAGAGTTTTGCTCTGACACTCTGGCTGGAGTGCAGTGGCACAAACACAGCTCACTGCAGACTCCACCTCCCATGCTGAACCAATCCTCCCACTCAGCCTCCTGAGTAGCTGAGACTACAGGAGTGCGCCACCACACCTGGCTATTTTTTGCATTTTTTGTAGAGGCAGAGTCTAACTACGTTGCCCAAGCTGGTCTTGAACTCCTGGGCTCAAGCTATCCTCCTTCCTTGGCCTCCCAAAGCACTAGGATTACAGGTGTGAGCCACCACACTGAGCTCAATACTGTTTTTTTTTTTGAGATGGGGTCTTGCTCTGTCACCCAGGAAGGAGCACAGTGGCGCGATCTCGGCTCACTGCAACCTCCGCCTCCTGGGTTCAAGTGATTATCCTACCTCAGCCTCCTGAGTAGCTGGGATTACAGGTGCACACCACCATGCCCGGCTAATTTTTTTTTTTTTTTTTTTTTTGAGACGGAATCTCGCTGTCGCCCAGGCTGGAGTGCAGTGACGCAATCTCGGCTCACTGCAAGCTCCACCTCCCAGGTTCACCCCATTCTCCTGCCTCAGCCGCCCCAGTAGCTGGGACAGACGCCCGCCAACACACCTGGCTAATTTTTTTTGTATTTTTAGTAGAGATGGGGTTTTACCGTGTTGGCCAGGATGGTCTCGATCTCCTGCCCTCGTGATCCGCCCGCCTCGGCCTCCCAAAGTGCTGGGATTACAGGCGTGAGCCACTGTACCTGGCCCCAATGCTGTCTTATTAAGTACTTTTGGGCTCTTGTTGATATGATCATAGGATTGTTATTAATCAGCAAATAGCCATTGTCCAAATCTCATAAAGGAAAAAACACATTTGAGTAAACTTACAACTCTGGCTCACAGTGGAACAGCATGGGCTGTATGGTGGTTTTCCTTCTGTGACCCTGACCCTCGTGGGGAATTTGGAAACACATGGGCCACACACTTTGTGGGGCTGGGGACTCCCAACACCCCTGCGGGAGTGACTCCAGGGAGGAGAAAGGAGGGGTCAGTATGGATTATTCGCAGAGACCAAGCGCAGCCCAAAAACCTGATGACTAGGGGAGAGCTCTGAGGCTCCCGGGCACCCTTCTCAGCTGCCACCTTCTGTGGGCCAGGCTTTTTCATTCTTTCTTTTGCGCGGCATCAACCACCAGGGGGCAGTGTTCCCTCCCGCCGTCCCTCCGGGGCCGCCTTCCCGTTTTTACCTACAGGGGGAAGCAGAGAGCACGGAGCGCCCGGGAGCACTGCGTTCCAGCCACCCGGGCGGAGATCCCTCAGCTGTTAATAACCTAGCCGAGACCCGGCCCTGGCAGCTGGTTCTCCAGCTTCCACTCGCCTCTGCAAGCAAAGGAGGGTAGCCACATTTTCTCCCGGTAGAAACAGTAGACAGAACACGAGGACTGGTCTTTTTTTTTTTTTTTAATATTAATTAATTTATTTTTTGAGACGGAGCCTCGCTCCTCGCCCAGGCTGGAGCGCAGTGGCACAGTCTTGGCTCACTGCAACCTCCACCTCCCAGGTTCAAGCGATTCTCCTGCCTCAGCCTCCCTAGTAGCTGGGACTACAGGCACGTGTCACCACACCTGGCTAATTTTTTGCGGTTTTTTTTTTGTTTTTTGTTTTTTTGAAACAGAGTCTTGCTTTGTCGCCCAGGCTGGAGTGCAGTGGCGCGATCTCGGCTCACTGCAAGTTCCGCCTCCCGGGTTCACGCCATTCTCCTGCCACAGTCTCCTGAGTAGCTGGGACTACAGGCGCCCGCCACCGCGCCCGGCTATTTTTTTTTTTTTTTTGTATTTTTAGTAGAGACGGGGTTTCACCGTGGTCTCGATCTCCTAACCTCGTGATCCACCCGCCTCGGCCTCCCAAAGTGCTGGGATTACAGGCGTGAGCCACCGCGCCCGGCCATTTTTTGCGTTTTTAGTAGAGACGAGGGTTTCACCGTGTTAGCCAGGATGGTCTCCGTCTCCTGACCTCGTGATTTGCCCGCCTTGGCCTCCCAAAGTGCTGGGATTACAAGCGTAAGCCACCGCGCCCGGCCAAGGACTGGTCTTTTACAAGTCTGAAAAACGGCCGGGCGCGGTGGCTCACGCCTGTAATCCCAGCACTTTGGGAGGCCGAAGTGGGTGGATCACCTGAGGTCAGGGGTTCAAGACCACCCTGGGCAACATGGTGAAACTCCGTTTCTACTAAAAATACAAAATTTGCCGGGTGTGGTGGTGCGTGCCTGCAGTCTCTTCGGGAGGCTGAGGCAGGAGAATTGCTTGAACTTGGGAGGTGGAGGTTGCAGTGAGCCAAGATAGTGCCACTGCGCTCCAGCCTGGGCAACAGAGTGAGGCTCCGTCTCAAAATAAATGAATAAATAAAAACAAATAATAAAAAATAGTCTGGGCCGGGCGCAGTGGCTCACACCTGTAATCCCAGCATTTTGGGAGGCTGAGGTGGGCAGATCACTAGGTCAGGAGTTCAAGACCAGCCTGGCCAACATGGTGAAACCCCATCTCTACTAAAAATACAAAAATTAGCTGGGCGTGGTGGCATGCGCCTGTAATTCCGGCTACTCGGGAGGCTGAGGCAGGACAATCACTTGAACCCAGGAGGTGGAGGCTGCAGTGAGCAGAGATTGTGCCACTGCACCCCAGCCTGGGCGACAGAGCGAGACTCAGTCTCAAAAAAATAAATAAATAAAATTCTGAAAAACAAGGCTGGCTCACACCTGTAATCCTAACACTTTGGGAGGCCAAAGAAGGAAGACTGCTTGAGACCAGGAGTTTGAGACCAGCCTGGCAACACAGGGAGATTTCATCTCTACAAAAAAGATTTTTTAAATTAACCAGGAATGGTGGTGTGCCCATGTAGTCCTAGCTACTCAGGAGACTGAGGTGGGAGGATCTCTTGAGCCCGGGAGTTTGTAGTTACTGTGAGGTGTTATTGGGTCACTGCACTCCAGCCTGGGTGACAGAGTAAGACCCTGTCTCTAAGAAAAAAATAAAAAATAAACTCCCAGGTGTCTTCCAGGGTTATTTTGTGCTTTTATAAAAATTAGGCTGGGCATCATGACTCAAGCCTGTAATCCCAGCACTTTGGGAGGACAAGGTAGGAGGATCTCTTGATCCCAGGACAGTTCGAGAAGCCCAGCGTGGGCAACATAGTGAGACCCCATCCTTTTTTTTTTTTTTTTTTGAGACAGAGTCTCTCTCTGTCGCCCAGACTGGAGTACAGTCGTGCCATGTCTGCTCACTGTGGCCTCTGCCTCCAGGGTTGAGGCAATTCTTCTGCCTCGGCCTCCGAAATAGCTGGGATTACAGGCGTGCACTACCAGGCCTGGTTAATTTTTGTATTTTTAGTAGAGATGGGGTTTCAACATGTTGGCCAGGCTGGCCTCAAATTCCTGGCCTCAGGTTATCCGCTTGCCTCCGCCTCCCAAAGTGCTGGGAATCAGGCGTGAGCTGGGCGCGATGGCTCACACTTGTAATCTCTACTAAAAATACAAAAGAACTGGGCATGGTGGCAGGCCAGCTACTCGGGAGTCTGAGGCAGGAGAATTGCTTGAACTCAAGAGGCAGAGCTGCAGTGAGCAGAGATCGTGCTACTGTACTGCACTCCAGCTTGGGCAACTCCAGCTTGGCAACTCCATCTCAAATAAATAAATAAATACATACATATAAACATACATACATAAATAATTACATCCATTTTGATAGTCTTTTTTTTTTTTTTTTGAGATGGAGTTTCACTCTTGTCCCCGTGGCTGGAGTGCAAGGGGTCGATCCCAGCTCACTGCAACCTCTGCCTCCCGAGTTCAAGCGATTCTCCTGCCTCAGCCTCCCGAGTAACTGGGAATACAGGCGTGTGCCACCATGCCCGGCTAATTTTTGTATTTTTAGTAGAGATGGAGTTTCACCATGTTGGCCAGGCTGGTCTCAAATTCCTGACCTCAAGTGATCTGCCCACCTTGGCCTCAAAGTGCTAAAAGTCGCACATCTTGGCCTCCCAAACTGCTGGGATTACGGGCATGAGCCACTGTGCCCGGCCAGAATAGCTAATCTTTACTGAGTTCCTAGCAAGTACCAGGGTCCATGTGAAGCACACATTATGCTTTCCCTCTTTTTTTTTTTTTTTTTTTGAGACAGAGTTTTGTTCTTGTTGTCCAGGCTGGAGTGCAATGGTGCAATCTCAGCTCACCGCAACCTCCGCTTCCCGGGTTCAAGGGATTCTCCTGCCTCAGCCTCCTGAGTAGCTGGGACTATAAGCACATGCCACCACACCTGGCTAAATTTTTTTTTTTTTTTTTTTTTTGAGACTGAGTCTCGCTCTGTCGCCAGGCTGGAGTGCAGTGGCGCAATCTTGGCTCACTGCAAACTCCGCCTCCTGGGTTCATGCCATTCTCCTGCCTCAGCCTCCAGAGTAGCTGGGACTACAGGTGTCCGACACCACGCCCGGCTAATTTTTTGTATTTTTAGTAGAGACGGGGTTTCACTGTGTTAACCAGGATGGTCTCGATCTCCTGACCTCGTGATCCATCCGCCTTGGCCTTGCAAAGTGCTGGGATTACAGGCGTGAGCCACCATGCCCGGCCTAATTTTTTTTTGTATTTTTAGTAGAGACGGGGTTTCACCGTGTTAGCCAGGATAGTCTCGATCTCCTGACCTCGTGATCCACCCACCTCAGCCTCCGAAAGTGCTGGGAATTACAGGCGTGAGCCACCGCGCCCGACTATGCTTTCTCACTGCATCCTCACATCAATACACTGTGACAAAGACTACCATCATCCCTATTTTACAGACGTGAGAACTAAGGCTCAGAGAAGTTGTGACATAGCTAATAAGGGACATTTGAGACTTAACCCGAGTCTTCTCTAACTCAAGAACCCACAGTCTTAATTATGAACCATGTTGAGAGATGTTTGTAAAACACATCAGGGCTGGCCAGGCACAGTGGTTCACGCCTGTAATCCCAGCACTTTGGGAGGCCAAAGTGGGTGGATCACGAGGTTAAGAGTTCAAGACCAGCCTGGCCAAGATGGTGAAACCACGTCTCTACTAAAAATACAAAAATTAGATGGGTGTGGTGGTGGGTGCTTGTAATCTCAACTATTCGGGAGGCTGAGGCAGAGAACAGCTTGAACCTGGGAGGCGAAGGTTGCAGTGAGCCAAGATCGTGCCACCACACTCCAGCCTGGGCAACAGAGCAAGACTGTCTCAAAAAAAAAAAGTCAGGACTGGGGGAGGAGAGATGGAGAGAAACATTAGGAAGGGGAGCAATGTTGCCATGGCAACCCCACCTGTACCTCCCTGCAGACTGGTCAGTTCTCCATGGGTGGGCACCTGTCCCCATGGCCCACATACACCAGTGGCCAGACCATTTTGCAAAATCGAAAACCCTGTTCAGATGACTACCGGAAGCGAGTAGGGTAAGCCAGGGTCAGTCCCATGGTGGGTGAGCTGGCATGGGCCAGGCTTTGGGCCAGGAGACAGGGCAGGGGCGTGTGTTGCCCCAGACTGAGGGCACAAGGGCCCCGTGGGGGTGCTGGCCACATATCAGCCACTGTCCCCTGCAGGAGCTGCCAGCAGCACCCCTTTCGCACTGCCAAGCCCCAGTACTTGGAGGAACTGGAAAACTACCTACGCAAGGAGCTCCTCCTGCTGGACCTGGGCACAGATTCCACCCAGGAACTAAGGCTGCAGGTCAGAGCCACAGAAGAAACTTGGGGAGGGCGGGGGAAGGGTGGGAAGAAGCTTCACCTACCGGCCGGGCACAGTGGCTCACGCCTGTAATCTCAGCACTTTGGGAGGCCAAGGCGGGTGGACCACCTGAGGTCAGGAGTTCAAGACCAGCCTGGCCAACATGGCGAAACCCCGTCTCTACTAAAAGTACAAAAATTAGCCAGGCATGGTAGTGGGCACCTGTAGTCCCAGCTACTCAGGAGGCTGAGGCAGGAGAATCGCTTGAACCCTGAACCCGGGAGGCAGCGGTTGCAGTGAGACAAGATCACACCACTGCACTCCAACCTGGGCGACAAGAGTGAGACTCCGTCTCAAAAACAAAAAAAAGCCTCACCTACAAGGACTGAGCACCTCAGACCTTCAGGGGAGACCCACCTCTCCCAGCTCTCCTGGGTCTCCTTCCCTGAACAGAAGCATGAAACATCCCATGAAAATGCCAGTGAGGCCGGGCACAGTGGCTCATGCCTGTAATCCCAGCACTTCGGGAGGCTGAGGCAGGAGGATCGCTTGAGGTCAGGAGTTCAAGACCAGCCTGGTCAACATGGTGAAACCCTGCCTCTACTAAAAATACAAAACCTGCAGTGGTGGTACACACCTGTAGTCCCAGCTACTCAGGAGGCTGAGGCAGGAGAATTGCTTGAACCCAGGCGGCAGAGGTTGCAGTGAGCCGAGATCATGCCACTGCACTACAGCCTGGGCAACAGAGTGAGACTCTGTCAACAGAAAAAAGAAGGCCAGGCACGGTGGCTCACACCTGTAATCCCAGCAGTTTGGGAGGCCGAGGCAGGCGGATCACCAGGTCAGGAGATCGAGACCATCCTGGCTAACATGGTGAAACCCCGTCTCTACTAAAAATACAAAAAAATTAGCCAGGTGTGGTGGCAGGCACCTGTAGTCCCAGCTGCTCGGGAGGCTGAGGCAGGAGAATGGCATGAACCTGGGAGGCGGAGCTTGCAGTGAGCCAAGTTCACGCCACTGCACTCCAGCCTGGGCAACAGAGTGAGACTCCATCTCAAAAAAAAAAAAAAAAAAAGAAAACGCCAGTGAGCAGGCAAGGCTGCAATGTGGATCCAAAAGTCTCCTGAGGCTGGAGTTTCCTCACCTGAGTCAGGTGGCCTGGATGCTGTGCCCAGTCCCTGCAGCTCTGTGATCCCCAGTACCCAGGTTGGGCCACTGGACATCAGTGAACGTAGCCTGAATGCTGGCAGTTGGGCAAGCAGGGGTCACACCGTGTTTACCAGTCCAGTGGCAACAACCCCAAGCTTAAGGAACCAGCACAGATGCATAAGGAGGGAGGGAGGAAGAGAGAGAGAGAGAGAGAGAGAGATCAGATCCAACCCAGATACCAGTGTATAGTAGGGAGAGAATCACCAAATCTGCTTAAACAAGGATGATGACAGAGAATCCCTGCCTTTTGACTTAGTCATTGACTAAAGCATTTACTGAGCACTGGCTATGTGCAAGTGCAAGGCCCTGGGCTGGGGCCTTACATCGATCTCCTGAACAGATAAGGAAGAAAGCATACCACTATGGCGTAGTGGGGCTGGGCTTCAAACTCAGGGCTGACTCTGGAGACTGTGCTCATTTCAGTGAGCAATGCTGCCTCCAGAAACCTCCCATGTGTCCAAATGGGACAGAAGACCACACCCCTACTTGCATGTCAGGATGCAAGGGTACAACCTTCAATCTCCTGAATCTACCAGGCTCTAAGATGGGGAGAGGTTACAAGTGAGAGGCCAATGATGCAGTGTCTAGAAGGCAAGAGGCTGGCTGCCTGGAGAGCCAGAGAGGGGCTCAGGCACAGAGTGGATGTCTGTCTATGGTCATGGCAGTCCACTAGGCCTCAGAGACAGCATCAGGACAGGCCTCCAGAGAGCTGCCCCCCAGGCTCCGTGGCACTGTGAGGTACCCGGGTGGTATCTAGGGCATTTACTTGAATATAAGTGACCTGGCAGCCTCATGCTGGAATACTGCTAAGCCCAGTAAAGAAAAAAACAGTGCCAGGCACAGTGGCTCACACCTGTAATCCCAGCACTCTGGGAGGCCGAGGTGGGTGGATCACGAGGTCAGGAGATCGAGACCATCCAGGCCAACATGGTGAAACCTCATCTCTACTAAAAATACAAAAATTAGCCAGGTGTGGTGGCGCGTGCCTGTAATCCCAGCTACTCAGGAGGCTGAGGCAGGAGAATCACTTGAACCTGGGAGGCAGAGGTTGCAGTGAGCTGAGATTGCACCACAGCACTCCAGCCTGGGTGATGGAGCGACACTCCGTCTCAGGAAAAAAGAAAAAGAAAAACAGTTCCCCACTAAGGTTGGCAGCTGTGGGCTAGGAGATGATGGGTTCCCTTTTCTTGCCAGCCTTACAGAGAGATCTTTGAGTTCTTCATAGAGGACTTCAAAACGTACAAGCCATTACTATCCTCCATCAAGAATGCGTATGAGGGGATGCTGGGTAAGAATGCACCTCCTGCCAGGCGTAGTGGCTCACGCCTGTAATCCCAGCACTTTAGGAGGCCGAGGCGGTAGATCACTTGAGGTCAGGAGTTTGAGACCAGCCTGGCCAACATGGTGAAACCCTGTCTCTAGTAAAAACACAAAAAAATTAGCTGCGCATGGTGGCACACACCTGTAATCCCAGCTACTTGGGAGACTGAGGCAGGAGAATTGCTTGAACCTAGGAGGTGGAGGTTGCAGTGAGTTGAGATCACACCACCGCACTCCAGCCTGGGCAAAAGAACAAGACTCCATCGCAAAAAAAAAAAAAAAAAAAGAATGCAGCTCCCCTCCTTGTCCCAGCCTGGAAGGGGTGGAGAAGATCCTATTCGACCTTCTGGTGCTCCACAGCAGGGCTGGGGCAGCTACCAACTGGGCCTTGAGGTCACCAAGGCCCCTCAGCCATTCTGCACAGACTGTTCCATGATAGGGCACCCCAGAGCACCTGACAACACCTGTCATTGAGAAGCACAGGGGGGCAGTCCCTGTTGAAAATGGAGTGAACCCCAGGAGAGAGTCAGCACCTCTGGGAGTCAGCAGGCTCCCCTGCCAGGCTCAGGAGGTGCAGGGCATGGTGCAGCTGCAGGACTTAAGGCTGTAGGGGAAAGGACATAGGAGAGACCCCGGTCTTCATCTGAACTCTGCCCTTTGTTTAAAATCAAGTGCAGGAAGGCCTGAAACAGGGACCATGGCTTTGAACAAGGCATGCAGAGATTCTTGGGGTTTGCAAGCGACATAGCCACTCACCCATGACCTTAGGGTGTCTTCTGGCTGTTTGTTCTCCATGGCCCCAAAGCAGCTCTCCCACCTGTCTCTGCTTAGCCCACCAAAGGGAGAAGATTCGGGCTCTGGAGCCCCTGAAGGCCAAGCTTGTCACTGTGAATGAGGACTGCAATGAGAGGATCCTGGCCATGAGAGCTGAGGAGAAATATGAAATCTCCCTGCTCAAGAAAGAGAAGATGAACTTGCTAAAACTCATCGACAAAAAGAATGAGGAGAAGATTTCATTGCAGAGCGAGGTGAATGGAAGTGGTGTGATGATGACCAAGTCCCCGAATTCCTGCCAACTCCACGACAAGGGTGACCCCCTACCCTGCTCTGCCTTTCTACGGAGAGTGACACACTGAGCCACCACCTTCCCCCAGAGCCTTGCTAACTCCACCCTCTGCCCTGCTGCTAGGCTCAGTACTTTCCCCACAGGGGGAAACATTGGCACCTTGCCGAATTCTCAGAAATGGCCAATCTCCTTCTTCTTTCACCTTTCCTGTTCACAGTCCCTGATGGGGCCCCCCAGAACCCAGCCCACTCCCTGGGGTGACCAGCTGCATACAGGGGTCCAGGGGCAGCCCCTGACCACACAGCCACCTTCTTGCCAGGTGACCAAACTGAGGAAGAACTTGGCTGAGGAGTACCTGCACTACCTCAGTGAGCGAGATGCCTGTAAGATCCTCATCGCAGACCTGAATGAGCTGCGGTACCAGCGGGAGGACATGTCATTAGCCCAGTCGCCAGGTAAGCCTGAATTGGGAATCGGGTTTCTCTCTTCTCTGAGACGCTGGAAGACTCTGGTCTCACCCCTAAGCCCCATTCATTCAGCATTCCTAAGACCTGCTCATTCCATAACCATTCAGAGGGGAGATGTCCCTGCCTCCCGCAGGGCTGTGTATCTTCTGAGTTGAACTGAGAATTGTAGGAACACAGTTGGTAGCTGAGGCAGCCTAGGCTCCCAGTGGGCTGGACAGGCCTGGTACTCAGTTTCCTGGGCTTCTAGACTTTAGCCTGAAACCCTAGGCTGGTAGTGCTGTGGGCAAGAACCAGGGAACCCCAAACAGGAAGGGCAGAGGGCTTCAGGCAACCCCTGAGAAAGCCACGGTGACACGGGCTGGTGGGCCCCTTCCCCTGGCAGGCATCTGGGGGGAGGACCCTGTGAAGTTAACCCTGGCTCTTAAGATGACCCGGCAAGACCTGACCCGCACGCAGATGGAACTCAACAACATGAAGGCCAACTTTGGAGATGTGGTCCCCAGGAGGGACTTTGAAATGCAGGAGAAGACCAACAAGGATCTTCAGGAGCAGGTGCTGGCAGGCAGGCAGGGCCAGGAGGGTAGGACGGGGTCTCACAGGTGGGGGGCCAGGGCCAATGTCCTTGCCCACAGCTGGACACCCTGAGAGCCAGCTACGAGGAGGTTCGCAAGGAGCATGAGATCCTCATGCAGCTGCACATGAGCACGCTGAAGGAACGGGACCAATTCTTCTCTGAGCTGCAGGAGATCCAGCGCACTTCCACGCCGCGGCCTGACTGGACCAAGTGCAAAGGTGAGGGCAGCCGGCAGGGCCCCAGGTCCTGCTTACATGTGGGCCCAGACTCCAGCTCCCTCTCCCCACATGCAGATGTGGTGGCTGGGGGCCCAGAGCGCTGGCAGATGCTGGCTGAGGGCAAGAACAGCGACCAGCTGGTGGACGTGCTCCTGGAAGAGATTGGTTCGGGGCTGCTGCGGGAGAAAGACTTCTTCCCTGGTCTGGTAGGGGAGGCCCCAGGAGTGGGGCTTGGGCCAGAGTCAGAACAGCCATGCCCTGCTGCTCAGACAAGCTTTTGGGGAACCAACTGGGGATCTTCCCTGATTGGGGGTGGGGCCACAGATGGGTCCAGAGATGAGCTGATATCCTCCCTCCTAGGGCTATGGGGAAGCCATCCCTGCTTTTCTTCGGTTTGATGGCCTCGTGGAGAACAAGAAGCCAAGCAAGAAGGACGTGGTCAACCTCCTCAAGGATGCCTGGAAGGAACGTCTTGCTGAGGAGCAGGTCAGATCTCACCAGCCACTCTGGCCCAGCATGGTCTTCAGATCCAGAGTCCTCTGCAGGTCCAGAGGTGACAGGGATGAGGGCCAACCAACCGTAAGACTCTGACTGAGCATTTCCTCGATCCCGCAGAAAGAGACGTTCCCAGATTTCTTCTTCAATTTCCTGGAGCATCGCTTTGGGCCCAGTGATGCCATGGCCTGGGCTTATACTATTTTTGAAAATATCAAGATCTTCCACTCCAACGAGGTTATGAGTCAGTTCTATGCAGTCTTGATGGGAAAGGTGAGCTGGGGCCTATTCCCCTTGGGGAGACTGAGAGGGGTCTTTGTCCCTAGCATAGACCAGCTTTGCCCCCACCACTCCCAGGAACAGCAGGTGAATAATGCTTCTCTCCTTATAGCGGAGTGAGAATGTGTATGTCACCCAGAAGGAGACAGTAGCCCAGCTGCTGAAGGAGATGACAAATGCTGACAGTCAGAACGAGGGGCTACTAACCATGGAGCAGTTCAAGTGAGAGGCCAGTCCAGGCTACCCCCAACTCCTACCCAACTATTCCTGCATCTGTAGGGAAAAGGGGCACCTGGTGGGAAGGGCCACAGCCTCGGCACTCACTCCCTTTTGAGCACTAGGGAGAGGCACAAGCAGGCCTCAGCAGGTCCCTGTTGGCCCTCATGTCTCCCCTACAGCACTGTCCTCAAGAGTACCTTCCCTCTCAAGACAGAAGAGCAAATCCAGGAGCTGATGGAGGCAGGGGGCTGGCATCCCAGCAGCAGCAATGCAGACTTGCTCAACTACCGCTCACTGTTTATGGAGGTGGGTGTGTGGGGTCCGGGGACTGGCCTGGCCCCTGCCCTAGCCTTGGCTGGACCCTACCCAATGTGCCCTCCCCCTGACTTGTGGCCCCTCCCAGGATGAGGAGGGCCAGAGTGAGCCCTTTGTGCAAAAACTCTGGGAACAATACATGGATGAGAAGGACGAGTACTTACAGCAGCTAAAGCAGGAGCTTGGCATAGAACTGTGAGTGACCCTCATCCATAGGCGAGTCCCACAGGCTGGGCCCCTGAAGCCCCTGGGTCTCCCTGTGCACCATGCACCATCCACTGCTCAGCCCAGCACAGAGGAGGGCACCTGGGAGTCTGGGGCACGGAGAGGAGGGGTCAGGGCCTGTCACTCTCTTTCCTGTGGGGCAGCCATGAGGAAGTGACTCTGCCCAAGCTGCGAGGGGGCCTGATGACCATCGACCCCAGCCTGGACAAGCAGACAGTGAACACCTACATGAGCCAGGCCTTCCAGCTCCCTGAGTCGGAAATGCCAGAGGAGGGTGACGAGAAGGAAGAAGCCGTGGTGGAAATCCTCCAGACTGCCCTGGAGCGGCTTCAGGTGATTGACATCAGGCGTGTGGGACCTCGAGAGCCAGAGCCTGCAAGCTAGGAACTTGTGGGCAGCCTGCGTACTCCAGTCCTGCTAACCCCTAGCTTTTAATATAAAAGTGTTTGTCTGAATCCATGCCATTCTCCAGACTGTGCTGGGGAGTTGTGGGGGGGAATCAGTCCCTGCCTGGCTGGCCCCAGGACATGCACCAAAATGCAGAATATTCTGTTTATGACACTTTATTGATGCTGGGGGGGTGGGGAGGAGACCTGGAGAAATATGTGGGGGCAAGAGTCCCCAGGTGGGGACAGGGAAAGTGTTGAAGCCTGGCCACTACTGGGCAGGGAAGACAGAGTTGCCACTGTATGCACAGGGGATGAGCAGCTGCCGGTACTCCAGGGGCAGGTGCCGCTCCACTAGCACGTGCAGTGAGACTTGGTCAGTGACCAGGCCCTGCCTGCAGTGGAGGAAGAGAAGGGACAGGCAGAATCAGCACCAAAACTCCCCCAGCCAGCACCCCCACACCTTCCGCCTTCTCACCGCCGCATCAGCAGCTCCAGGTCCTCTGGCTTCACAGTCTTGCGGCCAGCATGAGCAGCAAATACCTCCAGATCATCACAAAGATGCTGGAAATATTTATCTAGGCTGTCAAGAAGGTGGGGATAGAGCAGGCTGAACAGTCTGATCATGACCCGAGGGGTTCCTCTCCCTACCCCATGTGCCCAGGACTCACCACTTCTCCACCATCTCAAGAGCCTTCCTCTCCATGGGCATCTTGGCATAGAAGCTAAAGAGTTTCACATAGTGGCTCAGTCCAGCCTTGTGGGGATCTTGCCGGGGCCTGGGGCCGGTGGTCCGGGGCCTAGGGGGATGCCTGACCAACAGAGGCTCTGCAGGCTCTGAAGATAAGCTGAGGGCAACAGTGGACAGAGGGGGCTGAACTTGCCTCAAGGAGGCTCTTATTCAAGAGCAAGTCTTGCTGGCTTCTGCTGAGGCTGGGGACCACGTGGCCCTTGGCCAGCCAGGACCAGCAGCCCTGACCACCTGCTGAGGGGCAGTTGGGTCAGGGGGCCACATAGAGGCCAGTCTTTCCCTGGGGCTCTGTCCCTCCACAGTCGACTCGACATCCTGGTTCAGACTTATTATCTATATTGGTACCTGCTTGGGTCCATGACTCCAGGCCTTAGAATGGATAGTCTCTCTCCTTACTCTACTGCTGCCTTTCCCGATTCTGCTAATCGTCTTCCAGGAAGCCTTTTCTGACTACAAACCAACCACATACTTTCCCCTCACCCAGGCTCCTCTAAGCCGTGGAGGCAGGCACCAGGATGGCAGGGGTGCTCTTGGTGAGCTCTCCCCAGCCCAGCTGAAGCTGCCCTGCTGGGTAATCATCTGCATACCCGTAGGAAGGGGGAGGACCCTATGTACACAGCATACCCAATGCTCCCTTCCCAAGAGGCCCATGAGGAATGGGGTTGTGGGATCTTACACTGCAGCACCAGGCGCTGGGGCTGGCTCAAGAAACTGATGATGTCGCCTGGCCTGGAGAGACTCAGGGGTGCTGGAGGCCGACTCTGGACTTGCTACAAAGAAGAAGGGTGGGGTCACAGGGATTCCAGGCCTGACCATCTCACCCAGGCCAGCACAGCCACAGTATTTCTGTCCTGTTTCTGGTGGGCCCCACCTAGCTCCAGCCAAGCAGGTGCCCCTCAGTGTCTCCCTGACCCCCTACCACCACCAGTGCCCGGAAACACAACCCAGACAAGGCCTTTCTGTGTGCTAGGGCCTGAACACAGCTGTCACCAGTCACTCCCTGCACTGGGCCTCTTACCTGCCCTGCCAGAGGCATCCTCATCCCCTGAAGATGCTCCTGGCCCGTCAGCCTCAGCAGTCCCCTGGGATCCCTCTGCTTCTGTCACCTCTGTGTGTCCCTCAGCCTCTTCTACCCTGCTGGGTCCTTGTGCTCCTGTTGCCTCCATTTCACTCACACTCACACCTTCTTCTTCCATCTTTTTCTCTGCCTCTTCAACTCCATCGTGTAAGGGCTCTACTTCATCTTCTCCAGAGACACCACTGCTGGTGCTCAGGAAGCCCAGAGCAAAGGCATTGACCTCCTCTGCCTCTCCTGCCAGAAACTGGGCTGGTTTCCCAGGGCCTGAGTGAAGGGGAGAGAATACAGGCCGGAGACGCAGCAGGCCAAGGCTGCATAGCTCAGAGAAGGGTAAAGATGGACCAGCAGACCCAGTCCTGCCCACTGAGGAAAGACAAAGCCAGAGGCAGCACCAGGACATGGATCTGAAGTCTCCTGGCCCAACATGGACTCTGCTCTTGGATGAAGGAGGCAGCCACAGCCAGGGTGCTCTAGGGGCACAGAGGGGCTTGAGGAAGGAAAACTACCATTGTCAACTCTCACCCAAGCTAAATTTGGCTCCAGGCCACCAGTGCCACACACTCACTATTCTTCTGCAGCCCAGGCCCACTGCTCTGTGTCTTGCGACCGGCAGCCTGCTCAGCGTCTTCAGCCCCAGTGTGAGGCGTGCAGGGCAGGGAGTGATACACGTTGGGGGAGCCAACCATGGGCTGAGAGAACGGCTGGGTGTCCTCCAACACAATGTCTGTGGGCAGAGTAGTAACAGGTTCTGAGGCTGTCACCTGGAGATCAGGGGCCAGCTGGCTCTCAGCGTATTCCAGGCCCACCGGCTGCTACTCAGCGTTGCCAGGGCCTGGACAGTGGGCTGCATGGGTCCACCCTGAGTGGCCTTCAGAGAAAGAAGACGACCTAGCACGCGAGGCCTTATCGCCTACAGCCCTCCTTGCTTACCTTCCTGTTCCTCTGCCTGGCAGTCCCAGGCCCCTATAGCTGCCCGCCCACCAGCTGCCCACTTAAAATACCTCTTCGCTGCTTGTTCTGCTCCGTCTTCCCAAACCCTCTTCTTACTCTGGTGAACTTGTTTTCTGCAATCAGGCTCCCAGGTCAGTTTGAATTGGCCAGCTGATCCTGAAACCTGGCCCCTCTCAACAAGTTTTGGCCACCACACCACACCCCTTTACAACCTCCAGCCCTATAGTCTAAGGATATGGGGCCCTGGGAGACACCGAGGGACCAAGGAAAGAGGCCCCCTGTAGAAAGCAAGCAGAAATTCCTTGTAGACCCACTGACCAGAGTTGCTCGCTGTCCTTGACCCCACCGAGAGGGGTGCAACCCTGACTCAGCATCACCTCCTATCTGTCATAGCGGGGAGAGCTTTCCCCAAAGGCCAGCAGGGGAAAACCCAACCTTACTTGGAGGAGCCAGGGAAGTATCTCGCAGATCCCGCAAAAAGGCACCCACGTCTACAGCTCGGCGGGCTGGAGGTCTGCGGGCCAAGCCAGGCCTCTGCACTGACTGTGGCTGAAGAGGTGTGGCAAAGGTCAGGTTGAGGGATCTGGTGAGGTGGGGAGGCACAGAGGAAAGTCAGGTACCTGAGACCCAGTTTGCCCACAGATCCCTCCATCTGCCCTGGGGCTCTCATCTCTTAGAACAGATGCTGTGAGGCTAAAACTGGTAGGAAGTAGTATGGGCAGATTCCATCCCAGGCAGCACCTCCCTCCCCAAGTCTCTCCTCCACCCACTCCCAGAACAGGAAACACCCAGAGCAGCACCTGGTGAGGGAAGAGGCATCAGCATTCCCTTGAGGCTCTGTCAGCAACCGGCAAGAGAATGTAAAAGAAGAAAACCATGGTAAGTGATCCAGGCCTGTGAGGGCCCTCTCTCAGGACTCCTCAGCCTCTCCAGAGGACAGGAGGGAGAGGGTAGCAAAAGTGGTGTCCAGGGCCTCACCTTGGGAGAGAGACAGCCCCTGGTCCACTCCCTGCTGAAACACTGACAGTCTCAGCCTCTGTTTCCTCCTGCCAGGGGCCAGCAGACCTGGAGCCAGGGTTGTGGGGGGCTCGAGCTCAGGAAGTTGCAGCTCCAGGCTATAAGAATGGAGCTTATCTCAGACAGGCCAGGAAGTCCAATTCTGGCTTTTGCAACCCCCAAGAAACTCCCGGACTAAGCTGCCCATAGCACAATCCAAGGTGGGGGAGTTCTGTGTACCTGCCGCAACTGCTCTCTTGTCTGGAGGGTTGGACCGCCTGCGGTGCTGGCACTGGCTTCACTACCGACTCAGGCATCAGGATGGAAGATTCTGGGGCTGCAGAAACACCAAGGAGAGGGTGGGGCTGACAGAACAGGCCACCCTGAATAAAAGATACCACAAGACTGGGGTTGGACTGGTACCTAACTCTGACCGGCAGGCCAGCGCTCACTTACCAGTTAGTAGGATGTTCTTCAGCAGCGTCCGAGGTGTCTGTTCCTCCAAGTGCCCACTGGCCTGAATATGGGCCGATCTGCCAACAGACTATCGGCAAAGCACCAAGCAACCAGTCTGTCCGTCTGCCTTGAGATTTCCTCAAGGTGGGCTCCAGAGCAGAGCTAGACCTCAACCCCCCTCCCCGAGGCAGCCAGGGCCCTTTGGGGTCAGTGGGCTGGGTACTTACCCTGGCTCCATGGGAACGCCCTCTGGCTATCGTCCTTGTTTGGCCACTCAACTTCCTGGGGGAAGCCGTTTCAAGCAGGGCTCTCCGGGCTCTGTGTAAAGACCAGCAATTATGCCGAGAATTACGGTGAGGAGGGATAGAGAATATAGAGACATGCCTTCATCAGGGGTCTTGGTCTGGAGCCGTTTTCCCTCAGGGCTAGGGACCCAGAAACCACTTGCCCCTACCATCGCCCCTGTTCCCAGCCCTATGTCACCAGCAGTGTGGACCGAAGAAGACCCCTGGGGTATGGGAATAGAGAGGGCATATGAGTGAACCAACCAGGAGGGGCTGGGAAAGGCTTCACAGAGGTGACTTCAGCAGAATCACAAAGGATAAGTAGGGGTTAGCCACACAGAAAAGAGGGGCAATTGGAAAAGCATCCACCCCAGACATGAAAGTAACAATCCATGATGGATACTAAAGTATTTTAAAATCTTTTAAGAACTTGGGTACCCCAGACACCTTAGTCTCTCCAGTCCAGTCCCTCTCAGATTCCAGAGCCACATAAGTGTTCCCAGGGCGCAGCTCCTACCTCATGGGTGTAAAACCTATAATGAATGGCTTCTCATTCCCTATAAAGAAACTCCACTGTCCCAGTCTGGCAGATGTCAACGTATGCATCCTCTGCACCATGAGCTCACCACAGCCCTCACCCACTGCCACTCCCACTGACTCAGGCCAAATTCCCTGCTCCTTAGCAAAGCATCTTCCAGTTGCTGCCTCCCAACTTCTGCCCAGGCTGTCCTCTAGCTCCTTTCCCATTTCCCAGCTGGGAGCTACAAGGACAGTAAGACAATGAGCAGGAACAGTGGGAACCCTCGGGACGCAGAAGTTCAGGGCAAATGCCTAGGCACACCCTGGCTGGTCTGGGGAAAGCTGCCTAGAGAACAGAGCAGAAGGTGAGATTCTGAACCCCTATCCTCCATCTCCAGTGGCCGAGCCCCCAGAGACCCGGGATCAGTCAGGCTCTGTGGTCCCGAGGGCTGGCTGCCTGGAGCCCTGGGGGCAGGGGCACAAACAGCTGGCCCGGGCCCGGCTAGAGCAATGGAACCAGTTCTCAGAGTCCCAGGCCCTGCTCCTCTCTGAGACTCAGTTTTCCTCTTCGAACAGAGTCGACGCTGGGTTCCACCCAGACCCTGCTCCTCTCTGAGACTCAGTTTTCCTCTTCGAACAGAGTCGACGCTGGGTTCCACCCAGACCCCACTCCCCGGTCCCTCTAGTTGCTCAAGTACTCGGGGAGCCCCCTCACATACCCAGCCCGAGCACTCCGGGGTCGCCGCGGGGTGCGCGGGTCCGCTGTATCCAGCACGCGTCGCAGCAGCGTGCGCGGCGTGGAGTCGCTGTCAGGGTTGTGGTCAGCCATCGTCTCGGCCCCGGGCCCTCCTAACCGCCCAGCCAGCTGCAGGCTCCGCCTTCCCGCCGCCACAGTTAATGTAACTCTCGCGATGCTCCCGCACAGCCCCACGGGAATTGTAGTTCTCGCACTATCGCAGCTCGCGGGGTGGACAGTGATGGTTGCAAACTCCGGATGCTTTGGAGGCAGCCTCGCTGCGGGTAAACCTCGGTTAATGTAATGCAAGCAGCCCAAGTCTTGGCTTCTTCATCTGTAAATTGAGGTTGATACCCACCTGATAAGGAGCTTGTAATGATTCAAGGAGTTGATGTTTAACTCAGAGTCTAACACACGATAAGCCAGGGCACTGGTAACTAGCAATTGCTATTATTAGAAGGCTCTCTCATTCCCATCTCCCTCTCCGAAGATGAGGAGAGACACTTGGGCCAGGAAAAAGATTTTTATCCTACATATGACCTGGTTAGATTTGCATTTGCAGGCTAGGCGGTGGTTCACGCCTGTAATTCCAATACTTTAGGACACCGAGGCGGGAGGATAGCTTGAGCTCAGGAGTTCGAGAGCAGCCTGGGCAACACAGTGAGACCCCTGCCCCCTGGTCTCTACAAAAAATAAAAATAAATTATTCAGTCATGGTGGTGCGCGCCTGTAGTCCCAGATAATGGGGAGGCTGAGGCAGGAGCATTGCTTGAGCCCAGGAGTTCAAGACTTAAGTGAGTCGTGATCGCACTCCAGCCTGGGCAACAGAGAGAGACCCTGTATCAAAAAATAATAAAAGCATTTTTAAAAGATCTGCTTTGCAAATCTGTCTATAGGGCCTATCTCTATCAGAAGAGACCAGGAAGCAGGCTCCAAGGCTAATAGGCTGTTTGTGATCCAGCACTGATGTTATTATGATCTCCAAACACGAGCAATTTTGAGATGAATTCCGGCTCTCAAAAGTTCTATTAATGTTTTCCCCATTACCACCACATCTAGCAAAATAAATAAATAAAAATTGGGGTTTTTTTTGAGACAGAGTTTTGCTCTTGTTGCCCAGGCTGGAGTGCAATGGCACAATCTCGGCTCACCGCAACCTCCACCTCCTGGGTTCAAGCGATTCTCCTGCCTCAGCCTCCCGAGTAGCTGGGATTACAGGCATGCACCACCACACCCGGCTAATTTTGTATTTTAAGTAGAGACAGGGTTTCTCCATGTTGGTCAGGCTGGTGTCAAACTCCTGACCTCAAGTGATCCGCCTGCCTCGGCCTCCCAAAGTGCTGGGATTACAGGTGTGAGCCACTGCGCCCGGCCATTAAAAATTTTTAATGCTAGAGATGCTTACCATATTCTGTTAGTGTTTTCCTCCGTATTTTTCACTGGTTGACAATCCTCTCACCTTAAGTTTTCATGGCAACTGAATTAGAACTTGGTTTCTGAGTCTTCCGTGGAGTTCACTTTCCCAGAATCTGCACTGAGATCAAGTGTAAATTATCAGATACCTGAGACAAGCATGGGCATATTTGTGCTTGTGTTAAAAAAGCTGAGCCAAGAAGTCCAGGCATGGTGGCTCATGCCTGTAATCCCAGCACTTTGGGAGGCTGAGGCGGGCGGATCACTTGAGGTCAGGAGTTCAAGACCAGTCTGGCCAACATGGTTAAACCTGTCTCTACTAAAAACACAAAAATTAGCTGGGTGTAGTGGCACTCACCTATAATTCCAGCTACTCTGGAAACTGAGGCAGGAGAATTGCTTGAACCCTGGGAGGCAGAGGTTGCAGAGCTGAGATCGAGCCACACTACTCCAGCTTGGGCGACTAAGCAAGACTCCATCTCGGAAAAAAAAAATTAAGCAAAAAATTAGATTCTTGCTTCTCAAAATAAGAGAACTGTAGAGAAAAAGCTATCGATATTCCTTGTCATTTAGATCTGATATCTGTGTTATCTGACTCAATTTGCTATCCTTTTGCAGACATATTTCCATGGTTACTACCTAAATGCAGTTTTTTTTTTGTTTTTGTTTTTTTTTTGAGATGTTCTCCTGCCTCAGCCTCCTGAGCAGCTGGGATTACAGGCTGGCACCACCACGCCCAGCTAATTTTTGTATAGAGACGGGGTTTCACCATTTTGGTCATGCTGGTCTCGAACTCCTCATGATCCGCCTGCCTCAGCCTCCCAAAGTGCTGGGATTACAGGCGTGAGCCATGGCGCCTGGTCTGCAGTTTTGTTTTTGTTTTTGTTTTTTGTTTTTTGAGATGGAGTCTCACTTTGTTGCCCGGGATGGAGTGCAGTGGCACAATCTCAGCTCACTGCAACCTCTGCCTCCCGGTTTCAAGCAATTCTCCCTGCCTCAGCCTCCCAAGTAGCTGGGATTACAGGTGCCCACCACCACACCTGGCTAATTTTTTGTATTTTTAGTAGAGACGGGGTTTCACCATGTTGGCCAAGATGGTCTTGACCTCCTGACCTCATGATCCGCCCACCTCAGCCTCCCAAAGTGCTGGGATTACAGGCGTGAGCCACTACACCCGGCCCCAGCCTGCAGTTTTAAATTATTTATTCATTTACTAGTAAAACCTTGAACTATTGAATAATATGGAAAAAAACAAACATCTTTTTTTTTTTTTTTGAGATGGAGTCTCGCTTTGTTGCCCAGGCTGGAGTGTAGTGGTGCGATCTCAGCTCACTGCAACCTCTGCCTCCTGGGTTCAAGCAATTCTCCCTGCCTCAGCCTCCCAAGCAGCTAGGATTACAGGGGCCCACCGCCAAGCCCGGCTAATTTTTTGTATTTTTTTTCTTTTTTTGAGACAGAGTTTTGCTCTTGTTGCCCAGGCTGGAGTGCAATGGCGCAACCTCTGCCTTCTGAGCCTCTCGAGTAGCTGGGATTACAGGCATGTGCCACCACGCATGGCTGATTTTGTATTTTTAGTAAAGATGGGGTTTCTCCATGTTGGTCAGGCTGGTCTTGAACTCCCGACCTCAGGTGATCCGCCTGCCTCAGCCTCCCAAAGGTTCACGCCATTCTCCTGCCTCAGCCTCCCGAGTAGCTGGGAGTACAGGCGCCCACTACCACGCCCGGCTAATTTTTTGTATTTTTAGTAGAGACGGGGTTTCACCGTGTTAGCCAGGATGGTCTCGATCTCCTGACCTTGTGATCTGCCCGCCTCGGCCTCCCAAAGTGCTGGGATTACAGGCGTGAGCCACTACGAAATTTTTTGTATTTTTAGTAGAGACGAGGTTTCGCTCTGTTGGCCAGGCTGGTCTCCAACTCCTAACCTCAGGTGATCTTCCGCCTCGGCCTCCCAAAGTGCTGGGATTACAGGCGTGAGCCACCGTGCCTTGCCTTTTTTTTTTCTTTTTTTTTTGAGACAGGGTCTCGCTCTGTCACCCGCGCTGGAGTGCAATGGTGGGATCACAGGTCACTGAAGATCTCAACCTTCTGGACTCAAGCCATCCTCCCACCTCAGCCTTCTGAGTAGCTGGGATTACCGGAGTGAGTCACCATGCCCAGCTAATTATTGTATTTTACGTACAGGCGGGGTTTCACCATGTTGCCCAGGCTGGTCAAACATGTTTCAAAAAAGATTAAAACATGAACTTTGGCTGGGCGCAGTGGCTCACACCTGTAATCCTAGCACTTTGGGAGGCCGAGGCAGGTGGATCACAAGGTCAGGAGTTCAAGACCAGCCTGGCCAAGATGGTGAAACCCTGTCTCTACTAAAAATACAAAAAATTAGCCGGGCACGATGGCAGGTGCCTGTAATCCCAGCTACTCGGGAGGCTGAGTCAGGAGAATCGCTTGAACTTGGAGGGTGAAGGTTGCAGTCAGCCAAGATTGCACTCCAGCCTGGGCGACAGAGTGAGACTCCGTCTCAAAAACAAACAAACAAACAAACAAACAAACAATGAGCTTCATTCTTTGTACAGTAGTATTCTGTTTGTTCACATAATTAAACGTTATAATTACTTGTTTAAAAAAAATACTGGGATGAAGTGAGGCAGGGAGGAGCGAAAGAGAATGACAGGGCTAGACTAATATGGGGTCTTGCAAGCTCTGGGAAAGAATCTGGACATTATTCTAAATGGAATAGGAAGCCAGTGGAGGAATTTAAGCAGAGGTATGACATATCAGATTTTCTCTGGCAGTCATGTGAAGAACAGATTGCAGGAGAGGCAAGATTGAAGGCAGGGAGACATGTGATGAGGTTCTTGCCTTTCTCCAGGGGTGATTAAGACAGAGAGTGAGCTGGATCGTGGAGGTGGGGAGAAAGCCATGCATTCCAGATATGCTTTGAGGTAGAAGATTAAGTGTAGATGACAGGTGATTTTATGTACTGGAAATTAGAGTTTCATTGGGCATAATTTTCAATATTCTGTGCATAAAGAAATTACATCAATTTGGCCTCTCAACATTTTTTGAGCAAGGTGAGTCCTGAGACAGGTAGAGTTTGAACCATAACAGTTACAATGATCTTTTGCTGAATTTTATCTCTACTGCACACGTATTTAAACATGGCCAGGCACGGTGGTTCATGCCTGTAATCCCAGCACTTTGGGAGGCCGAGGCAGGCTGATCACCTGGGGTCAGGAGTTCGAGACCAGCCCGGACAACGTGGTGAAACCTCATCTTTACTAAAAACACAAAAATTAGCCAGGCATGGTGGTTCATGCCTGTAGTCCCAGCTACTCGGGAGGCTGAGGCAGGAGAATGGCTTGAACCCGGGAGATGGAGGTTGCTGTGAGCCGAGATCGTGCCATTGCATTCCAGCCTGGGTGACAGAGCGAGACTCCGTCTCAAAAAAAAAAAAAGAAAAAAAAATGGCCAGGCGCGGTGGCTCACACCTGTAATTCCAGCACTTTGGGAGGCTGAGGTGGGTGGATCATGAGGTCAGGAGGTCAAGGCCAGTCTGGCCAACATAGTGAAACCCTGTCTCTATGAAAAATACAAAAAATTAGTCGGGTGTAGTGGTGTGGGCCTGTAATTCCACCTACTCAGGAGGCTGAGGCAGGAAAATCGTGTGAACTCGGGAGGCAGAGATTACAGTGAACTGAGATTGTGCCACTGCACTCCAGCCCTGGCCACAGTGTGAGTGCAAGACTCTGTCTCAAAAAAAAAAAAAAAAAAATTTAAGCATGTAATATTGGCCGGGTGCAGTGGCTCACACTTGTAATCCCAGCACTTTAGGAGGCCAAGGTGGCCGGATCACCTGAGGTCAGAAGTTCCAGACTAGCCTGCCCAACATGTTGAAACTCCATCTCTTCTAAAAATACAAAAATTAGGTCGGGTGCGGTGGCTCACGCCTGTAATCCCAGCACTTTGGGAGGCTGAGATGGGTGGATTGCATGAGGTCAGGAGTTTGCGACCAACCTGGCCAACATGAGGAAAACCCCGCTCTACAAAAATACAAAAATTAGCCGGGTATGGTGGTGGGCACCTATAATACCAGCTCTTGGGAGGCTGAGGCAGGAGAATTGCTTGAACCCTGAAGTGGAGTTTGCAGTGAGCCTAGATCGTGCCACTTCACTCCAGCCTGACCAAGAACAAAACTCCACCTCAAAAAAAAAAAAAAAAAAACCAAAAAAAATTAGCTGGGTGTGGTCGTGCACACCTGTAATCCCAGTTACCTGGGAGGCTAAGGCAGAAGAATTGCTTGAACCCAAGAGGCGGATGTTGCAGTGAGCCAAGATTGCACCACTACACGCCAGCCTGGGCAACAGAGTGAGACATCGTCTAAGAAAAATAAAAATAAATAAATAAATAAATAGGCTGGGCACGGTAGCTCACACCTATAATCCCAGCACTTTGGGAGGCCGAGGTGGGTGGATCACCTGAGGTCAGGAGTGGGAGACCAGCCAGCCCAACATGGCGAAACCCTGTCTCTACTAAAAGTACACAAAATTAGCTGGTTGTGGTGCCTGGCGCCTGTAATCCCAGCTACTTGGGAGGCTGAGGCAGGAGAATCTCTTGAACCTGGGAGGTGGAGGTTGCAGTAAGCCGAGATCGCACCACTGCACTTCAGCCTCAACAATGAGAACGAAACTCCATCTCAAATAAATAAATACATAAGTAAAAATGCAATATGTGTGTTCACGTTTATACCGTTGTATAAATGATTCACCCAAATGAATGCATATCTTTTACCAGGGGCTACACCGGCCCCATTTTGTTTTTATGTCCAATAATATAATTAGAAGTAATGTACATTAGAGGCCGGGCGCGGTGGCTCACGCCTGTAATCCCAGCACTTTGGGAGGCCGAGGCGGGCGGATCACGAAGTCAGGAGATCGAGACCATCCTGGCTAACACGGTGAAACCCCGTCTTTACTAAAAATACAAAAAAAATTAGCCGGGCACGGTGGCGGGCGCTTGTAGTCCCAGCTACTTGGGAGGCTGAGGCAGGAGAATGGCATGAACCCGGGAGGCAGAGCTTGCAGTGAGCTGAGATCGCGCCACTGCCCTCCAGCCTGGGCAACAGAGCGAGACTCCGTCTCAAAATAAAAAAAGAAAAAAAAGAAATAATATATATTAGGTTTCTATTTCATGCCTGTGATCTGCTATCAGGAGAGAAAAAAGGACAAGAAAAATTGGGAGGTGACCACGATCATGTCTTTTGTGGGAATATGCATGGAGCTGGGGGCCATTATCCTTAGCAAACTAATGCAGGAACAGAAAACCAAATACCACATATTCTCACAAGTGTGAGTTAAATGATGAGAACTCATGAACACAAAGAAGACAACAACAGACACTGGGGTCTAATTGCGGGGGGCGGGAGGAGGGAGAGGAACAGAAAAGATAACTATTGGGTACTGGGCTTAATACCTGGGTGATGAAATAATCTGTACAACAAATCGCGGTGACACGAGTTCACCTATGTAGTAAACCTTCACACGTACCCCCGAACCTAAAGTAAAAGTTTAAAAAAAATTGGGAGAAGGAAGAACTCGGCAAAGGAGGGCTAGTTTGCAGGTAATTCACCTGGAGAACTGCCTGGCCCCTCCCTGGCTTTCCACAACATTTTGTGTTCTTTAAAACATTTTCCCCCAGCCAGGCGCCGTGATCCTAGCTCACGCCTGTAATCCTAGCACTTTGGGAGGCCGAGGCGAGCAGATTGCCTGAGCTCACGAGTTCGAGACCAGCCTGAGAAACATGGCGAAACCCCGTCTCTACTAAATACAAAATACATATATATATATATATATATATATATATATATATATTAGCCGGGCATGGTGGCATGCGCCTGTAGTCCCAGCTACTCCGGAGGCTGAGGCAGGAGAATTGCTTGAACCCAGGAGGCGGAGGTTGCGGTGAGCCGAGATCTCACCATTGCACTCCAGTCTGGCGACACAGTGAGACTCCTTTACAAAAAAAAAAAAAAAAAAAAAAAAAAAAGATTCCCTCAAATAAGTTGAGGTGGGGGGAGGTGTATTGTTACAATGCAAATCCTTTCCCATAAAATCCTTTAATAGCTCTCAGTGGCCTGCAGAATAAAACCCCAAATCCTTAACATGTCCCAGTTTGGTATTTTCCTACGCTTGGCCCTACCCGGGCCACCCCTTTCCAGGCTCTTTAATGGCGGAGCCTAGCTCTTTTCTGCCATGTGGCCTTACAGACTGGTTCCTGGGACAAGAATTGGCTACTTCTCCCTACCCAAGCTTTCGTTCGTTTTTTTATTCCTGGCCCCCACCACCTCCCCCCCATTTCTCTGCTCTCCTGTTAATTCCTTTGGAGCGATTACTATTTGTGAGTAGACATCCATTCGCGTGCATTCAGATCTATTATCCAAAAGACAGACGCTTATCCGTCTAGGTAGTCAGGCTCCAAGAGAGGAGCCCAGTCGGTCTGACTCCCGCAAACTCCCGGCACCGTGTCAGCCACATAGTAGGCGTCTACTGGAGACTTTGTTTAGATCAGTTAGTCAACGCAGGCAGCAGCTGAATCAGGAGAGAGTCCCCAACGCAAAGAAAGGGGCTCCTGAGACCCTTCGGGGCGCCGAGGCCCAGGTTTCGTCTCCCTCTGCTGCAGCAATGCCGTCGACTCAAAGGGGCTCGGGGCTGGGGAACTGGTTCTGGCAAACAGCACAACCTCGCCCGAATCCTGGTCCGCAGTAACTCGATCTTTCCCTTAGGCGGCGCTTCGGAGGGAAGGCGCCTAGTTCAGCGCGAGGCATCACGGGATTTGTAGTCTCCGTGGGCATATACCCACCGCGCTTGCGCACCGGTGAGGCGCGCACCGCCCCGCTCCACGCCCCTATCAGGATTCGGGTCCTCGTGAGGAGCAGTCCAGGCGACAGCGTTCCAACCTAATACGCCTCTCTCGCCCGCCGGGGACAAGACGGGCTGGGGAAAGAATCTGCTCTTCGGAGGCTATCGCAGTGCCTTGGAAGGCGGCAGGAATCCGCACACACCCGCCCCGGAAGTGAGCCGCTTCTGGCGCGGGGCATTGTGGGGGGCGTAGTCTCTTTCTCAGGCGGTCCTTCGCGGCGTCCCCGGGGCCCACTCCCGAGCGCAGGCGGGCAGCCAGGCGGGCGGCGCGGCGCGGGCCGGCAGGAAGCGTATTCTGGGCACGGGGCGCCGGGCGGGCCGGCTGCGCCGAGCGGCAGTGGTGGGATACCACCCAAGGCCTCGCGCGGCGCCGCCCGTCGAGGGGCGGGCGGCGGCGTAGCCACTGGGCCGTCGAAGAGCGCAGGAGGCCGGTGGGCCGGGCCGGGCCGCGCGGCGCAGCCATGCCTGGCTTTACGTGCTGCGTGCCAGGCTGCTACAACAACTCGCACCGGGACAAGGCGCTGCACTTCTACACGTTTCCAAAGGACGCTGAGTTGCGGCGCCTCTGGCTCAAGAACGTGTCGCGTGCCGGCGTCAGTGGGTGCTTCTCCACCTTCCAGCCCACCACAGGCCACCGTCTCTGCAGCGTTCACTTCCAGGGCGGCCGCAAGACCTACACGGTACGCGTCCCCACCATCTTCCCGCTGCGCGGCGTCAATGAGCGCAAAGTAGCGCGCAGACCCGCTGGGGCCGCGGCCGCCCGCCGCAGGCAGCAGCAGCAACAGCAGCAGCAGCAGCAACAGCAGCAACAGCAGCAGCAGCAGCAACAGCAGCAGCAGCAGCAGCAGCAGCAGCAGTCCTCACCCTCTGCCTCCACTGCCCAGACTGCCCAGCTGCAGCCGAACCTGGTATCTGCTTCCGCGGCCGTGCTTCTCACCCTTCAGGCCACTGTAGACAGCAGTCAGGCTCCGGGATCCGTACAGCCGGCGCCCATCACTCCCACTGGAGAAGACGTGAAGCCCATCGATCTCACAGTGCAAGTGGAGTTTGCAGCCGCAGAGGGCGCAGCCGCTGCGGCCGCCGCGTCGGAGTTACAGGCTGCTACCGCAGGGCTGGAGGCTGCCGAGTGCCCTATGGGCCCCCAGTTGGTGGTGGTAGGGGAAGAGGGCTTCCCTGATACTGGCTCCGACCATTCGTACTCCTTGTCGTCAGGCACCACGGAGGAGGAGCTCCTGCGCAAGCTGAATGAGCAGCGGGACATCCTGGCTCTGATGGAAGTGAAGATGAAAGAGATGAAAGGCAGCATTCGCCACCTGCGTCTCACTGAGGCCAAGCTGCGCGAAGAACTGCGTGAGAAGGATCGGCTGCTTGCCATGGCTGTCATCCGCAAGAAGCACGGAATGTGAACTGGTGCCCCGGCAGCCTGCTGGACTCCCAGACCCCATCCAGCCAGGGGACCGCAGGCCATTGTTGAACTCCTCTATACTCCTGGGCACTGGTTGACAGTACTGAGGCTTAAGGCAGCTGGACTCTCTTGCTGGTGACCTGGCATCCTCAATTGTTTCCTCCTGAAGTGGAAGCTGGGGCCTTAGACTCTGCCCTGGTGACACCAGCAATTATGACTTTGTCTACCCTTCCTCCCCAGTTATTGTTGCAGATTCTGGTTAAGCAGAGGCTTCAGAACCACTGAACTTGAAACTTACCCTCTAGGGATGCAGGTGGGATGTCCAGGGACTATAGGTTTGGGAAAACCATACCTTAAGGTTGGTCAGCAGTCAGACAACTCTAATGTGTGTAGTGATAAGAGATTCAAGTAACATCAGTTCTCCTCCTTTTCATGCTTTTCCTTCCCAGGTGCAGCCTGTGATTCTGATGGGGACTGGTAAATCTGTGCCTCTGCCTCCTAGGACTTATTTTCCCAGGAGGCCATTTACAAGGGGATCTGGATGACCTGCTGATGGAGATCCAGCTTGCCAGGGACTTAGGTTTATCCTGTTTTGTTTGCTACTGGTTACAAATTCTATTTTCTGTACAATTAGTCAGACTAAAGTTTTCACTGTGTTTGTTTGGCAAAACAAATTAAACAAAAAGTAAGGTTTTTATTTGGGTCTCGCCATTTTATTTTTACAAAAACATAGTTAAATGTCCTTGAAACATGGGGAAATAGGCCTCAGCCTTTCTGAAAGACCAGGCTGACCCTGAAAGTAGAGATGCTTCAATGACCAGTTTTTCCAAAAATGGGCCCTAAGCACATGGATCCTGGCCTTATAAGGTCCTCACAGAGTTCCTGGCCCAGCTCACCCTAAAGAGTTTGGAAACTGCACCAAATGGGCCCAGTTTGTCCATGGATTATCTCCCTGTATCCTTTCAACAAGAAGGACCAACTGGTAACTAAGCTATATTGTGATAGTTCGCCTCTGAGGGTTTCAATTCTCAGCTGGGATTGAATTTTGCTCACCATGACATCCCTTAGGCTTAGCACAGCCTCTGGTATGCATGTGCATGCAGTTACTCTGTGAACCGGTAAGAGCGCAGCTGGAGCTAGCCAGGGCTGCTTCAGGCACAAGGACTGTTGTATAGATACCTTGGCCTTGGTACACCTTCGGTGTGACAGAGCTGTATCCACAGAGAGCATTAAGAAGTTGGGAGGTGTGATTCCTTGACTCATTTTCTTGGCTGCCTGCCTCTATTTTTTTTTTTTTATTTTTTTTTAAGATGGAGCTTTGCTCTTGTCACCCAGGCTGGAGTGCAATGGTGTGATCTCAGCTCACTGCAACCTCTGCCTCCCAGGTTCAAGCAATTCTTCTGCCTCACCCTCCTGAGTAGCTGGGATTATAGGCACCCGCCACCACGTCGGGCTGATTTTTGTATTTTCAGTAGAGACAGGATTTCACCATGTTGGCCAGGCTGGTCTCGAGCTCCTGATCTCAGGTGATCCGCCTGCTCTGCCTCCCAAAGTACTGAGATTACAGGTGTGAGCTACCCCGCCCAGCCTCTATTTTTTCTTAGATTGAATATTGAAGGGGCAAGGATTACATTGCTTTTGTCTATAGCTCCAAGTAATTTAGCTCAAAGCCAATGTCTAAAAGTAAATGCCTTTAAAGCTCTGGGTTTACTGTGGGTGGTGGGGCACAAACGGAGACTTTCAGACCCCATAAAATATGACTCCCTTCTCTTTCTTACTTATGGACAAAGCCATCTGCCTGGGGACTTGTCTGTGGCAACATGCTGGGATGGTCCTAAAACTCAAGTCTCTGTTTCCCTTCTAGTCCCTTAGCACTGAGTTGGGAAAGTGGTGGGGAAGGAGTGAGACATAGGTTGTGTAGGTGGCTGGTTGGGGGATGGACTGGACCTCTGTCTTCCTAGGGTTAGATCTGGCTGGTAATCAGGTGGTGGAAGCACTGCAGTGCCCTTTGTTGCTCCTATTGGGCCAGTCTCACATCTTCCCGGTCGGAGCAAGGCCTTTTCCAGGATCCAGCCATGCTCTTCAGTGTATCCTTGAGCTCCTATTTATTGAAGGGACTTCTGCTGTTTCTGCATTGGCTCCCTTGAGGCTCTCAGCAGTACTCCCTGGACCCTCCCTGGTGTCTGGAGGTTATGGGCAGTGTTTTGGCTTCTTAGGGAGAAGAAGACAGTTCACAGAGCAAGGGAGATCCCAGATGCAGATGTATAAGCGGGGCAATGCAGAGTTCTCACTAGCTGAGTAATAAGCATCTAGTCAGGCAAAGTGTAGTGTTGACAGACCTGAGATTTAAAAAACAGAAGTGTGGTCCGGTCTTACCAGCCATCTCTTGGAGGGGTAGCCTGTGGGTGGGGGAAGGTGCAAAACTCTTGTGGAAGAACAGGAGTACTGAGAGACCTCCGGCCAGGAAGGAAGGCTAGGAGTTGCCTGGAGAGGCCTTGTAGCCATTTCCCTTACCTGTGGTACCCCAAGTTGGCTGCAGATCTCTTTGCCAAGCACAGGTCTGACCTAGAGACTGGCCTTACCACAAATGTTTGTGTTACCAAGAAAACAAATGGGCGTTGAAAGGAAAGGGCAATGGGTAGGAAGAGAACTATTTACAATCTGGTCACTTAAATCACAGCGAAATTTTGGGTAAGTCAGTCATTTCTCTTTCCTCATTAATAAAAATGAAACACTTAGCTGCTCTATCTGCTGCAAAAAAACCTTACAGAATGTTTTGGGGGGACCCCTGACTGTAGAAGTTTGAGGGTAACCTCTCCAACCAAGCCCCACCTGAGGGACATTTGAGTCTCCGGCCCAAGAATAGCCTAGCCTGCTCGAAACCAGCTTTGGGCCCGACTCGCCGAGGTGCAGGCGCACGAATGTTGGGATTGCAGGAGCTGTGCGTTCCGCCCGGGCTGGTTAAGGCCACACAGCTCGGAAGAGTAACAGCGGCAGCCATAGCCCCAAGGGGAGGGGGTTTCGTGAGCGGAAACGGCCCAGGGGCCCAGGGAGGGGCAGCTGGGCCAGCTTGGGGCCGGGCTGGGCTCCCACGGAGGCGGGGCCAACCCCCACCCCAGTGCACAGACTGGGCGGGGCCGAGCCAGCTGAGACCAGGAGACAACTGAGCCCTGACCCTAGCCTGGCGCCAACCTCTAGTGTTCCAGAGGCTTCCGCTAGACCACAATTCTCAGGGGCTTGCCCCGGCAGCCTCCCTCCCTGGCTTAGCCTCACCTCCCGCGCTGCGGGCCGTGTCTGGGCCTCCGCGCATAGCACGCCGGGAATTGTAGTTTTCTCTCGGCGCGCTCATGCCGGAAAGGGGGGGCGGTGGGACTGCGTCTCCCAGAGTGCAGCGGGGCGGGCGAAGGAAGGCAGGGGGGAAGGGACAGTCGGCCGCAGACCGCGCTGGGTTGCCGCTGCCGCTGCCGCCATCGTGCCAGCCCCTCGGGTGAGTGTCGGGGCCAGCACGCCGGGGCGGGGGCTGGGCCGCAGGAGCCGCTCTCTGGGCTGCCGGGAGGCTCCGCTGAGAGTCCCCGGGCGGCCCCTCCCCTCCCCCCCCCCCGGCGGCCCGAAGCCGCGCGGGGCCCGGGCCATGTGTCGCGCGCGGCTCCGCCTCCCGCCGGTCCTGTGAGGCGGCGGCCGGGGGTAACGCACAGAGAGCCAGCCGGGCGCCTATCTGGGCCGTACCGTGCTGGTGGCTGGTGCACCGGCCTGCGCCATGGCCAGGCCTTTTTCTCTAGTCAGGACCGTCCGGATGGGGCCTTAGGGCCCCGCCCCGTCTAGCCTGGCCCGGCCTGCGCGAGCCCCGCAAGCTCTGCAGGCTGGCTAGCGGGCAGACCCCAGCCCCACGTCCTGCTACCCACCTACGAAGGATCCGGGGATGGGCAGCGCCACCCGGCCCGCTCCAGAGTCAGCATGGGTAAGGGCGCCCGCCTGCCGCAGCCGGGGCTTGGGCCCCTCACCCTGTTCCCGACCATAGCCCGGCCGGGGTGTAGGTGAACGCCCCCTCCTTGTCTGCCCCTCGGAAGTGTACGTTTCTTACCGCGCCCTTTGTGGAGCCCGGACTGGAGTTCTCGCAGGGAGGGCAGGGTCAGGGAATATGAGGCGGGAGGGGATTCCACGGGAGACTTTATCCCTGTCTTGTCTTAGAGGATCTGGGCCTGATGGGGTGAGGCGGCTCCTGCCGGGTAGGCCCAGCCCACGCCCTTCTCTATCAGTGACCAGGCCCCAGCAGCAACACAGAATTGCCCCGCAGGACAGGATGACTTCATAAGAATGGGATGTTAAGGTGGGACTTAATGCACGGGAAGTAGAATTCAGGCCTGAGGTTCTTGAGCCTAGTGCTAAACCAGAACCTGGGCTGGAAGGGGCTTTGGGGGGTGGGGCACGTAGATTTCAGACTTTGTGGGGCCCTCCCGAAGCCTGGGTGGCAGAACTAGGGCTGGAAGCTCCAGAAAGTCTGGCTTCCCCTCACTTGCTTGCTCACTTCCCAACAACTGGAGCTGCCTGTAAACAGGCAGGAACCTGGTTGCTTTATGAAATTGCCCTTACTGATGCCATCAGAGACCCTACTGAGTTCTGGGGGAAGAGTTATCTTTGACCAAAAAATACTATCCTGATATCCTTTGTAAAGGCGCTTCTGATTGAGAGATGGTAAATTAAGGAACCAGTCCAGAGAAGACCTTGGGACTAGGGGAGAGATGGCATGTAAAGCGTTGATTTCTCTGAGCCGCAGTCTTTCCAGAGACTAAAGAAGTAGCTCAGGCCTGGCGCGGTGGCTCACGCCTGCAATCCCAGCACTTTGGGAGGCCAAGGCCAGCGGATCACCTGAGGTCCGGGGTTCCAGACTAGCATGGCCAACATGGCAAAAGCGCATCTCTACTAAAAATACAAAAATTAGCTGAACGTGGAGGTGCACTTCTGTAATCCTAGCTACTCAGGAGACTGAGGCAGGAGAATTGCTTGAACCCGGGAGGTGGAGGTCGCAGTGAACTGAGATCATGCCACTGTACTCCAGCCTGGGTGACAGGGCAAGACTCTGTCTCCAAAATAAAAAAAGCTGGGTGTGGTGGCGTGCACCTGTAATCCCAGCTACTTGGGAGGCTGAGGCAGGAGAATCGCTTGAATCCGGGAGGCAGAGGTTGCAGTGGGCAGAGATCATGCCACTGCACTCCAGCCTGGGCGACAGAGCAAGACTCTGTCTCAAAAAAAAAGAAAAAGAAAAAAAAAAAAAGCAGCAGCAGCTCAATCTCTGCAGCTCTGGCCTCAGGAGCAAGCAGAATATCAGGTCTCTTAGAAGGGCTGATTGAGACCCAAGGTGAAGAAAGCCACTGACCCTGCATATTTTTTTCTTCCTCCTTGAATATTTTCCCAGGTAATGTTTTTCTGTTCATTTCTGGTCACTTCTTCCAAGTACTCTTGACCTAGAAGTTTTCTTGCATATGAATTGCTCTGCCTAGTTATTCTCCCTGGTCAGGAAGAATAGGCAAGAATGCTGCTCAGATTTTACCAAGCCCTGCCTTCTCTCTGGATGTAACTTTCCTAGTCCATATCCTGGCCCATGAGGACATGGAAATCAGGTTCATCCAAGAGGCTCAGGAGAGGCCAACTTTGCCAGTGGAGCTGGGCAATAAGGAGGGACTACCCACAGGACAATGAGGTGAAATCTAGAACTAGAAGCAGTTATTTCAAGACCCTGTAGATTGTCTGCGTGGGTACTTTCTAGGACACAGATTTCAGGTGAGCTGGCTTACGGCTATGGCGTAGTTTGCGTATTTCATGGCCCTGGGTGACTTGACCAGGAGAGTTTTTGTTTTTCTCTCGAGACGGAGTCTCTCTCTGTCACCCAGGCTGGAGTGCTGTGGTGCGATGTCGGCTCACTGCAACCTCCGCCTCCTGGGTTCAAACGATTCTCCTGCCTCAGCCTCCCTGGTAGCTGGGACTACAGGCGCACGCCACCATGCCTGGCTAATTTCTGTATTTTTAGTAGAGAAGGGGTTTCACCATATTTGTCAGGCTGGTCAAACTCCTGACCTCAGGTGGTCTACCTGCCTTGGCCTCCCCAAAGTGCTGGGATTACAGGCATGAGCCACTGATCCCGGCCTAATTTTATTTTTATTTTTATCTATTTATTTATTTTGAGACGGAGTCTCACTCTGTCACCCAGGCTGGAGTGCAGTGGTGCGATCTCTGCTCATTGCAAGCTCCGCCTCCCGGGTTCACAGCATTCTCCTGCCTCAGCCTCCCGAGTAGCTGGGACTACAGGCGCCCACCACCACGCCCAGCTAACTTTTTGTATTTTTAGTAGAGACGGGGTTTCACCGTGTTAGCCAGGATGGTCTCGATCTCCTGACCTCGTGATCCGCCCGTCTCGGCCTCCCAAAGTGCCGGGATTCCAGGCGTGAGCCACCACGTCCGGCCTTATTTTTATTTTTTGCAGTGATGTCATCTCCATATGTTGCCCAGGCTGGTCTCAAACTCCTGAGTTCAAGCGATACTCCCACCTCAGCCTCCCAAAGTGCTGGGATTACAGATGTGAACAATTGCCCAGTGATCACAAGGGTTTTCTTCAGGGACAAAAAGATACTTTTCCTTCTCCAACGTTACTCAAGAGTAGGAGGAATTCAGGTCCCTCCCTCTCATTCCAACCTCTAGAAGTTCCCTGTAACTTCTTTTTTTTTTTTTTGAGATGGAGTCGTACTCTGTCTCACAGGCTGGAGTGCAGTGGCGCGATCTCGGCTCACTGCAAGCTCCGCCTCCCGGGTTCACGCCATTCTCCTGCCTCAGCCTCCCGAGTAGCTGGGACTATAGGCACCCGCCACCACGCCCGGCTAATTTTTTGTGTGTTTTTAGTAGAGACAGGGTTTCACCATGTCAGCCAGGATGGTCTCGATCTCCTGACCTCGTGATCCACCCGCCTTGGCCTCCCAAAGTGCTGGGATTACAGGCGTGAGCCACCGCGCCTGGCCGTTCCCTGTAACCTCTTTGTCTGAGGTCAGCTAGCCATTGCTAGGCATCCTGATCCTGAGAATTCGTTAAATGTTTCTGGAACTTGGCGGGCCATCTAGGTCTCAGATATAAGAGAAGTGGCCTGAGGTTCTCCAGGATCTATCTGCATCCTCTATTCATGTAGGGCTGACTTGGAAGTGGGACCTGGCATGCGGTGGTTGGGATATTGCCGCACAAGGATGAGGCAGGATACAAGATGCCTCAGTTCTCAATTAGCTCAAAATTATGTCCCTTCGTGTATAGGAGCCTATCTGCCTATCACTATTTTTTTTTGAGACAGAGCCTCGCTCTGTTGCCCAGGCTGGAGTGCAGTGGTGCAATCTCAGCTCACTGCAACCTCCGCCTCCTGGGTTCAAGCAATTCTCCTGCCTCAGCCACCCGAGTAGCTGAGATTACAGGTGCCCACCACCACACCCAGCTAATTTTTGTATTCTTAGTAGAGATGGGGTTTCACCATATTGGCCAGGCTAGTCTTGAACTCCTGACCTCAAGTGACCCACTCGCCTTGGCTGCCCAAAGTGCTAGGATTACAGGTGTGAGCCACCGCACCTGGCCGAGCCCATCTCTTCTCTCTGAGCCATGTCTTGTTTTATTCCGTTGCCTTTGGAGTTGGTGGTTTGGGAGGGGAATAATTACTTAAGAGAGACACAGAATAGGCAGGGTGCGGTGGCTCATGCCTGTAATCCCAGCACTTTGGGAGGGCGAGGTGGGCGGATCACGAGGTTAGGAGTTGGAGACCAGCTTGGCCAATATAGTGAAACTCTGTTTCTATTAAAAATACAAAAATTAGCTGAGCATGGTGGCAGGTGCCTGTAATCCCAGCTACTTGGGAGGCTGAGGCAGGAGAATCGCTTGAACCAGGGAGGCGGACGTTGCAGTGAGCCAAGATTGTGCCACTGCACTGCAGCCTGGTGACAGAGTGAGACCCTGTCTCAAAAAACAAGGGAGACCAGAATTTTGTTTTTTTTATTATTATTATACTTTAAGTTCTAGGGTACATGTGTACAACTTGCAGTTTTGTTACATATGTATACATAACGCCATGTTGATGTGCTGCACCCATTAACTCGTCATTTACATTAGGTGTATCTCCTAATGCTATCCCTCCCCGCTACCCCCGCCCCAGGACAGGCCCCGGTGTGTGATGTTTCCACCCTGGAGACACAGAATTTTCAAATTTCAGAACAAGTCTGGGCGCAGTGGCTCACGCCTGTAATCCCAGCACTTTGGGAGGCTGAGGTGGGTGGATTACTTGAGGTCAGGAGTTCAAAACCAGCCTTACCAACATGGAAAAACCCTGTCTCTACTAAAAATATGAAAATTAGCTGAGCGTGGTGGTGCATGCCTGTAATCCCAGCTACTCAGGAGGCTGAGGCAGGAGACTCGCTTGAACCTGGGAGGCGGAGCTTGCAGTGAGCTGAGACTGTGCCATTGCGCTCCAGCCTGGGCAACAACAGCGAAACTCCATCTTGAAAAAAAAAAATTCATAACTAGAAGCCACCTTATATCAAAAATTCTAGGATTCAGCACCAGCTCTGAAGCTGGAGCATTGCTTGAGGCCAGGAGTTCAAAACTAGCCTTGTCAACATAGCAATACCCATTTCTACAAAAGAAAAATAAAAAAATAGCCAGTGTGGTTGTGGTGTTGTATACCTGTAGTTCCAGCTGCTCAAGAGGCTGCAGGAGGTCAAGGAACCGTGAGCTATGATCATGCCACTGCACTGTAGCCTGGGGACACTCTAGCAAGACCCTGTCTCCAAAAAAAAGGCTAGGTTTCCCTTAACAAAACACTATTATCTTTTTTTCTTTTTTTTTTTTTTTCACCCAGGCTGGAGTGAAGTGTCACTCTTGCCCAGGCTCAAGTGCAGTGTCGCAGTCTCGGCTCACTGCAACCCCCGCCCTCCGGGTTCAAGCAATTCTCCTGTGTCAACCTTCCGAGTGGCTGGGATTATACCCGCCTGCCGGTATAATCCGGCTAATTTTAATATTTCTAGTAGAGATGGGGTTTTGCCATGTTGGCCAGGCTGGTCTCAAACTCCTGACCTCAGGCGATCCGCCCACCTCAGCTTCCCAAAGTGCTGGGATTATAAGCTTGAGCCACCATGCCTGGCCTTTTTTTCTTTATTTTATTTCTTTATTTTTTTATTTTTTGAGACAGAGTTTCGCTCTTATTGCCCAGGCTGGAGTGCAATGGCGTGATCTCGGCTCACTGCAACCTCTGCCTCCTGGGTTCTAGCGATTCTCTTGCCTCAGCCTCCCTAGTAGCTGGGATTACAGGCATGTGCCACCACGCCTGGCTAATTTTGTATTTTTAGTAGAGATGGGGTTTCTCCATGTTGGTCAGGCTGGTCTCGAACTCCCGACCTCACTCAGGTGATCCACCCACCTTGGCCTCCCAAAGTGCTGGGATTACAGGCATGAGCCACCGCTCCCGGCCCTTTTTTTCTTTCTTTTTAAAGTTTTTCTTAGGGTACATCAGCAGCCTTTTTATTTTATTTTATTTTATTTTAATGAGATAAGGTCTCACTCTTTTACCAACAGTGAGACCCTGTCTTTAAAATAAATTAAATAAATAGAAACCAGCCAGGTATGGTGGTGGGTGCCTGTAGTCCCAGCTACTTGGGAGGTGAGGCAAGAGGATCACTTCAGCCCAGAAGTTCAAGTCTGCAGTGAGCTGTGATTGTGGCACTGCTAAAGTGCAGTTGGTGCCATCTCAGGTCACTGCAGCCTTGACCTCCTGGGCTCAAGCAGTCCTCCCACCTCAGCCTCCTGAGTAGCTGGGACTACAGGTGCGCACCATCACGCTTGGCTAATTATTATTATTATTTCTGAGACGGAGTCTCACTCTGTCTCCCAGGCTGGAGTGCAGTGGCACGATCTCGGCTCACAGCATCCTCCACCTTCTGGGTTCAAGAGATTCTCCTGCCTTAGCCTCCCAAGTAGTTGGGACTACTGGCTCCTGCCACCATGCTTGGCTAATTTTTGTATTTTTAGTAGAGACAGGGTTTCATCATATTGGCCAGGCTGGTCTCGAACTCCTGACTTTGTGATCTGCCCACTCAGCCTTCCAAAGTGCTGGGATTCCAGGCATGAGCCATTGTGCCTGGCCACACCTGCTAATTTTTATATTCTATTTTTTAGTTTTTGTGGAGACAAAAGTCTCACTATCTTGCCCAGGCTGGTCTTGAACTCTGGGCTCAAGCAATCCTCCTGCCTCAGCCTCCCAAAGTCCTGGGATTACAGATGTGAGCCACTGTGCCCAGCCAAGTTTTACAACTTCTTGTAGAGACGGGATCTCACTGTGTTGCCCAGGCTGGTCTCAGAACTCTTGAGCTCAGGTGATCCTCCTGCCTCAACCTCCCAAGTACTGGGATTATAGGGAACAGCCACCACGCCTGGCCTGTTGTGCATGGCCTTCTTTTTGAGATGGAGTTTCGCTCTGTCACCTAGGCTAGAGTGCAGTAGCATGATCTCAGCTCACTACAGCCTCTGCCTTCCAGGTTCAAGCAATTCTCCTGCCTCAGCCTCTCAAGTAGCTGGGACTACAGGCACGCGCCACCACGCCCAGCTAAATTTTGTATTTTTAGTAAAGATGGGGTTTCACCATGTTGGTTAGGATGATCTTGATCTCTTGAACTCTTGGTCTGCCCGCCTTGGCCTCCCAAAATGCTGGGATTACAGGCGTGAGCCACTGCTTGCCTGGCCTGTGCGAGGCCTTCTAGTCCCCTGCTTGGAGCATGGGTTTGTGGCTTCTCCTCCTTTCACTGAGACCCTCCTATGGTCACTTTAAGTGCCCAATAGTTGTTCCTGTGGTGGTACCCATCAGGGCATCTTCCCAGGCACCAGACAGGAATTCTCCACAGAGGTGGGAGGTTCAGCAGACCTGGTCAGGGAGGCTCCTTGGATGTTCCTTCAACAGATGGCCCTTGCCTGGGGGCTTACAGAGGGAAACAGGAGACAGCAGGGACTTTGGAAATACCAATAGCGCTTGTTTTAGAATCCAATTCAGACCATTTTCGTTGAGGCCTCCAGGACAGAGGAATAGTCCTTTTGGGGCAAGGGGAGTGAATCCTAAAAGTTTTCCACAGAATAGACATTGAAAGTTGGGCATGATTTCTTGGCCGGGCACAGAGGCTCACACCTGTAATCCCAGCACTTTGGGAGGCCAAGGTGGGTGGATCATCTGAGGTCAGGAGTTTGAGACCAACCTGGCCAATATGGCAAAACCCCGTCTCTACCAAGATTCCAAAAAATTAGCAGGGCATGGTGGCAGGTACCTGTAATCCCAGCTACACGGGAGGCAAGAGAATTGCTTGAACCTGGGAGGCGGAGGTTGCGGTGAGCCAAGATCGCGCCACTGCACTCCAGCCTGGGCGACAAAGGGAGATCTCTGTCTTTAAAAAAAAAAGTTGGGCAGGATTTCTTTAAGCTGAGGTTGAGCCGAACCTTGTGCTGGGTGCTGGTTTGTTTTTTTTTTTAATTAATGTTTTGATAGGGCATTTGAGAATGATGTTTGTGTGTTTGCAGTTCAGTTTGAGTTGGCTACCCCTTTCCTGGCTTTGTGATTCTGTGATTCTCTCTTCCTTTGATCATATATGGCAGGAATTCTTGAGTCCCTCCCTCGGGGAGCCAGCAGTGTATGGATTATCCTTGGAGTGACTTAGGTCATGTGATATTATTCACCCTCTTTTTCCTCACCCTATCAGCTGGAGTGTGCCCTCCTGGGCAGAATGCTTTGCTTGGGTCTGGGTTTGGCTGGGAACGTGTCTTAGTGGCCAAGGGAGAGGGACACGAGGCCCAGGGTGGCCTGCCTAGGGGCCACAGGGCTCCTACTGCTGGCTGACCAGTGGCCAAGAACTTCTTTTCATTGTCTGGGGCGTTACTCATTTGTTGCTGTACCTGCTGTGTGCCAGCTCCTTAAGCCCCCAGGCTGGAGACAGGGCTGCTATGGGGATAGGGAACCCTTATTAGAGAGGGGTTTCTGGGGTACCTGGGAACTGAGGGCTGTTTGTCCCAGTGTCCTCAGTAAACTGGGGGAATTTTGGAATGTTTGTTTCTTAAAGTCTCGAATGATTCCATCAGAGCCAGTGGGTCTCCCGAGGGCAGAAACTGGAAAGCTTGCTGCCCCAGGAAAGAGCTCTGTGTGGAGATACTGGTTCCACTTGCAGGTGGTTTCAGGACTAGGAGAATGCAAATTCTCAGTTGTCCTAAGGTGTAAAGCTGCTTTGACCTGCTGAGTAGGTGCTCAGGTTCTTCCATTCTGAGGCTCCATGGAGCTTGCTGATTTCATAGGGGAAGACAAGGCCTGGGCTGCATTCCTTGCCACCCGATTTTTTTTTGGCGGGGGGGGGGGATGGGGGAAATGAGAATAACTTTATTTCATTGCGGGGAGTGGGCAGATGTCCAGCCTCAGAACTTCTGGAACTGCTTCTTGGTGCCAGCGGCCTTGGTGACCTTGAGCACGTTGAAGCGTACTGTCTTGCTCAGGGGCCGGCACTCACCCACTGTTACGATGTGGCCAATCTGGACGTCCCTGAAGAAGGTGGACAGGTGTATGGACATGTTCTTGTAACACCTGATTTTGTCACTTAGGTGCTTTCTGCTACTCCACATTGGCTCTCAGCTGTTTGCATCTCGGCCAGTTTTTTTTTGTTGTTGTTGTTTTTTGAGACAGTCTCGCTCTGTCGCCTAGGCTGGAGTGCCGTGGTGTGATCTCAGCTCACTGCAACCTCCACCTCCCAGGTTCAAGCAATTCTCTGCCTCAGCCTCCTGAGTAGCTGGGATTACAGGCACCCACCACCACGCCTGGCAAATTTTTATATTTTTAATAGAGACAGGGTTTCACCATCTTGGCCAGGCTGGTCTTGAATTCCTGACTTCATGATCCACCTGCCTCGGCCTCCCAAAGTGCTGGGATTACAGGCGTGAGCCACCATCCCTGGCCCAGTTTTTTTTTTTTTTTGCTTTTGTTTTCCTTTTTGAGTCGGAGTTTTGCTCTCGTTGCCCAGGCTGGAGTGCAGTGGCGTGATCCTGGCTCACTGCAACCTCTGCCTCCTGGGTTCAAGCAATTATCCTGCCTCAGCATGCGGAGTAGCTGGGATTACAGGCGCCTGCCACCACACATGGCCAATTTTTTGTATTTTTTATAGGGATGGGGTTTCATCATGTTGGCCAGGCTGGTCTCAAACTCCTGACCTTAGGTGATCTACTTGCCTTGGCCTCCCAAAGTGCTGGGTTTACAGGCATGAGCCACTGTGCCCGGCCCCATCTCGGCCAGTTTTGTGGACATTCTAATGCTGGCTATGCCAGTGGCCTTTTGTGGTCTTAAATTCTTTCTTAACCTCTTGGAGTCTTTGTTTCCTTGTCTATAAAGTGAAGATAATCATACCAGCTTCACAGGGCTTGTTGTGAGACTCAAGTGAGAGAATACAGAAGTGTTTGACTCACAGGAGGTGTTCCCTCCACCACTCTGTGGACGCCATGGTCATCCCTTTATTCCCTGCTCTTCTCAGTCTCAGCGTGTCACAACAGTGTTGGCCAGGCCACAGGAGTGGTCACTTAGGGGTCTCAAGCCCCATTAGGGGAGCCAAGTCCATGTTTACCTGACAATCAAGTTCATGGCCTGAGGCTCAGTTCACAGATGGGAGCTGTGTAGAAGGAATGGGGCCCCAGAGGTCTTCTCAGTCACTGGGGAAAGGGAGGTTACATAGGGAGTGAGTGCAGAGCAGAGACCAGAATGCAGGTCTCGGGATTCAGCTGGGCCAGTCAGGGAAGCCCAGTGGCTCTAGAACCCTCCCTGCAGGCAGAAGAGGAGGAAGGGGCCCTTAGGGTGCTGTGGGCACCTAGACCTCAGGTGACAGCCCCAGGAAAGGATTCTGTCTTGGCCAGCCATCTGGGCTGATTGCACTCCATCCTTCAGCCAGGGGAGTGGCGGGCCAGGCAGTTTCCATTCCTGATTCTAGGCCATCTCCATGGTGTGGGCGAGATACCTACCTTCTTCCTAGCTGTTGACCTAGTATTCACCTAGGAACCCATACTGACTCCTTACAGCTGGGTCCTGCTCCATACCCCATTCATTACCTCCTAACATCCTACAATTACTAATGATGGGACAGAGTCAAAGGGTCAAATAACAAGGGAGAAGTGGAGCAGGCTAGAGGCCAGGTCTTTGAGGGTGTGGCTGTGCCTGCTGTTTAGCCACAGCTGTCTCTCACTAGGACCTTGGGAATGAGAGAGTATTGGGGCCAAGCCCCAATTGCCACATGCCATAGACAGATAGCTGGGTGGACAACAAATAATTGTTTCCTCACAGCTTGGACAGAAGGTGTGGGTGGAGGGGAAGTGGGTCAGTAGGCCACTTGAGTGGAGTTTGCCCAGAACTTACTCCTCCTCCAGAGAAGAAGGGCTGGCCTCTCAGCCCAGGCTCTGACACACTCATGCACTTAGTCAACAAATAGTTTGTTTGAGGGCTGGGCCAGGTACCATGGGAACAGGGATGACTAGGGGTGCTTTGTCAGGGAGATAGACCGTAAACAAATACCAAACTGTGACAATGTCATGCAGTGATAAGTGCTAAGAAAACAATACAGGAGGCAAAATGGGTAATCAGACAGCTACTTTATTATTTATTTATTTTAATTGAGACCGAATCTCACTCTGTCGCCCAGGCTGGAGTGCAATGGCATGATCTCGGCTCACTACAATATTTGCCTCCCTGGTTCAAGTGATTCTACCACCTCAGCCTCCCGAGTAGCTGGGACTATAGGCGCATGCCACCATTTCTGGCTAGTTTTTGTATTTTTAGTAGAGACGGGGTTTCACCATGTTGGCCAGGCTGGTTTCAAACTCCTGACCTCAAGTGATCTGCCTGCTCAGCCTCCCAAAGTGCTGGGATTACAGGCGTGAGCCACTGTACCTGGCCACTAGACAGCAACTTTAGACTAAGGGGTCAGGGAAGGTGTGAATGAGGAGGTGACATTCGAGCTGGCACATATGTGACACACGAAGATCTAGGAAGTAGAGTGGTCCAGATAGAAGGAGCAGCAGTTACAAAGCCCTGCGATGAGAACAGACTCAGCATGTTCCAGATAGAGGAAATTGCCTGGTGCAACTGTAGAGGAGGGGAGGGAGTGGCAAGAGATGAGGTTGGACAGCCAGGAGGGCCAGGTCACCTAGGACAGGATAAGTGGTTGAGACTTTGTTCCAGGTGCCATGGGACAGAATACATAGTAGCACCCCTCCTCAGACCATAAAATCGGGGGACTTCCAGAAGGACTGACACCCAGCAGTGTCTTCCTGTCTGGTTGCTGCTGCTCTGCCTTCAGGACACTTTTTTTTTTTTTTTTGAGACAAGATCTCACTGTGTTGCCCAGTCTGGACCTCCCTGGCTCAAGCCATCCTCCTACCTCAGCCTCCCGAGTAACTGGGGCTACAGGCATATTCCACTATGTCCAGCTTTTTTTTTTTTCCTGTAGACATGAGGTCTCACTATGTTGTCCAGGCTGGTCTTGAACTGCTGGGCTTAAGCAGTCCTCCTGCCTTGGACTCCCAAAGTGTCCGAGGGATTACAGTCATGATTACAGGTGTGAGCCACCACACCCGCAAGACGCTTTTTACACTCTGGCTCCGAGGGTTTGTTTTTGTTTGTTTGTTGAGATGGAGTCTCACTCTGTTGCCCAGGCTGGAGTGCAGTGGGGTGTTCTCAGCACACTGCAACCTCCACCTCTCAGGTTCAAGCAGTTCTCCTGCCTTAGCCTCCCAAGTAGCCGGGATTACAGGTGCATGCCACCACACCCAGCTGATGATTTTTTTTTTTTTTTTTGAGGTGGAATTTTGCTCTTGTTGCCCAGGCTAGAGTGCAATGGCACAATCTCGGTTCACCGCAACCTCTGCCTCCCGGGTTCAAGCGATTCTCCTGCCTCAACCTCCTGAGTAGCTGGGATTACAGGGAAAAATTAGCTGCCACCATGCCCAGCTAATTTTTTGTATTTTTAGTAGAGACGGGATTTCTCTATGTTGGCCAGGCTTGTCTGGAACTCTCGACCTCAGGTGATCCACCCGCCTCAGCCTCCCAAAGTCCTGGGATTAGAGGCGTGAGCCACCGCGCCTGACCTGATTTTTGTATTTTTAGTAGAGATGGGGTTTCACCATGTTGTGCCCAGGCTGGTCTGGAACTCCTGACCTCAGGTGATCCACCCGCCTTGGCCTCCCAAAATGTTGAAATTACAGGCGTGAGCCACTGCGCCAGGCCTTTTTTTTTTTTTTTTTTTTTTTTTTTGGAGATGGAGCCTCACTCTGTCACCCAGGCTAGAATGCCGTGGGTCGTTCTTAGCTCACTGCAGCCTCCACCTCTCGGGTTCAAGCAATTCTGCCTCAGCCTCCCGGGTAGCTGGGATTACAGGTGTACACCACCATGGCCAGATATTTTATTATTTTTTTTTTTCTTTTTTTTTGAGATGGAGTCTGGCTGTGTTGCCCAGGCTGGAGTGCAGTGGTGCAATCTCCACTCACTGCAAGCTCCGCCTCCTGGGTTCACGCCATTCTGCTGCCTCAGCCTCCCAAGTAGCTGGGACTACAGGTGTCTGCCACCACGCCCAGCTAATTTTTTGTATTTTTAGTAGAGACGGGGTTTCACCATGTTAGCCAGGATGGTCTTGATCTCCTGACCCTGTGATCCGCCCACCTTGGCCTCCCAAAGTGCTGGAATTACAGGTGTGAGCCATCATGCCCAGCCTTTTTGTTTGTTCTGAGGCAGAGTCTTGCCCTGTCACTCAGGGTGGATTGCAGTGGTAAGTTCACAGCTCACTGTAGCCTGGACCTCCCAGGCTCAGGTGATCTTCCCACCTCAGCCTCCTGAGTAGCTGAGACTAAAGGAGTGAACCACCATGCCCGGCTAATTTTTAAAATTTTTTGTAGATATGGGGCTTTGTTGCTGAGGCTGGTCTGGAACTCCTGGACTCAAGTGATCCTCCTGCGTGGGCCTCCCAAAGTGCTGAGATTACAGATGTGAGCTACTATGCCCAGCCTTGGGCCTGAGGGGTTTAAGCCATGTTGGCTATCAGTTTCCCTGTTGGAGGAGTCCTTTCCAGGCTGTGCCTCAAGGCTGTGTTTTTGGCCTCCGTGATAGCATGTGTGGAGGATAGCCACGACTGGTACCAATTTTGGGGCCCTCACTGTAGGCCATGCAAATCTGCTGGCATTCCCTGTGGGCTTCAGCAGACACATGAGAATCTTTCTGTGTGCCAGTCTGGAAGGAGTGATAGCGTCTTCTCGATCACTCTCCTGCCTCAGGCTAGGATCTCTGTCTGCTCTGTCTGCTTTGCTGAGATGGTAGAACAGGGTTGTGACCTCGAAGGTTTGAGAAAGCTGACATCATCCTCCATGAAAACTCCTGTTGTTTGGACTCTAGGTTTGATGTGGAACTCTTCTGCCTGAGGCCTTTGTTTGGAGGTGGAAGCCCTGGTTCAGGACTGCCTTGCCCCTTTCTGAGAGAGCCAGGCTCAGAGGAGTGCTCTCACTGATGTAGTCTGTTCTTGTCTCCAGGCCCACGTTGTCACTAGAAGTCCTGACTCTGGAGAGGCCTCCAAATCTGGTCAGTCCAATTCCACCACCTATCAGCTGCTGACCTAGAGCGAGTTGGAGTTGGCTAACCTCGCTGAATCTCCTTTTGGTCATCTCTAACAAGGGGGTTGACTCACAGGGTGTGGTTACAAACAAGTGCACATAAGCTCTTTGCACATTTCTGTGCCTCATATGCATTAGTGAAAATGAAGTGTTCACAGCCAGACAGTTATTTTGAGTTTTGTTCTTGGAAACACTTAAAATTGGAAGATAAAAATGGAGTTTTTCTGTTGTCTAACGGGATCTCCTGGGTCAGAGGTTTTAACCTGGGATCTATGGCTGAACAGTTGAAAATTATTCACAAGGCTGGGGCATCTCTACCTCTGTGCAAATGTGTTGGGAGAGGGCCACAGTTGCTGAGACATTCTTGGAGGGTCTTTGCACTCACAGAGACCTAAGGGTCAGTGAAGGCTGGTGTTCAGTGGGTGAGAGGTCATCAGAGTCTTTTCTGCTCCTCAAGGAGCCTGGCCTCAGCCTGCGGACTGTTGGGGTGAAGCAGGAGATGGTGTGGTCAGCGGCCCTCTCACAAGAGCTGTAGGAGAAGCTGTCATGATGGTCAGTCCCCAGTCTAATGTGAGGCTGCCTCTGAGCCCGGGCTTTTTTGTTTCCAGCCTGTTACTTGCACAGTAAATGTGTTAGAAACAAGATCAGAGCTTGCTGGCTATTCTGGGGAACATCTTCCAGCCTGGCCTGGACCCCTCCCTCATGTTGCATGGGGATAGGATGGGGGCTCTGCACTCTTGCTTCTTTTTTTGGACTCAAGAGTGTTGCCTCCCGTGGGAAGGGTGGGGATCGCAGGAGGGGACTTTCCTGTGTACAAAACATGGTGAGCAGGCTCTCGGTAGGTTCTGTTGTGTCTGTATGTAGCTGGATCGAGGTAGGAGGGAATGGCTTAGGGAGATGGGGATGAGGGTGGATGGCCACCTGTGGAGCTTAGGGAGTTTGGCCTTTAAGCCAAAAGCAAGGGTGTTTGTAGGGGAGGAGCATGGTCAGCTTTGTGGTTTAGAGCTCAGGGATGCAGAGTTAGCAGAAAAAAGAGACGGGCCTTGACCAGAGGACCCAGTGTCAGCACTGATGTACCAGGTGAGCTTAGGGCAAGACCCAGCGACATCACTGGATGACAGTGGATTCTGACTATGTGGCTGTTGTGATCACTACTTGGAAATAAACACAAGACAGTGAAGCAGGCCTCAATCCCACATAGTTTTGAAGGTTCCTTGTCATTTTCTGGGAGCCCCTGATGTGTCCTATTCCTCAGAGAGCTTACTCTTCCCCACTCTTCTCTGCCCTACCAGGCCAAAGGGTCTTTCTCTTCCTTTATCCCTCCACCCCATTTCCTTCCACCACCACTTCAGTCAAGGAGTTTTTGTATCAGAAAGTTATCACAGGCCAGTTATGGTGGTGCACGCCTGTAATCCCAGCACTTTGGGAGGCCAAGCTGGGTGGATCACTTGAGCTCAGGAGTTTGAGACCAGCCTGAGCAATATGGTGAAGCCTGGTCTCTACAGAAAACACAAAAAGCAGCCAGACGTGGTGGTGCTTGCCTGGAGTCTCAGCTCCTTGGGAGGTTGAAGTGGGAGGATTGCTTGAGTCCTGGAGGTCAAGGCTACAGGGAGATGAGATGGCATCACTGTACCCTGACCTGGGGGACAGAGCGAGACCCTTTTCATGCCCCGGGACATTTGCTGGTGCTGTTTCTTCTGGTTGGCATACCCTTTCTGAGGACTGCCCAACTTTGCTCTGAGCCAAGGGTAGAAGGAGATGTGGCCCTTATCCATTCCTCCAGCTTTTCCCCTACCCTCAGAGCTCTTAGGCAGTGGGTATGGCACCTTGGAAGCTGCAGCAGGGTCAGGGCACATTGAGTGACTAAGCATAGCAAGTACCAGGTGGACGGGGCAGAAATGCCAGAGGTGGGAGCTGTGCTCTGCCTTAGGTCCTCTAAGTTTGTGTGTGAGTACAGCCAGTGTCTGACCTCTTGGAAATGTGACCAAGACCACAGTGAAGACTAGATGATGGTCCTGTGCTTTCCCCACTTGTTGATTTCTTTCTTGGCAGAGTATGAACTAGGACACACCTTGTGTTCCTGTGTGGCAGGCGTGACTGGATCCAAGCTTTCTCCCCTGCTTGCTTTAGATTTTCCTGGACATTTCTTAGTCATCCCAGCACTGAGCTTCTATTTTTAGTGCCACTACCTCCTAGGGGACCTAAAATAAAGCTGGCTTAGCTTCCTGCTCCCTCATTGGCTTGAGTGTTGGTCACAGAGCGGAGGATTGGCTGCGTTCTCACTCTTTCCCTACACGATTCCTCCCCGCTGGCTCCTCTGGCTTTGGGCGAGGTCACACGGACTGGAGTGAGCTAGCACTTACCATGTTGAGCTGAGGGCTTTATCATGTTCCTTTAGAGAAGCTTCACAACCACCGGCACTGTCAGGTTGCCATCCCCATCTTATAGTGGAGGAGGCTGAGGCCCTAAGAAGGGCAGTGACTTGCATCAGATCCCACCACTGCGAATGCTTGTCTGCTGGGGTGGAACCCACCTCCTCACTGCTTTGGTTCAGAGTCCTATTATCAGGACAGAGGGAGTGGGCTCCTCTACAGTTGGGGCCATCCACAGAAAAACATGTGGGTCTGCAGTCAGGGGATCTGCAGCAAGATGTGGGCTTCCCTACTTGGAAGCAGCCTAGCAAAGCCCAAGCGGCTCTCCCATCTGGGGCTTGGGTTTTCCATCCAGTATCCTTACAGCCATGGTCTCTAGTTGGGAGGGGGCCTCCTCTCAGAGACCCGAGAGAGACAGCTCCTTAGGGTAAAAGCAATGCTGGGATGAGGGGATATGAAGGGATGACACGTTTCCCTTCACAGCCTCCATCCCCTCTTCCCACAACCCTCAGCTTTCCCTCTGATCCTTGAACTCATGTCCCCAGCTCTGAAGTGGGTAGGAGTCACTCCCATCAATGAAGAAATATCCTAGAAAGGGCCAGGTCAGGTAATCACCTGGCCTCGGGGAAGTAAACTGCCCCCATGAGACTAAGGGATCACTTGCTGTTTTTGGCAGAGGAGGGCCCTTGGCTGGGTACAGTGGCTCACGCCTGTAACCCCAGAACTTTGGGAGGCCAAGGCGGGTGGATCACTTGCAGTCTGGAGTTCGAGACCAGCCTGGCCAACATGGTGAAATCCCATTTCTACTAAAAATACAAATTAGCTGGGTGTGTTGGCAGGCGCCTGTAATCCCAGCTACTCTGGAGGCTGAGGCAAGAGAATCACTTGAGCCCAGGGAGCGGAGGTTGCAGTGAGCCAAGATCACGCCATTGCACTCCAGCCTGGGCAACAAGAGTGAAACTCTGTCTCAAAAAAAAAAAAAAAAAAAAAAAAGAAGAGGGGCCTTGAGAATCTCCCCACATCCTCACTGGGTCTTCCATCTGTCAGCGTAGCCCTGGGACAGTGTTGGGGGCCTGAGGGCTGTAGTACAAAATAGTACACACACACAGGTATCAGTTGTTCTTGGCTGTAAAGTGGGAAGAATAGCAATAACTCTGTCCTTGCAGGTTGTTGAGAGGATTACATGGAAAGATACTGGAGGAGTGCTTAACTCCTCCCATAAGGCCCCTCCCCTTACTGGGCTTTCAAGGGCCTGCTCTGACCTTTCTTTGTTGTAGATCTACCCTTAGCACCCCTCCTGTGTGCTCCACGACCCTATCATCTATGTGTCTCATCAACCAAGAACTCAAAGGAGAGGCTGGGTCTGATCTACCTCTGGGCTCCTAGCACTGGTCTGGCTTGGGAGGGGTCTCCTGCCAGTTCCCCAGGGCCTGTCCGTGTTCTCTGAGAGAACAGATCTCAGCAAAGGACTCCAGGAAGGCCAGTGAGGGGTGGGGGTCAGTGGCTGGTCACCTACTCTCATGGTACCAATGCTTCCCTCCTGGTCTCATTGGTCTTGCAGGTCTCCGTGAGGCCGGGTGACGCTCCAGAATGGGAGACAAGCCAATTTGGGAGCAGATTGGATCCAGCTTCATTCAACATTACTACCAGTTATTTGATAATGATAGAACCCAACTAGGCGCAATTTACGTAAGTTTCCAGCTCTAGGGCCAGAATGGACCCTAGGGGATCAATTTGGATGTTGGGCCAGTGTGTCCAGTTCACAAGTTCTGGCAGCCCTATCTGGACTGGCTACACCTCTGTATCTGAACTTTTGTCCACGGGACAGGGGTCTGACGCTTGGCCCAAGTAATTACCTGGTCTATACTTTTCCTTTTGTCAACTTCCACAAGAGTGAGAATCCTGCTGTTCTGGGCTTGCCATTCCATGTGGCCAGCATTTGTCATGGCACATGGTTTTGGATTGGGCAGCAACAGGCAGAGGTTAGGGCTCATGGTGCCCTCTGGAGGCAGCAGCCATGAGCATCCTCAGTGCAAAGCTGAGCTCTCTTGGAGGCCTGGGGTCCAGCTTCCTTTTGGATCCAAGGCTCCTGAATGCTCATGGAAAACAAATGAGGTTAGCCCAGGGAGGCTGATAGGTCATTTCACAAACCCTTCTATGCAGGCATTGCTGGCTGCTCTTTTTTTTTTTTTTTTTTGAGATGGAGTCTTGCTCTTTCGCCAGGCTGGAGTGCAATGGCTCGATCTCAGCTCACTGCAAGCTCCGCCTCCTGGGTTCAAGTGATTCTCCTGCCTCAGCCTCCCGAGTAGCTGGGATTACAGGCGCCTGCCCCCATGGCCAGTTAATTTTTTGTATTTTTAGTAGAGATGGGGTTTCACCATGTTGGCCAGGCTGGTCTCGAACTCCTGACCTCGTGATCCTCCCACCTTGGCCTTCCAACGTGCTGGGATTACAGGCGTGAGCCACTGCGCCCGGCATTTGCTGCTCTTTTAACGATGTTCATATACACCAAGAACTAATTGTACTTGACTCTGCCTGAGAGTCAGTCACAAAAATGTGATTGATCAGGCAGGTGAGCCCAGGATGGGGGTGTTAGGAGTAATCCAGGCACAGTCTCAGAGCCTGATTGGGCTGACTCTCCACAGTCTTCTGTGTCTGTCTCCAGAAAGTCAGTGTCCATTCAGAAATTTTGGAAAAAATAATGAAATTTTATTAGTGGAAGACCAATTCCAGCACAGATATTTGATTGTCATTATCATAGTAGAGTTTTTTTTTTTTTTTTTTGAGACAGAGTCTCACTCTGTCAACAAAGCTGGTGTGCAGTGGGGTGATCTCAGCTCACTGCAACTTCTGCCTCCTGGGTTCAAGCGATTCTTGTGCCTAGCCTCAGGAGTAGCTGAGGCTACAGGCATGCACCACCAAGCCTAATTTTTTTTTTTTCTTGAGATGCAGTCTCACTCTGTCGCCCAGGCTGGAGTGCAGTGGTGCAATCTTGGCTCACTGCAATGTCCATCTCCTGGGTTCAAGCTATTCTCCCATCTCAGCCTCCCAAGTATCTGGGACTACAGGCACGTGTTGCCATGCCCGGCTAATTTTTGTATTTTTTAGTAGAGATGGGATTTCACCATGTTGGCCAGGCTGTTCTTGAACTCCTGACCTCAGGTGATTTGCCTGCCTCAGCTTCCCAAAGTGCTGGGATTACAGGCATAAGCCACCGCGCCCGGCTACACCTAATTTTTGTATTTTTAGTGGAGGTGACATTTCACCATGTTGGCTAGGCTAGTCTCCAACTCCTGACCTCAGGTGATCTGCCTGCCTTGGCTTCCCAAAGTGCTGGGATTACAGGTGTGAGTTACCATGCCCAGCATAGAGTTTTTGAAACCTTGAAGTGATCTGACCTGAGATCCTGGCACTTGTGCCTCATTATCACTCTCCCTTTTTTTTTTTTTGAGATGGAGTCTCACTCTGTCACCTAGACTGGAGTGCATTCATGCGATTTTGGCTCACTGCATCCTCTGCCTCCCAGGTTCAAGCAATTCTCATGCCTCAGCCTCCCAAGTAGCTGGGGTTACAGGCACGCACCACCATGCCCAGCTAATTTTTGTATTTTTAGGAGAGACGGGGTTTCACCATGTTGGCCAGGCTGGTCTGGAACACCTGACTTCAAGTGATCTACCCACCTTGGCCTCCCAAAGTGCTGGGATTACAGGTGTGAGCCACTGCACCTGGCCTCATTATCTCTTAAAGCAGGCCTGAGCCAGAGAAGAGAGTTAGCAAGGTCCTAAAAGAACAATTTATATTTATTATTTCATAATACTCAGCACATTACCCCTTTGAAGGTTAGGAAACTAAGACTCAGAGAAATAACTTACTTAATGTCACAGCTAGTAAGCAGCAGAAGCCCTTTTGAGTTCTGCCCTTGAAGGCTGTGGAAGGGAAGATTTGAGGTGGAACTAAGCTAAGTGGGTTACATTTGAGATTTTGCTTCTTGGTGGTAGGGAGGGTCCCAGACTAGGCCTTGGAAGGCCCTGTCAGCCTCTATCTCTCCCTGACCCCATGGGTATCCAGAAGGCTAGCTAGAAAGTCCACAGTGGAACTTAGCCTCGGCCCTGGAGGGTGATGAATGTGGAATTTTTCCAAGTTATTTCTGATGACTTTTTTTTTGAGATGGAGTCTTGCTCTGTCACCCAGGCTGGAGTGCAGTGGTGCGATTTCGGCTCGCTACAAACCGCCGCCTCCTGGGTTCAAGCAATTCTCCTGCCTCAGCCTCCTAAGTAGCTGGGATTACAGGCGTGCGCCACCATGCCTGGATAATTTTTGCATTTTTAGTAGAGTTGGGGTTTCACCATGTTGGTCAGGCTGGTCTCGATGTCCTGACCTCGTGATCTTCCCGCCTTGGCTTCCCAAAGTTCTGGGATTACAGGCGTGAGCCACCGTGCCTGGCCACATTTCTGATGACCTTTTGGGACTGACACTGACTGACCACACAGCAGGATGGCTGAGCTCAGGCCAATATAGCCCTCCTGGGCCTATGCATATCAGAGACCATATGACTTCTTAAATACAAATGGGAAGTATATTTTATTAAATAGTCTTTCAAAGCCTGGGCCCAGGGTCAATGGGGTAGAAGATGTTGATAGTGTAATGTTTGGGGGCTATACTCAGTCTCCTTCTTTAGACAGGGAAACTGAAGTGTGGCCACACTTCTCCAAGCAAGGCCCTTTTCAGAGTCTTTCCAGGGCCTTAGAGATACTTGTACTCTGAGGCCCCAACCCTGGGGTTTCCTGTGCCTTTTTCAGATTGACGCGTCATGCCTTACGTGGGAAGGACAACAGTTCCAGGGGAAAGCTGCCATTGTGGAGAAGTTGTCTGTAAGTAGGGAAGAAAGCCAGGGTGCAGGTGGCTCCTTTCCCACCCCTTCTGGCCTTGGTTCTCCCACCTCCCACTCTCTCTCTTGTAGAGCCTTCCGTTCCAGAAAATTCAGCACAGCATCACCGCGCAGGACCATCAGCCCACTCCAGATAGCTGCATCATCAGCATGGTTGTGGGCCAGCTTAAGGTAATGGTACTGCCACAGTGGTAGGGAGGGGTGGGCAGGCAGAGGAGAGTCTTGTACCCCTGCTTTCCCTGTGGATGTGACCTGCTTATCTAGGGACACCCAGACAAAGTGACTGTCTAGAGCTGCGTAGTTCAGTATGCTAGCCATTAGCCACATGTAGGTGGCAATTTTTAAGTTATATTAATTAAGATTAAATAAAATGTACTTCTTCGGTTGTACTAGCCATATAGAACATTTTTGTGACTGTAGAAAGTCCTATTGGCAGACACTGGTCTAGAGCCTTTATCTGGAAAAGGGAGAAGTATAGGAGTAGGATGGGACTGGGGTGCCAAGCCACTAGGCTCCCACTCTGCCCTAAGGTCAAGGTGGACAGGCTAGCTGGGTGCGGAGAGGCAGTCCACTCCTGCAGCCCTTGCTACCACTCCTCAGGCTGGCTGCTGGCTCCTTGCCTGCTGAGCAAAGCAGATTCCTGGAACTCCTATTTCTTTTTTTTTTTTTTTTTGAGACGGAGTCTCACTCTTGTTGCTTAGGCTGGAATGCAGTGGCACAATCTCAGCTCACTACACTTCTGCCTTCCGAGTTCAAGCAATTCTCCAGCCTCAGCTTCCCAAGTAGCTGGGATTACAGCTGCCCGCCACCACACCCAGATAATTTTTTGTATTTTTAGTAGAGACAGGGTTTCACTATGTTGGCCAGGCTGGTCTTGAACTCCTGACCTCAGGTGATCCACCTGCCTCGGCCTCCCAAAGTGCTGGGATTATAGGCGTGAGCCACCTATTTCTCTTTGCATTTTCCTTCCTCCTTCTCAAGACCTATTATTCTCAGAGACTTCCTGTGGTCCCTCAGACCCCCCAAGAACTCTCCAAGGACCTGTTGTGCTTCAGCATATTAAAGTCAGATTCTGGGCTGGGCGCGGTGGCTCACGCCTGTAATCCCAGCACTTTGGGAGGCCGAGGCAGGCAGATTACCTGAGGTCAGGAGTTTGAGACCAGCCTGACCAACATGGAGAAACCCTGTCTCTACTAAAAATACAAAATTAGCCAGGCATGGTGGCACATGCCTGTAATCCCATCTACACGGGAGGCTGCGGCAGGAGAATCGCTTGAACCTGGGAGGCAGAGGTTGCGGTGAGCTGAGATTGCACCATTGCACTCTAGCCTGGGCAACAAGAGTGAAACTCTGTCTCTAAATAAATAAATAAAGCCAGATTCTGTTTACAAAAACACCCTTCTTCCCAAAAATAGCAGGACAAATTGGCTGCCCCTCGGCCTGGGCTTGTGTCTTACAATAACATGGTCACATGCTCTCTTTCTCTAGGCTAGCCGGGACAGGGCTTCCTGAGTCCAGAGTGGGTGTGTAGGTGGTCCTGTGGGCCTCTGCAGTGGACGCAGAGGCACCTGCTTTCTGGCCTGGACTTTCCTGTCAGTTTCTCCTGCCTGTTCAGGATGTCCTGCTCAGTGCCTGTGCCTGAAGAGGCACAGAATTCAGGAGGTCTCTGTAGGGAGCTCATTGTTCACTTTCTCAGGCAAAGGTAGTAAACACTGCTGCTTCCCACCGGCTTCAGGTTCTTCCTGGTGATTCTGTCCAATTTGGAGCTCCCAAACAACTGATTTGCCTCCTTGATGACGATAATTCCCAGAAAGCAGGTGATGTTAGAGACAGTGCTGGTTAGCTAGGCTCCTATTTCAACTAGGTCTCATCCTAGTTTTCTGCAGTTTGGCTGCAGGTTTCTTGCCCTTTTTTTTCATCTCAAATACTGTTTATTACATGACAGGAAACATCATTGGATAGTGAACCTATGTTTTCAAGATTGTTTGCAGTTTTTTTGATACTCTATAAGTTACTTGGTAAATACTATGGGATTCGTTTCAAAATTGTGATCACTTGTGTCTGGAGATATGTGCTTGGAGGCAGGTACATCCTCTGCTCTTTTGCTGTAGCTAAGGGTGAATTATTGTGCAGTTTAAGCACACATAGCACACATAGGCGTGGCTGATTGTTGGCCTACATGTGCCCAGGGCATTGTTTCATACATTACATCAATTCACATTCACAAGTACCCCTTGGCTACACTGGGATTTGAGTTCAGGACAGTAGGGCCTGATCCTAAAGTCAACATTTTTTTGCCCTCTTCTCCTACCACTGAATTCCCTTCCTGTTTCTTGATCCCCTTACTGAATCCTCTTTTCTCTCCTCATAGGCGGATGAAGACCCCATCATGGGGTTCCACCAGATGTTCCTATTAAAGAACATCAACGATGCTTGGGTTTGCACCAATGACATGTTCAGGCTCGCCCTGCACAACTTTGGCTGACCTCCTCTCAGCTAGGCACTCACGCTGTTTCCTCCTCCCTCCTCTTCCCAATACTATTCCCACTCCTCCAGATGCTCCAAATATCATGCACAAATGAGCAGGGCCGCGGTGGGAGTGGGCGCAGTGCGCTGCTGCCACTGAGGTGTTGTGCATGATGTTTGGATGCTAGACTAGTTGCATCTGACGGGAGAAGTTTGTGTTGTACCAGCGCATGCCTTGGAAAGACTTAAGTAATGCAAAAGGTTGTCCTTTTTTTTTTTTTTTTTTTTTTAATCTACTGACAAGTTGCTCTAGTAACCCAAAGAAGTGAAGGAGAAAGCAGCTGCCTCACCGCCCAGACATTGATTTGTTCAGATGTTTCAATGCCTCATGATACAATAAAACCACAAAAATTTTCTTAACAGTTTAAATTGTTTTAATTAGTTTACTAGTTGGCTGGGCATCAGAAGCTACCCAGACCCGTTGTCTCTCTCATGTTTCACCCTCCCACTTCTGCCCCAACTCTGAATACCTGTTGCAGGGAGAAACTGCTGAAGCAGCACTCCCAGCTAGCCTCTCAGAAGCCGTGTAGGGCAGTTCTCTCCCACTCCACAGGGCGACTGGTCTTTGGAAAGCAGGCAGGAAGAGCTCAGGTCTGGCCTGAAGCTTCTCTCACTGAAGCCTGTGCAGTCAGTTCTGATACCTCCTGTGACTTCTGCTCTGGGTAGGTTCAGGGCCCTAGTAGCAGGAGAGATGATCCTGAATCCTGTTGAAGCTGGAGAGGCCTTGGCAAAATGGCTCATCACGTTCAGGCCCTCCGGGCTGAGTTGTCAGCAGTATCAAGGGAGGGGCCTGCTCTATCCCCAGAAGGATCAGGATCATATCCAGGATGCCCCACATACACCAAGCCAGGCAGAGGGCAGCTCAGCTCCTGTCCCATCTGCTTTGGATATCTTTACCCAAAGGCAGGTAACCCGAAGAGCCAGCCTCCACTGCCCACAGAGCCAGGCCCAGTTGTGTTGGAGTATAGGTCAGGAGCTGTGGAAGGAGGCAGTCTGTGAGGGACTCATGCTTTAGGAGTCCTCACCCCTCAGACTGCTGCAGGACATTGCCAGGCCTCTCTCCACTTCCTTCCTCAGCATACAGACTTCATGCTATCTTCCAATTCCGGGGAGTCTTAGCTATTAGGGCAGTTTCTGCTTCTCCATTTTGGGGACAAAGGCCTTGCCCAGTACAAATCTAGCCCCTTGTCCCACAGACTTCTGGATGGTATAAACCTAGTGGCAATGTAGCAACCATAGGCTAGAACCAAACCCAAGATTTGGGTCAGTGCCCTGTTAAGGGTTTTAGGATTGGTAAGGACACCACAGCTAAATCTGACATGTAAAAGGATACCCTTCCCCTGTCCCACTACGGGTGGAGGCTAAGGACCTCCTCAGATCCCACAGATTGCCTGGTGACATTGGGCACAGGGCTGGATGGTGTGCTGTTTGAGAGGACAGCATGCTCAGGAGATTTCAGTGGGAATGATCTCTAGGCTGATGTGTATTTGGGGAAGTGGGGGTGGGGAAGAGGTAGGTGCCTGCTGCCTCAAACCACCTTGTGTAAAATCTGCAATACGGCTTCTTCCATGTACCTGTGCCTGAACTGTCTGCAATAAAGAAGAATTTGTAAACTGTGGTTTCTTTCTTCCAACCTGAGGGTGCCAGGTGGGACAAGGGGATGCTGGGGGACAGTAGGGAACAATGACTGGTCATTGTAGTGGGATCATCTCCCCTGCTCTTGCAATTCCTGAGTTTTATGACCTCGAGGGTAGCCTCAGGCCTTGAGTTATTCCGACCCATTCCCAAAGGGAACCTGAGGCACCTGCCAATTCAGCATATTCTGGGGGTCTGAGGGACCTTAGCATGGGCGGCTAAGTTGACCCCGTCCCAGGACCATCGGAGTCCATGCTCTGGGAGTGGGCAGGGACCTGGCGCCTTCTGAGTCGAGTAGGGCTTTAGGTGGCCCAGTGCGTGGACGCTTACTTCAGCCCCGTGGGACTTTCCTGACCTCGCGGACACAGGGGCGGGGCCGCCGAGGGGGACTGGCTGCGGGAGGGGTTTAGGCTTCCGCCCCCAGCCCGGAACCTTTCTTCTCCGGCCCTGGCAGGTTCCGGGAGCCTCGGCTCGTGGGTGCCGGAAGTGGAGGCGGTTGGTGGGGTTGGCGGGGCTCAGCGACGCTGCGCGGGTGGCGGTTTGCGAACTGCGGGTGGACTGTGTAGTGACCGGCGTCCCGCTGTCTCGCCCCGTGGCGGGTGAGCGAGGGTGCGTGGTGCGCGGCGGCGGCGGAACGAACGCGGTGCGGGCGGGGCGCCCGCCGCAGGGCCCATGGCCTCCTGCGCGAGCATCGACATCGAGGACGCCACGCAGCACCTGCGGGACATCCTCAAGCTGGACCGGCCCGCGGGCGGTGAGCGGGGGTTGCGGGGGTGGGCCCCAGGCGAGCTGACAAAAGGGCGGCGCGCGTCTGAACCGCCATTGGGGCCCACAGCTCCCTTAGGACTAGCTCTGGATCCTCCCGGCGGGTAAGGGTGGACGGGGATTGACTGTGCCCCTCGAAGGGCGCAGACCCCTGGGTGTGACCCCTCCCTATCTTGTCCTCAGGCTGTTCTGCCTTGTCCTTCAGCGTCTCGGTTGAAGGTGAGGCGCCTTCTCTGAATCCGCTGGGGCCCTCTGGTTTCCTGGCCCCGAGGTCTCTAGTGTTCCTGGGACTGGCCTAGCTCCTCTTCCCTTTCTCCATGGTTCAGAGGCCTGGTCTGGGCTCCGTATATGGAATTCTGGGCCCAGGCTTAAGCGCGATGCTGAAGAGCTGCCGGTCCCCCTCCATAACTTGCCCTTCTCTCTGGAATAAAGACTCCAGGCCTCCCGTTCTGAAACTGATTTCCAGGAGGAAGGTGTCCAGTCTCAATTCCGTGTTCTTTCTGGGATGAAGGCAAATCACAGACCGCACCACCCTGACTGAATTATGCTACAAATATCTGCAAGCCCTAATTGGTTCCCATTCATTCATATTTCGCTTTGGCTCTTAATGATACCTCAGAACTAGTCTTGCCCCCAAAGATTCCCCAAGACACAGCTAACAGGGTTGTAATATACTGTTGTCATTGAAAGAAAGGAGTGTCTCGATACTGTGATGGGCGTGGGAAGGGTGGAGGCTGGTGAGTGCAGAGTGCAGGTCTGAGAGGGGAGACTGGGCTAGGTCTTGTAATGTGAACAGGGGCTTGGGTGTCAGGAAAGGCACCCAAGGCACCTATGGAGAAGCCACCTATTAGGAAGAGGAAATAGCACGTGTGCAGGCACTAGTTTACTGACAGGTTTAGGGATCTCTGAAGTGGCCGGTGATGATGGTGTGGGCGTACAGTGGAGAATTGTGTTTCCTCAGATCTTGTTCTTACACCTGCTGGGAGGCCCAGACTGGCTGCTTCTGGAAGCAGGCACTGGTGCTCACTAGGGGTGGATTCAACTAACCCCTACTTTCAGAAAATCCATCTGCTGCCTGAGACCACTCGGCCCTTTGTCCCAGGCCTGGAGTGTGTGCCCTCTTTACTCATGAGTTGGGCGTGGACCTCTCCTGCTGCTCAGCTGCTTTGTAGACTAGACTCCGCAGAGATTTGGTAGAGCCTGGCATGGCCAACCATGTACAGCCTGAGCCTGCTTTTTGGTTGTCCTCATGGTACCCTTCATGGAAGGGAGAGTTGTCAGCTTGTCCCTGAGCAGCTAAAGTGGCTCTGATCTGAATGAAGTGGCCTGGAGGCTTTCCTTATAACTACTTTGTTTATTGATTGGCACTTGATTCCCTTGTTTGCCAAGCAGCTCTTTCTTGTCTCCTCTCACTGGACGACCAGGTCAGAACTCAGACTATTGAGGACTGGGCGCGGTGGCTCACACCTGTAATCCCAGCACTTTGGGAGGCCGAGGTGGGTGGATTGCTTGAGGCCAGGAGTTCGAGACCAGCCTGGCCAACATGGTTTCTTAACATGGTGAAACCTTATCTCTACTAAAAATATAAAAATTAGGTGAGCTGTAATCCCAGCTACTTGGGAGGCTGATGCAGGAGAATCCCTTGAACCCAGGGGGTAGAGGTTGCCATGAGCCGAGATCGCGCCAAAATAATTCAAAGACTGTTGTGACTGGAAACTTGCTATGTTCTGAATGTGGAGCCCTAGGCTCCTTGCCACCTGGGGATTTTGGAAATGGTGTCTGAGCCTATGAGAGTGTTTGAAACCCAGCCAGTTGCAAAGAACTGAAATGCTGTCTTTCCTTACTCCACACGCTGCCCCATAGTTTCTCTCCTTTTGGTCCAGCTCCTTTATGTCCCTGCCTTCTGTGTTTACTTGCCCAAGATAGCTTCTTCTGAGCCATTTCTGTGTGGGGCAGCCCCTTCCACATCTTACCAGTGCCCTTCCATGCCTTAGGAGCCCATCTTCTCTCCAAACTCTGACACTACATTGGTCTAGGCCTTGATCTCTCTCACCCAGATTCTCAACCATTCTGCATGCTATCTTAGAGTAATCTTCCCACTGGCCAGAACTGACCACATCACCTTCCCTTTTGAAACTCTTTATGGTTCTCATGGCCCACAGGGAGAGTCTAAGTGCCACGGCATCATACCTGATGCCTCTGTAGCTTTGTTTTCACTCCATCCTTCCTGTGTTTGTGTGTTCTGGTCACACTAACTGCTGTATAAAGTCTTTCCTGACCCCTCCTATGCCCTCACTCAGTCCACAGAGTTCTTCTGTAGTGACCCAGACCTGAGTATTCACTGCCCTCAAAGGGTCCTTGATGGCTTGTACCCCTCCCCCAGGTAGAAGAGCCTCATGCTCATCCTTGGTCCTGCCTACATCAGTGTTTATGGAACGAGAGATGAACACAGGGCCCTCCTCCTCATGGACATGCTTTGCTCAGTTGAGTGTTCCTAGAGCACCTCATAGTTCTTGAAGGAAACTCTGAAAGGGGAGAGGCTTGTGGGCAGGTCGAGCAACCTTATCAGAATGACCCTCTTTGTCCCCAGGCCCCAGTGCAGAGAGCCCACGGCCATCCAGTGCCTACAATGGGGACCTCAATGGACTTCTGGTCCCAGACCCGCTCTGCTCAGGTGATAGTACCTCAGCAAACAAGACTGGTCTTCGGACCATGCCACCCATTAACCTGCAAGAGAAGCAGGTCATGTGAGTACCTAGGAGACGACAATAGTGGTGATGGTGTATTTGGGGTGTCTGCTAGCTGAAGGCATGAGATGGGGAGTGAGCGGGGCCAGCAGCCTCTGCTGCTTCCTCTCTAGATGACCTGGGGTGGAGCTTGAGCTTGCACTAGGATGAGAGGCAAGGACAAGCTCAGGGGTTTGGCCTGGATACCTGGTTTAGAATGAAAGTAGGCTCATTCCCAAGGAAGGAGATGAGCAAGCAGAGCTGTGGGTCTGGGGCCAGTGGACCAGGCGAAGCTGACATTGGACTAGATACCTTCCCCAGTCTGGCTATGTCCTCGCTTCCTCCCAACCCTGCCCGCTGAGCCTTTGGGTGAACAAGAGGCAAAGTTTTTGCACTCTTCCCCACAGCTGTCTCTCAGGAGATGATAGCTCCACCTGCATTGGGATTTTGGCCAAGGAGGTGGAGATTGTGGCTAGCAGTGACTCTAGCATTTCAAGCAAGGCCCGGGGAAGCAACAAGGTAGGTACTGGGATGCTGTGGCATATATAATGTACGGGGGCACACCCAGCCTTTCCAGTCTCCCTCATGCTGCCAGTTCCTATGGGGACCACCTTGACACTTTCCCAGTTTCAGGAAGCCAGGGCTGGGTGCCAAGCCTCTGTGGGAGTCTGGCTCCAGGAGGTAACAGTGGGTAGCTGGACTTGCATCTGTGTCCTCTCCCATCCCCAGGGATGTTGGGGGCCACCTAGGCTCTGGGGAAGTTCCATGACTTTTCTCACCCTGGGTTCTCAGGTGAAAATTCAGCCTGTCGCCAAGTATGACTGGGAACAGAAGTACTACTATGGCAACCTGATTGCTGTGTCTAACTCCTTCTTGGCCTATGCCATTCGGGGTGAGTAAAGACAGTGAGGAGGAAGGAATGTTCTGCTGGATGTCCCACAGAGCCAGTTCCAACATCAGGCCACTCAGGCCTTAGGGGTACAATGGAAGGTTTGTCCATGCTGCCTCTTGGGGAGCTGGGTGGGAAAACCAAGCTTGAGACTCTGGTGGTGGCAGGGAGACAGGTGGGGCAGCGCTTCTCTGCTACTGCCTGAGCCTGGATACGTATTCATGGTCCACTGCTCTCCTGATTCCAGCTGCCAACAATGGCTCTGCCATGGTGCGGGTGATCAGCGTCAGCACTTCGGAGCGGACCTTGCTCAAGGGCTTCACAGGCAGTGTGGCTGATCTGGCTTTCGCGCACCTCAACTCTCCACAGCTGGCCTGCCTGGATGAGGCAGGCAACCTGTTCGTGTGGCGCTTGGCTCTGGTTAATGGCAAAATTCAGTATCCATTCCTTCCTGTGGGTGGTGGGACTGAAGAAGGGTGGGCGGAGCTGGGGTGTCACGCCTCTTCATTCATCTATCTAGCCCTTAACACCCTGCTCAGAGAAGAGATCTTGGTCCATATTCGGCAGCCAGAGGGCACGCCACTGAACCACTTTCGCAGGATCATCTGGTGCCCCTTCATCCCTGAGGAGAGCGAAGACTGCTGTGAGGAGAGCAGCCCAACAGTGGCCCTGCTGCATGAAGACCGGGTGAGGGGGCTGACATGGCGAAGAGGCGCCAGAGAAGCCATAGTGTGGGGTTGGGCTGCACACTCACCTCCCTGTGCCTTCCAGGCTGAGGTGTGGGACCTGGACATGCTCCGCTCCAGCCACAGTACCTGGCCTGTGGATGTTAGCCAGATCAAGCAGGGCTTCATTGTGGTAAAAGGTCATAGCACGGTAAGCCTGTGACTGCCTGCCTCCCCTGCCCTCCCCACTTCCTCATATCCATCTTCTGTTCCCTATATCCACAGCTGCCCGGGCAGCTTTACTAGCATTCTGCCCGTGGGGACTCTGAGCTCAAATTGGCCCTCACCTGTGCAGCTTTCTCCTTATCTAGCAGCACCCTGCAGGTCTGGCCTTCTCTAGGAACCCTGTTCATTTAGTCAGTCACACAAGCATGCCAGTCCCACCGTGAGTCAGCCCAGCTCATTGCCATCCTCACTTGGGAGGGGCTTGTTCTCACCTCTAGTCAGCAAAGCTTTTTGGGTTCTTTCTAGTGCCTCAGTGAAGGAGCCCTCTCTCCTGATGGGACTGTGCTGGCTACTGCGAGCCACGATGGCTATGTCAAGTTCTGGCAGATCTACATTGAGGGGCAAGATGAGCCAAGGTAAGGCAGGGCCTCAGGGACCAGGATCCTCCCGAGGTAGCCCACCCGACCACTCACTCAGGCCCCTCATCTGCCTACCTGCAGGTGTCTGCACGAGTGGAAACCTCATGATGGGCGGCCCCTCTCCTGCCTCCTGTTCTGTGACAACCATAAGAAACAAGACCCTGAGTGAGTGAGTGGGCAGCCTAGTGGGTGGTGGGCTGGACCATGGCTCCCAGCAGGGGCCCCAGCCAGTCACTCACTGCCTTGTTGCCTTGCAGTGTCCCTTTCTGGAGGTTCCTTATTACTGGTGCTGACCAGAACCGAGAGTTAAAGATGTGGTGTACAGTATCCTGGACCTGCCTGCAGACTATTCGGTAAGCAGTGGCTGGAAGGCTGGGGGACTGGGCAGGGGCGGCAGGGTTGGGAATGTAGCTTCCTTCAGTTCTCAGGCTCATTCACTCTGCTTTGTGGCTCTCTAGCTTCTCCCCAGATATCTTCAGCTCAGTGAGTGTGCCCCCTAGCCTCAAGGTTTGCTTGGACCTCTCAGCAGAATACCTGATTCTCAGCGATGTGCAACGGAAGGTAGGCTGCCATGGGGTACCCTGGGCAGAGTTGGGATTATAGAGGAAGGCCGGGGGGCAGGTGGCGCATCACAGCCCTTAGCCTCTGAGCTCAGCTAGGAACGTTCTGCCTGTGCAGGTCCTCTATGTGATGGAGCTGCTGCAAAACCAGGAGGAGGGCCACGCCTGCTTCAGCTCCATCTCGGAGTTCCTGCTCACCCACCCTGTGCTGAGCTTTGGTATCCAGGTTGTGAGTCGCTGCCGGCTACGGCACACTGAGGTGCTGCCTGCCGAAGAGGAAAATGACAGCCTGGGTGCTGGTGAGCTGCCTCAGGGTCAGAGCTATGTGTCCATATATCTAGGGGGTTGTGGAGGCACAGAGAGGGCCAGGGGCTTCATCATCCACACTGTCCTTTCAGATGGTACCCATGGAGCCGGTGCCATGGAGTCTGCGGCCGGTGTGCTCATCAAGCTCTTTTGTGTGCATACTAAGTGAGTGAGTGGGGAGGCCCGCCAGTGTCCTGTCTGTGTCTGTCTCCACTCTACTGACCCTTGCCCTTGGAGCACTTTATTCTCCCCCTTCTTTTCCTGCAGGGCACTGCAAGATGTGCAGATCCGCTTCCAGCCACAGCTGAACCCTGATGTGGTGGCCCCACTGCCCACCCACACTGCCCACGAGGACTTCAGTGAGTAGGGCGTGAGAGGGAGGTAGGGTAAGTTGGACTGACCAGGGTCTGAGATCTAACTCAAGTGGCAACTTGCCCTGCAGCATTTGGAGAGTCTCGGCCCGAACTGGGCTCTGAGGGCCTGGGGTCAGCCGCTCACGGCTCCCAGCCTGACCTCCGACGAATCGTGGAGCTGCCTGCACCTGCCGACTTCCTCAGTCTGAGCAGTGAGACCAAGCCCAAGTTGATGACACCTGACGCCTTCATGACACCTAGCGCCTCCTTGCAGCAGGTACTCTCCCAGGGTAGGGGGACCTGGGAATGCCTCAGCCACAGGCCACAGGTCTTATTTCCTGCATCTCCCCAGATCACTGCCTCTCCCAGCAGCAGCAGCAGCGGTAGCAGCAGCAGCAGCAGCAGTAGCAGCAGCTCCCTTACAGCTGTGTCTGCCATGAGCAGCACCTCAGCTGTGGACCCCTCCTTGACCAGGTGAGGCAAGGGTCAGAGATGGAGGATGGCAGGGGCTGGTACCAGATGATGCCAAGCTCTGGCTGCTGACACCTCAGCCTTCCCCCACCAGGCCACCTGAGGAGCTGACCTTGAGCCCCAAGCTGCAGCTGGATGGCAGCCTGACAATGAGCAGCAGTGGCAGCCTTCAGGCAAGCCCGCGTGGCCTCCTGCCTGGCCTGCTCCCAGCCCCAGCTGACAAACTGACTCCCAAGGGGCCGGGCCAGGTGTGTGACTGGGTGTGTGTGTGAAGTGTGGGGAGCAGGTGGGCAGCAGCAGGGAAGGTGGGTGGTGGGCTCCTCCCAGCCCCCTGCTGCTGATCCTGCTCTACCCGACATGGTCCGTGTTTCCCTGAGGTCATTTCACCCTCCTGTGTTTCCTGGTGGGTGTCTCCTCAGCCTCCCTGTCCCCACCTCCTCTTCTTGGCTGTGGCCTCGTTTTTGACCTGTATCCCCACTTCCCTGCTGCCCTGTCTCTCATTACTGCTAATACTAATGCCTCGTCTCTGTGCCCCCCATCTCTGCCTCACTTCCTGTCACTTAAGCCCCCATCTTTGGCCCACCTCAGGTGCCTACTGCCACCTCTGCACTGTCCCTGGAGCTGCAGGAAGTGGAGCCCCTGGGGCTACCCCAAGCCTCCCCTAGCCGCACTCGTTCCCCTGATGTCATCTCCTCAGCTTCCACTGCCCTGTCCCAGGACATCCCTGAGATTGCATCTGAGGCCCTGTCCCGTGGTTTTGGCTCCTCTGCACCAGAGGGCCTTGAGCCAGACAGTATGGCTTCAGCCGCCTCGGCACTGCACCTGCTGTCCCCACGGCCCCGGCCAGGGCCCGAGCTCGGCCCCCAGCTCGGGCTTGATGGAGGCCCTGGGGATGGAGATCGGCATAATACCCCCTCCCTCCTGGAGGCAGCCTTGACCCAGGAGGCCTCGACTCCTGACAGTCAGGTTTGGCCCACAGCACCTGACATTACTCGTGAGACCTGCAGCACCCTGGCAGAAAGGTGAGGAGCTTGGGAGGGGAAAAGTGTGCTAGCAGGAGGGGCTTCAGATAGATTCATCCATGGCTAAGTTGGCCTGTCCTCCCAGCCCCAGGAATGGCCTTCAGGAAAAGCACAAGAGCCTGGCCTTCCACCGACCACCATATCACCTGCTGCAGCAACGTGACAGCCAGGATGCCAGTGCTGAGCAAAGGTGGGAGCCACTCTACACCATTGCCCTCATGGGGGGATGGGCAGCAAGTGGGCAGGGGCTTACTCCTCCTTCCCCTTCCCACAGTGACCATGATGATGAGGTGGCCAGCCTTGCCTCTGCTTCAGGAGGCTTTGGCACCAAAGTTCCTGCTCCACGGCTGCCTGCCAAGGACTGGAAGACCAAGGGATCCCCTCGAACCTCACCCAAGCTCAAGAGGAAAAGCAAGAAGGATGATGGGTAGGGAGAAATCCTAGGGAGGGAGAGGGTGGTCTCTAGGCTGCCTCACATAGCCTGAGGTGCTTCTCGCCTATGGCAGGGATGCAGCCATGGGATCCCGGCTCACAGAGCACCAGGTAAGTGAATGAGCCCACTTTGTACTTGTGGAACTTCACCCTGGGCGGGTGGAGAAGGGCTCTGGGCCATTCCCTGGTCTGGTGTGTGGGAATAGGTGGGGCAGGCATCGTGTGACTGTCAGTGCTACTGACAGGTGGCAGAGCCCCCTGAGGACTGGCCAGCACTAATTTGGCAACAGCAGAGAGAGCTGGCAGAGCTGCGGCACAGCCAGGAAGAGCTGCTGCAGCGTCTGTGTACCCAACTCGAAGGCCTGCAGAGCACAGTCACAGGCCACGTAGAACGTGCCCTTGAGACTCGGCACGAGCAGGAACGTATCCTTGAGACTGGTAGCACAACATGGCATAGGGACGGGGGCAGCATTCTTGGCCTGGGAAGGAGTACACGACCTGCTCCAGGCCCGTTCCTTAGCTATGGCGCAGAGCGGCGGCTGGAGCGAGCACTGGCTGAGGGGCAGCAGCGGGGAGGGCAGCTGCAGGAGCAGCTGACACAACAGTTGTCCCAAGCACTGTCGTCAGCTGTAGCTGGGCGGCTAGAGCGCAGCATACGGGATGAGATCAAGAAGACAGTCCCTCCATGTGAGTTTTGCATGCAGACTCCCTTTGGGTGGTTCAGGTGGGAGTGGGGTACCTGTCAAGCTTCTTCTCATGGCTCCACCTCACCCTCTTCCCCTCTCCCAGGTGTCTCAAGGAGTCTGGAGCCTATGGCAGGCCAACTGAGCAACTCAGTGGCTACCAAGCTCACAGCTGTGGAGGGCAGCATGAAAGAGAACATCTCCAAGCTGCTCAAGTCCAAGGTGCTATAGGGCCCAAGATGTGGGTGGAGGTGGTGGTTCCTGGGCCTAGTCAGGCCAGGCTGGGCTCAGGCTTTCAACTTGGCCCCTCCCTCTAACCCCAGAACTTGACTGATGCCATCGCCCGAGCAGCTGCAGACACATTACAAGGGCCGATGCAGGCTGCCTACCGGGAAGCCTTCCAGAGTGTGGTGCTGCCGGCCTTTGAGAAGAGCTGCCAGGCCATGTTCCAGCAAATCAATGATAGCTTCCGGCTGGGGACACAGGAATGTGAGTGGGGTCATATGGCCCAAGGTGGGAGGGGTTATCCTCTTTCCTACTGTTCCTCTTATAGTCCCTGTGGTCACCCCTCAGACTTGCAGCAGCTAGAAAGCCACATGAAGAGCCGGAAGGCACGGGAACAGGAGGCCAGGGAGCCTGTGCTAGCCCAGCTGCGGGGCCTGGTCAGCACACTGCAGAGTGCCACTGAGCAGATGGCAGCCACCGTGGCCGGCAGTGTTCGTGCTGAGGTGCAGCACCAGCTGCATGTGGCTGTGGGCAGGTGTGTGGGCAGAGTACTGGGCAAGGTGGTGGGCTTGAGAAAGGCCAGACTAGGCTCCCTGTCCACTTCACCTCACTCACTTCCCTTTGCAGCCTGCAGGAGTCCATTTTAGCACAGGTACAGCGCATCGTTAAGGGTGAGGTGAGTGTGGCGCTCAAGGAGCAGCAGGCCGCCGTCACCTCCAGCATCATGCAGGCCATGCGCTCAGCTGCTGGCACACCTGTCCCCTCTGCCCACCTTGACTGCCAGGCCCAGCAAGCCCATATCCTGCAGCTGCTGCAGCAGGGCCACCTCAATCAGGCCTTCCAGCAGGTACGATAGGCATTAGGCCCTGCTAAGGGTCACGTGTCTCTTGACAAGGCCCACATACCATACATTCTACTCCACCCACCACCTTTGCACCTTCTGGCCCCAGCAGACTGTTCTTGGTTCCCTTTGGCCTCCAGGCCATTGTCCCTGCTGCTTCCTCTTCCTGGACCCCTTTCTTCCCACCTAGCCCACCTTGCTTTACAACTACCCTTCTCAGGAACCCATTTCCCAATCCCCTAGGGTAACTACACAGCCCTACAGGCTCTCTCTGAGTCCCTCTGGAGCTCTCACTAGCCCACCCTGTGGTCATCCTCCCCCAGGCCACACAGTTCAGACAAGCAGACATTCCATCCTGATATTTGCTATAAACACTGCTGCTTTTTTCTCCTCCAGGCGCTGACAGCTGCTGACCTGAACCTGGTGCTGTATGTGTGTGAAACTGTGGACCCAGCCCAGGTTTTTGGGCAGCCACCCTGCCCGCTCTCCCAGCCTGTGCTCCTTTCCCTCATCCAGCAGCTGGCATCTGACCTTGGCACTCGAACTGACCTCAAGCTCAGGTAAGTGGGGACAGCCAGGGATGGGGAGATGAGCTGGGGAGTGGGGCAGTGGGAGGGAGCAGTTTGAAGCTGACGCCCACTTCTGCCTGAATCCTCTCCCTAATTTTCTCCACCAGTCCTTTCTGCCTTCACCCAGAGGGTTCCCTCTGGGCCTCGGTGCCACCAGGGGGCGCTCCCGTCTGCTGGCACCCACCTGTAGCCTGTCCTTTCCCCCCCATCCCCAGCTACCTGGAAGAGGCCGTGATGCACCTGGACCACAGTGACCCCATCACTCGGGACCACATGGGCTCCGTTATGGCCCAGGTGCGCCAAAAGCTTTTTCAGTTCCTGCAGGCTGAGCCACACAACTCACTTGGCAAAGCAGCTCGGCGTCTCAGCCTCATGCTGCATGGCCTCGTGACCCCCAGCCTCCCTTAGCTGCTAAGCCTGCCTTGCCCAGGGGTGGGATGGCACTGAAGGCCAGCAGACAGGCCTAGGCTGGGGCAGGGTCACGGCTGGCCTTTACCTGCTCAGGCCCCCATCTCTGGGGTGTTTGGGGGTCAGGGAGCAGGGAGCACTGGCCGTGGTCTACAGCGTGTGGTAGTCAGAAGGTTTAGCTGGGCCCAGGGCAGGTATTGCGCCTGCTTGGGTTCTGCCATGCCTGGAGCATGACCCTGAGATCGTGACACCACTTGAGTGGAATTTTCCATGTTCCTTTTTACCTCTAATTTGGATCTTTTTGTTTTTGAAAAACATTGAGAAATTCAATTAAATGCTTTTGGAATAAAATGGAGTATGTGTGTGCTTTTGGTTTGTCTTTGGTGTGACTCTCATAACTGCCGTCTGTTCGTTCTCTGCCCATCTCTTGCCCGTGGAGCTCTGTCGAGGCCAACCCAGCCAAGGGGCCGGGTTACCCACTCATCTGCTCCAACTGCCTTCCCAGATCTCCCTTCTCCCTCCTTCTATGGAGTGAGGGTCCAGGGGCCTGCCCAGCACCAGCCTGTGCTCCTGCGAATTTCTGCTCTCTGAGGTCTCCTCGCTCCTTTTCCCATCTGGGTGTTGGAGGCGGAGCCGCCGGCTGGGTTCGGAGCCCCACCCCCAGCTCCCATCCAATCACCGTCCCTCCCTCCGGGGGCTGGGCGGACGGGCTGCACTCCAAGCAGCTAGCTCCTGCACTAGGCTCTCAGCCAGGGATGATGCGCTGCTGCCGCCGCCGCTGCTGCTGCCGGCAACCACCCCATGCCCTGAGGCCGTTGCTGTTGCTGCCCCTCGGTGAGTGCGGGCATCCGGGGCCCGGGCCACACCCCCTTCTCGCCCAGCCAAGCCAGGCTGGGCATAGGGTGTGTGGGAACGCTGGGTGCCAGGGTGGAGAAGAGTTGTAAGGGCTCCAGGAAGGTGTGCTGGTGACTTCAGGACAGAAAGTGAGAGGCACAAACAGCCCCAGTTATGGGAGAAGGACTCCAAAATTTGCATCCCCTCTTATGATAAAGGGAGACATGCCAATGGCAGGACTTATAGACCAGTCGTAGGATCCCTAAGTCCTCTCTGAGGGTCTGGCCTGGATCCCAATACCTCTGCATCCTGCCTTGTCTCTCCAAAAATATTTATCTTTAGAGAGAGTTCGGAGGGCCAAGCAAAGCTTGTCTAAACCGCAGAGAGATGCACCTGCTCCTGGTCCGGGGCCTCTGGACCTCCCTCCCCTCCACCCTGTCCTGACTCCTTTACATGGACCCTTGTCACCCCACCTGCGGCCCCAGAAGCTCAAAGGAAGAGCTGACCTGGGGTACACAACACCCCCTTCCCCTGTACAAATCCCAGTCTGGGTCCTACCTTGAAGGGGGCCTGGGTAGGTAATCCCCAGACTTGCCCTTTAGTTCCCTGGGGCACCCTTTTTCCGCTGAGTCACATCCCCAGAGTGCTCCCAGGTAAACAAGCCCCTGGGGGCTGGGGGATGAGCCTGGCTCATCCTATCTACCATTCCTTCCCCACCCCACCCCCGCCCCACTTCTAGTCCTTTTACCTCCCCTGGCAGCAGCTGCAGCGGGCCCAAACCGATGTGACACCATATACCAGGGCTTCGCCGAGTGTCTCATCCGCTTGGGGGACAGCATGGGCCGCGGAGGCGAGCTGGAGACCATCTGCAGGTACCGGCGGGTGTGAGGCAGTGGCCCAACCTGTGCCACCATTGGGGACTGAACCTTTTATTTCCCAAGCTAAAGTCTCCTTGCCTCACCTAATCCCCCTAATCCCACTCCCTTAACAGGTCTTGGAATGACTTCCATGCCTGTGCCTCTCAGGTCCTGTCAGGCTGTCCGGAGGAGGCAGCTGCAGTGTGGGAATCACTACAGCAAGAAGCTCGCCAGGCCCCCCGTCCGAATAACTTGCACACTCTGTGCGGTGCCCCGGTGCATGTTCGGGAGCGCGGCACAGGCTCCGAAACCAACCAGGAGACGCTGCGGGCTACAGCGCCTGCACTCCCCATGGCCCCTGCGCCCCCACTGCTGGCGGCTGCTCTGGCTCTGGCCTACCTCCTGAGGCCTCTGGCCTAGCTTGTTGGGTTGGGTAGCAGCGCCCGTACCTCCAGCCCTGCTCTGGCGGTGGTTGTCCAGGCTCTGCAGAGCGCAGCAGGGCTTTTCATTAAAGGTATTTATATTTGTAGTAAGCTCCTTCCTTTCTCCTGGCTGTGGCCTTGCTTGCGGCTGGGGCCAGGGACTCCTAGAAACTGATCCTTTGCTTGGATGGAATGGGCGGGGCTGAGGGCCACCACAGGGGCCCTCAATCTTCCTCCTTACAAACACTCATTTCCCAGTGGCAGCGCAAAGCTTTCCATTTCATGCAGGCCCCAAGAGCTCCTCCAGTGGAGACTGGAGATCTGCCAGAATGCACAGTCTTCCTCTACCTTCCTGTGCGGGTTGAGATCGGGAGGGTGGGGTCTCAGCCCTGCACTCCTAGCACTGCCTACCCCTTCTATCCTGGCCCCTGGGGGCCAGGTGAGCTGGTGAAGTGCCCTTGATCTCAGCTCCACCCCCTCCCCAGCCTCTGGGCTCCTGACCATTTCACCTCCTCCTCTCTCTGCCTGTCACCTCAGCCTTCAAGGCATAGCACAGACTATGTGCTCAGTCCCTTCCTCTGGTTTTCTGGTCTATCTGAGGGAGGCCTGTTCTAGAAGGTGGGGAGCCTTTGTTGAAGTCCACATTCAAGCCCCTGATGTGACCTGAAGTGGCAAAAACTGGAGTCACCATAAGGGTTCCTCTGGCCTCTGCTCTCCACAAGCTTGTTCTTTGAGAAGAGGTAGGCAGTGTGTAGTCAAAACAATTGCAGAAGGCTTTCTGGAAGCCGTGGAACAAGAGCATGTGGTGTGCGAGGAGCCCCTCTTCATACCGGTGGAAAGGAAGAGCAAAATCAGCTAGGCAGAGGAATCTGAGGAAGGAGAAAGCCTTCTGGGGGTAGGACCCTCTTCTGATCAGCCTTCTCCCACCACCGCCAGGATCCTATTCCAAGCCATTACCCCACGGTTTACAGAGGCACTGCCATAGTCTCCTCATTGACTTCTATTATCACTCCCTCCACTTTATTCTTTACTTTTTTTTTTTTTCTTGTCACCCAGGCTGGAATGCAGTGGCACAATCTCGGCTCACTGCAACCTCTGCCTCCCGGGTTCAAGCAATTCTCCTGCCTCAGCCTCCCTAGTAGCTGGGATTACAGGTGCCCGCCACCATGCCCGACTAATTTTATATTTTTAGTAGAGATGGGTTTGCCATGTTGGCCAGGCTGGTCTCGAACTCCTAACCTCAGGTGATCTGACCCCCGCGGCCTTCCAAAGTGCTGGGATTGCAGGTGTGAGCCACCATGTTTGGCCTTATTCTTTACTTTCTTTTTTTTTTTTTTTTGAGACAGAGTCTCCCTCAGTCGCCCAGGCTAGAGTGCAATGGCGCGATCTCTGCTCACTGCAAGTTCCGCCTCCCGGGTTCACACCATTCTCCTGCCTCAGCCTTCCGAGTAGCTTGGACTACAGGCGCCCGCCACCACGCCTGGCTAATTTTTTTTGTATTTTTAGTAGACGGGGTTTCACTGTGTTAGCAAGGATGGTCTCGATCTCCTGACCTCATGATCCACCCGCCTCGGCCTCCCAGTGTTGGGATTACAGGCGTGAGCCACCGCGCCCGGCCTATTCTTTACTTTCTAAATTGAAAAACTCAGCCAGGCATAGTGGCTCAATCTTGCAGTATCACCTCCTCTAGGAACTATTCCCTAACCCTGACTACAAGCTGAATCAGAAGGCTCCTCTAGGTCCACACAGCTCCTGGATTCCCTTCTGCCTCAGTACTGATAGCACTAGCTTGTTATTGTCTAGGTACAGGTCAGAATTCCCCACTGTGGATTCCCCAAGGGCAGGAAGTCCTTTTTGTCAGAATCCTCGTTGTGTCTCTAGCATCCAACCTAGGGCTGGATATAAAGGGTGCACTTGTGGGAGGGTGTGGAATGAAAGATAGAACTCCTAAGTCCAGCATGGGTAGTGCTACAGTAAGCAAGAGCTTGGACTGAGAATGACCCCACTGTGGAGGTGTGTCATCTTGGGGTGGCACCTTTACTCTGGGCATACTGCTGGGAAGGATGGTGCTGGGGCTGTATACCCCAGAAGTCTTCCAGAGCTGGTCTTGGATGGCTAGGAGCAGGGGCCTGGCTGTTCTGGCTGGCCGTCAGGGAGATTACCATCCTCCTGCTGTGGCCTACTTTTCCCCTGGTTTTTGCTCTCTAAGTCCCTACTTTTCCATGGAATAGAGCGGGGCTTGGGGAGGGGGGAAAGAATCTGCTCTCTGGCTAGGGGCTTAAGGGCTTTGTGTGTTTTATCCTAGAGCTGGAGGAGAGGGGTGGGCTGATAGCCAAGCTGGCTGGGCCCTGGGCACAGCTGCCCAGGCCAGAGCATCATGGTGATGGTGTTTCTCACATTTGCAGCACCGTGGACAAGGAGTACCTTATTGTTCTGAGAGAGCCTGGGGGATGGATGTCCTGAGCCCAGTCCCCTCTGCATTAATATATCTCTTCACCTAAGGACCTCCCTCCTGCTCTTCTCCAGAGCCCAGACCAGCACATAGTAAGGGTTCAATAAATATTTGTTAATTAATGCGCTGAATGTCTGTAAAACAGGAGTGTTGTGTAGATTTCTGAGTGCCATCAACCCTGGAATTCATATTCCTTTTAACCCTCACAACAACTCTGTAAGGTCAGGATTATGACCCCCCCTTATATTTTATTTTATTTTTTGAGACAAGGTCTCATTCTGTCACTCAGGCTGGAGTGCAGTAACTCAGTCCTGACTCACTGCAGCCTTGACCTCCTGGGCTCAAGCGATTCTCTAGCCTCAGCCTCTTGTGTAGCTAGGACTATAGGTCTGTGCTACTAAACCCAGCTAATTTTATATTTTTGCAGAGACAGGGTCTCATTATGTCACCCTGGCTGGTCTCGAACTCTTGACCTTAAATGATCCTCCTCCCTCAGCCACCCAAAGTGTTGAGATTACAAGCACAGAGCTATCCTCATTATATAGCTAAGAAAAATGAGGCTTATGGGCCGGGCATGGTGGCTCATGCCTGTAACCCCTGCACTTTGGGAGGCCGAGGCGGGTGGATCACCTGAGGTTGGGAGTTCGAGACCAGCCTGACCAACATGGAGAAACCCTGTCTCTACTAAAAATACAAAAAATTAGAATTAGCTGGGTGTGGTGGTGCATGCCTGTAATCTCAGCTACTCAGGAGGCTGAGGCAGGAGAATTGCTTGAACCCAGAAGGCAGAGGTTGCAGTGAGCTGAGATCATGCCATTGCACTCTAGCCTGGGCAACAAGAGTGAAACTCCATCTCAAAAAAAAAAAAAAAAAAAAAGAAAAATAAAAATGAGGCTTATGGCCCAGCGCAGTGGTCCATGCCTGTAATCCCAGCACCTTGGAAGGCTGAGGTGGGAGGATAACTTAAGGCCCTGTCTAAATAAATAGGCCAGGCATGGTGGCTCAGGCCTATAATCCCAGTGCTTTGGGAGGTCGAGGCTGGCGGATCACCTGAGGTTGAGAGTTCGAGACCAGCCTGACCGACATGAAGAAACCCTGTCTCTACTAAAAATACAAAATTAGGCCGGGCACAATAGCTCATGCCTGTAATCCCAGCACTTTGGGAGGCTGAGGCAGGAGAATCGCTTGAACCCAGGAGGCGGAGGTTGCGGTGAGCCGAGATCGTGCAGTTGCACTCCAGCCTGGAAAACAAGAGCGAAACTCCGTCTCAAAATACATAAATAAATAAGCAAGTCAGGCATGGTGGTGCATGCCTGTAGACTCAGCTATTTGGGAGGCCGAGGTGTAGCGGGATTTTAAGGAATCAGAGAGACCAGTGGGGTTCAGGAGGATATTTATTAATTATTTAGGTGCATCGGCCCAGTCAGATTAACATCCAAAGGACTGAGCCCTGAACAAAGAGTTAAGTTACCTTTTAAGCATTTTGTGGGGTGGGGGGAGATCTGTGCAGGGGGAAGCATATTACAGAAGCAAGAAACAAAGACAGTTATTAAATTAATTGAGACATGCATTACATCATTTCTTTTTTTTTTTTTTTTTTTTGAGACAGAGTTTCACTCTTGTTGCCCAGGCTGGAGTGCAATGGCGTGATCTCAGCTCACTGCAACCTCTGCCTCCCGGGTCCCGGTTCAAGCAGTTCTCCTGCCTCAGCCTCCTGGGTAGCTGGGATTACAGGCACGCGCCACCACACCCAGCTAATTTTTGTATTTTTAGTACAGACAGGGTTTCACCATGTTGGCCAGGCTGGTCTCGAACTCCTGACCTCGTGATCCGCCCGCCTCGGCCTCCCAAAGTGCTGGGATTACAGGCGTGAGCCACTGTGCCCGGCCGCATTACATCATTTCTTACTTTTCAAGGAGAAGCATGTTTTACGACTTGAGTTTATCTGTCTAGTGACCTTGTAACTGCACAGCTAGTGAAACAGGGTCTTCACAATGCCTGGGAAAGGAGGAGAGATAAGGCTTCCTAGCCACAGAAAAACAGGCAGTTAATTTTTAAAGAACTCCAGCTCTTTCTCTTTCTCAGGGGGAATTGGGTTTTCTTACATACAACTGAGTTTCTACTTACACATTCTTTAATTTCTTTTAATTCCTGTTCCAGAGGCAGGAGGATCCCTTGAGCCTAGGAGTTCGAGGTTACAGTGAGCTTTGATTGCTGCCATGCACTCCAGCCTGGATGACAGAGCAAGACCCTGTCTCTATTAAAAAAATTAAAAAGGCCAGGTGCAGTGGCTCACGCCTGTAATCCCAGGATTTTGGGAGGCTGAGGCCAGTGGATCACCTGAGGTCAGGAATTCAAGACCAACCTGGCCAAAATTTAAAAAATAAAATGAGGCTGATGAGGCAGATGTCTTGCTTAAAGTCAAACAGCTCTGGAAGTGTCAGAGCTGGGATTTGATCCCAGGTATGTTTGGCACCAAAGTCTATACCCTTAATTATTGCACTAGACTTTTGGAAACAATTTTTTAACTTTTTTTTTTTTTTGAGATGGAGTTTTACTCTTCTCGCCCAGGCTGGAGTGCAATGGCGTGATCTCGGCTTACTGCAACCTCTGCCTCCCAGGTTCAAGCAATTCTCCTGCCTCAGCCTCCCAAGTAGCTGGGATTACAGGCGCCTGCCACCACGCCTAGCTAATTTTTGTATTTTTGGTAGCAATGGGGTTTCACCATGTTGGCCAGGCTGGTCTCCAACTCCTGACCTCAGGTGGTCTGCTCACCTGGGCCTCCCAAAGTGCTGGGATTACAGGCGCGTGAGGCACCGCGCTGGGCCACCATTGTTCTTTTTAAATGAAATCTTGTAAGAAACCTTACTACGGCTGGGCATGGTGGCTCACGCCTGTAATCCCAGCACTTTGGGAGGCCGAGGCGGGCGGATCACGAGGTCAGGAGATCGAGACCATCCTGACTAACATGGTGAAACCCCGTCTCTACTAAAAATACAAAAAATTAGCTGGGCACAGTGGTGGGCGCCAATAGTCCCAGCTACTCGGGAGGCTGAGGCAGGAGAATGGCGTGAACCCAGGAGGCGGAGCTTGCAGTGAGCCGAGACTGCGCCACTGCACTCTAGCCTGGGTGACAAAGCGAGACTCTTTCTCAAAAAAAATAAAAATAAAAATAAAAATAAAAATAAAAATAAAAATAAAGAAAATTAACCGGGCATGGTGGCAGGCGCCTGTAATCCCAGCTACTCGGGGAGGCTGAGGCAGGAGAATTGCTTGAACTTGGGAGGCAGAGGTTGCAGTGAGCCGAGATTGTGCCATTGCACTCCAGCCTGACAACAAGAGCGAAACTCCATCTCAGGAAAAAAGAAAAGAAAGAAACCTTACTACATAAAATAGACAACAATTTTTTTTTTTTTTTTGAGACGGAGTCTCACTCCATCGCCAAGGCTGGAGTGCAGTGGTGCAATCTCAGCTCATTGCAACCTCTGTCTCCCAGGTTGTAGCTATTCTCCTGTCTCAGCCTCCCGAGTAGCTGGGACTACAGGAGCCTGCCACCAAGCCTGGCTAATTTTTGTATTTTTAGTAGAGACAGGGTTTCACCTTGTTGGTCAGACTGGTCTCAAACTCCTGACTTCAGGTGATCCACCTGCCTTGGCCTCCCAAAGTGCTGGGATTACAAGTGTGAGCAGTGGCGCCCAGCCGACGACAATGTTTTATTGGTGTTAATTTATTTTTAGGTTTAAAGTATAACATTAGCTTATACAGTCAATCAAAGACAGTTCCATGTGCAAAGTACATACTCAATAAAGATTTGAATACAGAGCTACTGAAATGGGGAAGATGGATGGAGGTTACAATGCACTTACCATCTGCAGCACCTATTTTAACCCCTCCAAGTTGGGTTGACTGTAAAGTGAACCAGTTCTGATCCTATAGAGAAGTCATTGTGAATGGTAACAATTTTTTAAAAATCCGCTTGCTTTTCAGACTCGGCATATAAATTAAATTAACAACAACAAATAACCATGAGTCCAGAAGTTGGCCCAAGATTGACTTCACCTATCTACAAATTAACCCTTTGCATCTCTTCTTTGATGGAGGCCAAATTCAACACATGGAGTGTTGAAATTATTCTAAGTGCAGTTTTAAAAAATAGATTTTGTTAATGAAAATTAAGTCTATCCTTTGCGGAGTTCCAGAGGCACTTCCAGAAACCTCTGTTGGAAAGCATTGTTTACCCAAGCTCGCATTACAGAGTCCCCTTTCCCCCAACCAGAAACTTGAAACTTTCTCCCTATTTCCCGCGATCCTTCCTTTTTCTATCACCGACCCGTCTCGCAGGCAGCGGTCAAGTTACTTTGAGCGACAAATAGACCCACCCCTTCAGGAGAGTGCCCGTCCCCGCCCCGAAGAGGTTGATTGGCAGGCCACGCTCGGAGATCCGCCAGCCGCGTAGCCCAGTTTCGGGAGAGTCCGCCCCCGACCCGCCCCCGACCCGCCCCGTAGGCTTGTTTTGGCGTCAGCTGCGCGCTGTGATGACGCCACGACGCTAACGCCCGAGAATGGCGGCGGCGGCGGCGGCGGCGGCGGCCGCTGCCATTGCCCGGAGATGGCCGGCAGAGCCGCCGAGACGCCGAAGAGCCCGCCGCCCGCGCGAGGTGAGGCGGCCCGGCCCAGGACGACGGCCCGACGGGCGGGAGGGGCAGCCGAACTGTGGTCGTGGTCGCTTTCTGGCGCTCCGGGGCCTGCCCCTGGTCAGCCTGCAGCGTCGGCCCGTGCCCCGTGCGCCAGGGCCTACAGGGTTGGAGAGCAGGCCGGGCGATGGCTGCTCGGGTTCCCGGCGTCCGAGTCTGGACTGGCCTCGGAACGTGCTGTCGTGCTGGATAGCCCGTCTCCAGGCCCGCTTGGGCCTGGTGGACGTGGTCGGTTGCCCTGCCTGCTTGCTGTTCAGCCGCCCCGCGTCCAGAGCGGGTCAGGTTGATCCAACCTGGTTGTCCTTGTCCTTACTGCCTTCTCGCGCCCGGCGCCTACTCCACACCCCTCCTTTGCGTCTGCCAGGGGCCGGCGGGGCAGCTGATCGCTTCCTTGTGCAGGCTGGGAAATAGCAGGTCTGAGTCCAGCTGGGTTGCTTGCTTGGCAAGCTTGTCATTCCTCTACCTGCAAGGGGAAGCCTAGTCCCCCACACTTAGTCCCCCTCCATAAAGCGGCTGAAGTGATAATTCCCACCTGAAAATCTGAGTAAGTCCTTCACTGCCTGAAACTAGTTCCTTAGTGCCTTCAGGACAAAGGCCGCACTTCTTAGCAAGGCATTCAGGGCTCTTCGTAATCTGGTGAAGGTTTAACCAGCCAATCAACACCGGAGCACTTCTGTGCTCCCTTTACGTAGTTTATTGTTGTTAAAACGTGTGGCGCTCCTGTTAGCTCTGGTTTCATACCTTTGTGTTTTAGTATTACTAATTTTGAGACAAGGCCTCTATTGCCCAAGCTGGAGTGCAATGGCTCATTCATAGCTCACTGCAGCCTTGAACTCCTGGACTCAAATGATCCTCCCGCCTCAACCTCCCGAGTAGCTGAGACAAGAGGCACTCCCCTCCACGCCTGGCTAAGTTTAAAATTTTTTGTAGAGCCAGGGAGTCTGGCTTTGTTGCCAGAGCTGGCTTCAAGAGACCCTCCTGCCTAGGCTCCTAACATATTGAGATTATTAATACAAGCGTGAGCCACTGTGCTTGGTCCCCTTGTGCTTTAGATAACGCAGTTTTCTCAGTTTGCTATACACTGCCTTCCACCCCACCGACCACCTACCAGTGTTGGAAACTTACATCTGTCCTATAAAATCCACCTGAGATGTCACTTCCTAGGAAAAAAATCTACCTTGCTTGGCATGTAACCATTAACTCCTCTATATCCATGCTGCTACTATTGAGTACATCCTGTTGTGTCACATGGTGGTCTTCTGTCTGCATATGTCTGGCTCTGTGCCTGGCATAAAATAGGGGCTAGCCTCCAGTAGCATTTGCTGAATGCTGACTTATGAATGGATAGATTCAACTGTATTTTTGAGCACCTATCAGGGCTAGGATCTAAGATGAGCACAGCAAATGCCAGCGTATGTGTGTGGTAGGTAGTACAGCCTCTTAATCCTGGATAGTCCAAAATCTCCTGGGATAATTTTGTGATACAAAATCAAGAGCCTTACTGTCTGAGTTAGTTTTTTTTTTTTTTTTTTTTTGAGACGGAGTTTTGCTCTTTTTGCCCAGGCTGGAGCAATGGCGCGATCTTGGCTCACTGCAACCTCTACCCCCCAGGTTCAAGTGATTCTCCTGCCTCAGCCCCCAGAGTAGCTGGGGTTACAGGCAAGCACCACTATGCCCAGCTAATTTTGTATTTTTAGTAGAGATGGTGTTTCACCGTGTTGGCCAGGCTGGTCTCGAACTCCTGACCTCAGGTGATCCACCTGCCTCGGCCTCCCAAAGTGCTAGGGTTGCAGGCATAAGCCACTATGCCTGGCTGAGATTTTTTTTTTTTTGTTTAAACAGAGACGAGGTCTCGCCATGTTGCCGAGGCTGGTGTCGAACTCCTGGGCTCAAGCAGTCCTCCCACCTTGGCCTCCCGAAGTTTTAGGGTTACAGGCAAGAGCCACCACACCTGACCCACTCTTTGAGATTTTGATGAAGAAGATCTGGGGTAGGAATCTGTATTTTTTTTTTTTTTCTGAGATGGAGTCTTGCTCTGACACCCAGGCTGGAGTGCAGTGGTGCGATCTCGGCTCACTGCAACCTCCGCCTCCCAGGTTCAAGCGATTCTCCTGCCTCAGCCTCCCGAGTAGCTGGGATTACAATCACGCATCACCACGCCCAGCTAATTTTTGTATTCTTAGTAGAGACGGGATTTCATCCTGTTGGCCAGGCTGGTCTTGAACTCTTGACCTCGTGATCCACCCGTCTCAGCCTCCCAAAGTGCTGGGATTACAGGCGTGAGCCACCATGTCTGGCCAGGTATCTGTATTTTGAGAAAACTTCCCAGGTAACTTTACTGTGCTTCCTCATTGAAGATCTTTGTCATTGCCTAAGAAAACTGTTGTCTCCTTTGTCCAGTGAGAAGGCCTTGCCTTGTGGACTCC